>NC_000006.12:27029696-27332727 GCF_000001405.40 Homo sapiens | reverse complement strand
CGTTGTATAAACCCACATTTACTTCTGTTAATTGCCAGGACATTCTCTTCCTTTATTAATTATTTGCTTTAATAAGTATTTGACAACATATAATAACTTTATTGTTTTAAACTAGTTGCTCTCCACCTCTCTGCCTTTGTCATTAGTTTTGTTGTTTTTCTTGGTCACCAGAAAAGTCTTTTTTTGGGTGCGAATGTTAAGTTCAATAACTATTTGCTGAAGGCAATCAGTTGGTTCCACCTCTTCAGTCTTACCTTTTACAAATCTTAGGTAAATGAGTAAGGACTGTTGTATTGATCCTATTTACATTAATCCTATATAAACCAGTTTGATTTCTTAGACTTAGTGCAAAAAAAAAAAAAAAAAAAAGAAAGAAAAACAAACAGGTAACAGCTCACTAGCGAATACAAGTAATGTTCAGAGTACATGAATACACTTCTGTTCAATGAATTGACTCCATGGAATTCAAACCACCTCCTTAGCTGTCTTTTCTGAGTCCAATAATTCATTTACAATACCAGTCAACATTAGTGATATGTGCTAAAATCATTTCTCAATATGAATAAGCATATCTTCTTAGGACCTATGTGGCTTGGTTGGTACAATACCAGACTTTTACTTTGAGAGTAAAGGGGTCAACCTCTTGCCCAAATGTAGTGGCAGACCAAGTGCAGTGGCTTACACCGGTAATTCCAGCATTTTGGGAGGCAGAGGCAGGTGGATCACTTGAGGTCAGGAGTTCGAGACCAGTCTGGCCAACATCATGAAACCCTGTCTCTACTAAAAATACAAAATTAGCCAGGTATGGTGGTGCATGCCTGTAGTCCTTGCCACTCAGTAGGCTGAGGCATGAGAATCGCTAGAACCAGGGAGGCACAGGTTGCAGTGAGCCGAGATCATGCTACCACACTCCAGCCTGGGCAACAAAAGCAAAACTCCATCTCAAAAAACAAAACAAAACAGATGTAGTGGCGTTTTCTGGTTTGTGCAGTAAGGTTTCTCTCTATGTATTTGAGTGGGCATACTTAAGAAACCATACCCGAAGTGTCTCATACATACTTGGATGTGATTTAAATGCTAAATTCTGGAACCCTTAGGCCCTTTTGGAAGGTGACGAGTGTATTTTGTGAGAGAGACTGGGGTCATAGGTGGACAGAGGTCCTATCTGGTAGGCAGCCTCTAAGATGACCCCCAATAATCTCTACCTCCTGGTATTCTTGCCCTGGTGTAGTTCCCTATGTACCAGGGGTGGTCTTTGTGTCTAATGTAAGTGATAGATAAGCTCTAGAGGGAAGCCAGTTACTATGTCACCAGCAGTCCTGTTTAGTAGCCTATTTGGGGAGGGAGTGAGCCTTCCTGCCAACACCCACTAGGGAGATTGGAAGAAGATCCTCCAGACACAGTCAAGCCTTACGATGACTAGAGCCCTAGCCTGGCATCTTGATTGCAACCCCAGGAGGAACCCTAAGCTGGAACTACCCAAATACAACACTTTGATTTTCAAGTTACAGACACAGTAAGATAATAAATGTGTTGTTTTAAACCACTACATTTGGAGTTATTTGTTACAGCAATTGATAAGCAATACAAATCTCAAATAAGTTAAGTTTATAACTTAAGGCTCCCTGGACTATTCAGGAAATGCACTTCCAGGATGCCGATCTACTGTAGGTCACCTTTGTGGCTTTGATTTATCAAGATGAAGATATTTTCTACTTCTTTTCTTTACTTGGTGCATTCCTAAGTGACAAGACTACTTTTCGGGCAGTTCACTAGGGATGATAGTTGAGTTTTCTCTCTAGATTATTATTAATCTGCATGTATGACACTGAGGACGTGTAGAGTGGTTCTCCATTTTCAGCAGGTCCTAGTGACTTCGGTTTTCCTCAATTTAGAAGCTGCCAAAGCATAAGCCCAAATTTGCCTCCATGAGCAAGAGCTCTAAAAGCATAAGCAACTGGTTGTTGTGGTGCTCTGCTTATCTGTGTTCTCATTTCCTTTTACATTTGTTTTACATGTCTCTTAGGTTTCTTTAATGTTTTATCACTTCATTGTCTAAAACAAACCTTTAAAGAATTGATTTAGAACATATTTTAATAAAAGTACAAATCATATGGGTATAGGTAAATGACTTTTCACACAGGAAGCCTATGAGTAACCTCCATCTAGATCAAGAAATAAAATATTACCAGCACCTCAGAGACTCCCTTTATGCTGTCTTTCAGTCACTTTTGCCTTCTTCCTCTAAGGTAACAACCATCCCAACTTCTAACAGCAGAGTTCACTTCTTCCTATCCTTACAACTTATGTAAATGGAGTCGTATTGTTTTCCCTCTTTTGTATTTTTCTTTTACTCAAGTATGCCTGTAAATTAATCATTGTTACTAAATGTAGCAGTAATTTCATTTTCATGGCAGTACAATGTTCATTGTATTTTTACTAACCAATTTATTCTATTGCTGATAGACATTTATGCTGTTTCTATTTGGGGGCTATTACAAATAAACATCAAAAAACAGGAACATTTTTGTATATGTCACAGTGTACATATGTATTCATTTTGTTAGATTTATACACAGGAGTGAAATACTTTCACCTTTCACATTTACATTTAAAATCCATCAATATTAACTTTTGTTTATATAATTTATAGGTCAAAACTTATTTTTCCCCATTCGATATCCAAAGAATGTAGTATGACATATTAAAAAGACCACCAATTCCCTCACTACTATACATTGTTTTTTTTTCATAAATTGTGTGTACAAATATTTGGTTCTGTTTCTGGATGCTGTATTTAGTTACACTTCTATTTTTATATCATTATGAAAATTGCCTACTATCTTAATTATCATAGCATTATAATAAACTTTGATATCTATCTGTGTACATCCTCTCATTCTATGCTTTTCAAGGTTGTCTTGGCTATTCTTGGATCTTTGCCTGGTTATAGAATGTTCAGAATGAGCTTGTCAATTTTCACAACAATAGTGTCTTTTAATTTAGTTGCATAGACTTTATAATTTATTTTAAGGAGAATTGTAATCTTTTATTCTTGCATTCAATTAATACAGTATATCGTTAGAATAATTTAGGTATTCTTTACATTCTTTTGGCAACGTTTTATTGTTTTCTGAATAGAGGTCCTGCACAGTTTTATAAGAGTTATTTCTAGGTTGAAAATGTTTTTTGGAGATATTGCAAATAATATCATCTTAAACATGTTATCGAGGCATAACATACACACATAAAACTCCACCTGTAAGTGTAAACCTTGATGAAGTTTCACAAACTGAACACACTCATGTAAACAGCATCCACTGAATCAAATTATAATGTATTATTAATGTATTAAGGAGTGTAATCTCAGGGAAGGCTATTTAGGGGAAGAAAGTGGGAAAAATTTATTGGTCACGGCTGGACATGGTGGCTCATACCTGTAATCCCAGCACTTTAGGAGGCCAAAGCGGGAGGATCAGTTGAGCTCAGGAGTTCAGGACTAGCCTGGCTAACACAGTGATACCCATCTCTACTAAAAATACAAAGATTAGCTGGATATGGTGGTGCACACCTGTAATCCTAGCTACTTGGGAGGCTGAGGCAGGAGAATTGCTTGAACTGGGTAGGCAGAGCTTACAGTGAGCCAAGATCATGCCACTGCATTCCAGCCTGGGTGACAGAGCAAGACACATCTCAAAAAAAAAAAAAAATTATTGGTCAGCTACTATATCCAACTGATCAAAGTTTTGCTCCATAGAGCATTAATAGCCCTACATATAGAAGTTGGGCATGTGCAGATATCAAAGATCGCTCAGCAGCTCATGTTTCAACAGCAGCAGAGAAGCCTTATAGCAGAAGACGAGAAGTTCAACAGAGGTGAACAGTGAAGTCCTGTTGTTTTCTGCACTCAGAGGAAATTGATTGCCATGACTATTGGGGTAAAACAAGTTGCAAGGTAAGATGGCAAGAGAATCAGAGGTGGCACATAAGATATGTCTGATACCCAAGAGTATGCTTGTCTTACAAAATATTTTAGGAAGTGTTCCTTTCTCTCTATTGCTTGAGAGTTTGTGCAAGATTCATGTTATTTGTTTCATAAATATTTGGAAGAATTCACCTTTGAAGCAGTATAAGCTGGGAGTGTTCTCTGTAAGAAGGTTTTTAAATTACTGATTCATTTGTTTAATAGCACTATTTAAATTTTCTATTACTTCCTGTATCAGTTTTTATAACCTGTGTCTTCCTAGGAATTTTTTCATTTCATCTACATTTTCAAATGCATTGCCATGTTATTATTTATAATATTCTCTCATACACTTTTTACTGTGTGCAGGGATGTATAGTGATGTCCTTTTTTATTTATTTTTTATTTTTTAATTTTTATTTATTTATTTTTTTGAGATAGAGTTTCGTTCTTGTTGCACAGGCTAGAGTGCAATGGCACGATCTCGGCTCACCGCAACCTCTGCCTCCCGGGTTCAAGCAATTCTCCTGCCTCAGCCTCCCAAGTAGGTGGGATTACAGGCGTGAGCCACCATGCCCGGCTAATTTTGTATTTTTAATGGAGATGGGGTTTCGCCATGTTGGCCAGGATGGTTTCAAACCCCTGACCTCAGGTGATCCGCCTGCCTCAGCCTCCCAAAGTGCTGGGTTTATAGGCATGAGCCACCACGCCCAGCCTATTTATAATATTCTCTCATATACTTTTTACTGTGTGCAGGGATGTATAGTGATGTCCTTTTTTTGTTTCTGATATTAGTAATTTATGTGAACTCTTATATATAAGAATATACCTAATCAGACTTGCTAGGTAGTTATCAATTTTGTTAGTATTTTCAAGTAACCAGCCCTTGGCTTTGTTTATTTTCTTTATGTTTGTTTTCCATTTCATTTTTCTGCTTTTAACTCTCTTGCTTTCTTCTTTTATGACCTAGAACATTATGGTTTCCTGTTCTTTCTAAAAGCCCTTAAAAGTTTATTTTTTTTTAGCATTTTGTTTTTTTAAATGTATTCAAGACTATACTGTTGTCAACTGAAAAATCATGAGATGTATAAATTTGGAAAGAATACTTTACTTTTTAAAAATAGTTACAGCCTGTAAGCTGGCTATACTGACAGGTTGGAAAGTGTAGCTTCCAGCCAAAGCCAGAAGGAGACACTTTGAGGGAGGAGGGGTTGGGCAGGAGTTTTATGCTGAACAGGTTTGCTAAACATACATATTTAACAGGTTATAGGAGGAGTTATGAATATTTTCAAAGGGGGAATGTGCATATACATGATAAGTAAACATGTAAGTTACATGTCACTTATGTTTACTATGTTACTATGGGGTTGAGACTTGATATTTAAAAAATTACAATTAGCCCCTATATGTCAAAAGGTGAAGCAGGGACACGGAGGTAAAGCAGGGACATGAAGTAGCCTTTGTAAACTGGCCAGAACCAGTCTGTGGTTGGTGGTCTTTTTATTAGGAGAAGTTACTGAAACTAGTCTGTTGCCTAATCAAAGCTGTAGTTATGGCTTGTGAAATGGAGGGGTCAGTTAGTCAGTGTTTGATGGGTGGTGAGCTGTAACTTTTTTTAAGTATTATTTATCTTGAAGCCAATGTTTGCTTAGCTGTTAGAGAAAAAGGAAAAAAATTAACCTTGTGGCAGTTAGAATACAGTTTATTTTTTAAGTGTATGGGTGTGTGACTTAACTCTTGTCTGGCATGGCCTTAGGTGTTGTTTATAATTTGCTATCATATTGCCACAAACAGTCTCTCTCTCTCTCTCTCTCTCTCTCTTTCTTTCTTTCTTTCGAGACAGAGTCTTGCTCTGTAGCTGAGGCCGCGGTAGCACGTTCTCGGCTCACTGCAACCTCCATCTCCCGGGTTCAAGCGATTCTCCTGCTTCAGCCTCCTGAGTAGCTGGGATTACAGGCGTCCACCACCACGCCCGGCTAATACGAAGAGTTCATTTCATTAGTCTTATGATTTCTATTTTAACTTTAATGCTGGTCAGTTGTTGTGTCTAAATTACAAAATAGAGGAAGTATGACGAGGTGTATCTAACTTCCCATCCTGTAATCTCCCTATATTTGAATCCTTTGAAATTTGCACAATCTTATGTCCATGTGTCTATTTAGAAACAGAAATAAATTGTGTTCCATGCCAAGCATCTTTTGGGAATCCATGAATCTAATCAACTCTATAAACCCAATGCAAAATTTGTGCAAATAAATGGTTTACAAATTTGAGAAATATACCAAGAAAGTATAGAAATAAGAGCAAATATTGTTTATTTTAAACTTATTTACAGGGCATTTTGGACATATACAGATGTGAAGTACTAATAAACATATAAGTCAATTCAGGAAATAAAAGATTACAAATGAAGGTGAAGTCATCTAAATTCCCAAATCTTTTCACATGTTCTTCCAAACCCCTTAAAGATAACCACTACTTTGAATTTGAATTTTACCATGTCCTTACATTTCTTTATTTTTACTACATTAGAATTTGCATTGATATAACTTTTCATGTTTTTAGAATCTGTATGTATTTTACACTTTACGTATTCATCTGCAATGTGGACATTTATGCTTGAAGAAACTTTCATAGATTGAGTCACAATGGATTATTTTTTCTCAAATTTTTGCCTAGGTGCAATCAGGACTAAATTTATTTTTTATTTTATTATATATTGTTTCTCTTCAAGTATGACAGCCAAATGAATAAATTTCTTTTTCTTTTTCTTTTCTTTTCTTTTTCTTTTCTTTTTTTTTTTCAGACAGGGTCTTGCTGTCTCCCAGGCTGGAGTTCAGTGGCGTGATCTTGGCTCATTGCAGCCTGGACCTCCCAGGCCAAAGGACTAAATTTCTAAACTCAGGAAAGTTTAAAAACACATTCTCTTGTGGTTAAAATAATTTTTATCAGGATTTCTTTGATGCAATAGAAAGCTGTGTGGTAAGCAGGGGGAAATAATCATATTTAAAATGGCACAGGTTAATCTGGAAACTTTATTATCATAATTAATCAATATCAAAGTACAGATAATTGGGTAGGAAGATGAAACAAAACTAGTAATGTTCTCCAGGATTAGGCTGTTCTCATACATGGAGCTAATATAAGTGGAAAGACACACGTTAGTCCCATAAAAGAAAACAAAGCGGCTCACCAGCAAGAAGAAAACATGACTGGCTTCTGTTTCAGGAAAAGATTGTGGAGACAGACTGATACTGTGAATATGAAAGACCGTCTTTTGATGCCTTAAGAAAATAGTCACCATGTAGAAACTAGTCCAAATCATGAGGAACAAGAAGAGGAAACCTTGAGTAAACATGGCACTTTGAAATATCATTGCATGGTAGTATATAAACAGTCTTGTTTTACAGTATATCAGAGAATATACAAGTCCAACATTAGTGGATTTGCTGGTGGCTACGGTGCTTATAATGACCCACATATTGATTAGCCTGTTGTTTAGGAATAAATCAATAAGGGAAAATTTATGGGGAGATTTGAGGTTTGAGCCATGCCCACTTGGAATGACAAGGACAGATGATAACAGCCTGAAATGTACTCAGGAGAGAAGAAGTACATACACAAATGCCCCATGTCATTTTATAAATGTATAGCCCTGTTTTACAACCAGTATCAACAAAAGTACTTCTAAGTCTGAAGGATGACATTATATATGGAACACCCCTGATGATAACTGTTATAACATTAGCCAAAGTTAGGTGCATGAGAATCACATCTAAGGGGTTCTTCTGATGGGGCCAAAATAAGAAGATGTACATATATGTAATGAATAGCAATAAGTTCCCCATGAGCCCAATGCCACTTTGAAAGACAGGTAAGATTCCCAGTGTTGTGTCACTTGAATACAAAATATTCATGGTTTTCTTGGATCTTTTGATTGAAGCCAGCACAGCCTAAACAGCAGCATAAATATATTCCACATATGAAAGTTTAGCAATCACTGAATTCTTAGAAAGAAATTTCAGTTTTGACATGAAAATGATCATGAACGAGGGACAAATCTATCATGAAAGAGGGACAAATACTCAACTATACATGAATTCATTACATTTTTGTGGGATTTCCAGAGGCTGGATGCCATGTATTGTTCAAATATCTAGAGAACAGAGTAAGTTTACGTGGCAGTTGAGATTTGCATACACATTTTTACCATTTGTTCTAGCCCGTTTTTCAGGAGTAGTCTGTTCTATTTTAAAGACAATTTCCCATGTAATAAAAAACAATTTTATTTCAAATTCTAGTATTGTATTTTAATTATAAACTTATAACTTGAAATATTTTTTACTTTTTATACACAGGTAATATTTATAACCTATAAATAGCAATATATGAATATGAATCCACTTTTCGGAGTGCTAATTGTACCACACTGTTATTTTATGAATAATGAAATGTATTTATAGAATATGGTTAACTACTGAGTAATTTCTGTCATTAAATGCTAAGTTTGCTTGTTCTGAAGAACATTCTTTGCTTAGGAAGCATATTTAATATTTTTACAAATGTAGTAAAGGTTTAATTGAAGTTGATAAAGTGATCAAATGTAATAAGGTATTAAATCAATTTACTTTCCAATTAGCCAACAGGGTTGATGAAGTCTTTTTCATTTAACAGATAAACAGCCCTTCTCCTGACACTGAATTACCATCTAGTTATTACATAACTTTTTATGTTTCCTTACAGCAAGGTATATTATAAACTTGGTCTCCAGCTTGCCCTGCAGTATTCAGATTACTGTACACATGCACACACATCCTATTGATTCTGTTTCTCTGGAGACCTCAGACTTAGACACCAGGGAAGTGGAAATGCAACCTGCATGCCCAGGGCCAGATGCATGCTCCAGAAAGTCCTAAGAGTACCTTTGGCTTGTACCCCTGATTGATCTTTGGAGTCCGTGCAAGCAGAAGATGATAGCTAAGGCAGAGTTGCAGGTGGCCTGGCTTAGAGATAAGGAGTACACCAGCTCAGAGCCCATCTGAAAAGACCAGAGTGTTGGGTTTTTTCTCCCTCTAGGTATTTATGAAAATCTTTGTCAAGTCACTGGCTGACTGCTAAGGTAACAGAACTTCAGTGACAACACATGACAAGCAATATAGTCTTTGCAAAAATAGTTTGCGAAACTCACTAAAGAAAGAGATGACTGAAATCCTCAAACATCAAAAATCAACTATAGTAAACCCTGTGGAGGAGAAAACATCTGATATCCAGAGTTTCCAGATTATAATATTCAAAATGTCCACTTTTCAACAAAAAACTACAGGGCATAAAGAAACAGAAATATGTGGCTCATTCACAGAGAAAAAAAGAAATGGAGAGAAACTATCCCTGAGGAAGCCCAGACATTGGGTTTGCTAGATAAAGACTTTAAATCAACTGTCTTAAATATGCTCAAAGAGCTAAAGGAAACCATGAACAAAGAACAAAATGAAACCAAAAGAATGGTGTATAAGCAAGTAAAGAGAATATAAACATAGAAAGAGAATAAAAAGATAGAATGTTAAAATGGAACCAAATAGAAATTATAGAGTTGAAAAGTATCATAGTTTAAAAATTTACTAGAGGTGCTCAACAGCAGATATGAGGATGCAAAAGAAGGAACCATTGAGCTTGAAGATAGGACAATTGAAAATATCCAGTCTGCTCATGCCTGCAATCCCAGCACTTTGGGAGGCAGAGGAAGGCAGATCGCTTGAGCCCAGGAGTTCGAGACCAGCCTGACCAATATGGTGAAACCCCATCTCTACTAAAAATACAAAAATTAGCCAGGTGTGGTGGTGCGCACCTGTAGTCCCAGCTTCTCGGGTGGCTGAGGCAGGAGAATCGTTTGAACTAGGGAGATGGAAGTTGCAGTGAGCCAAGATCGTGCCACTGTACTCCGGCCTGGGCGACAGTGAGACTCCGTCTCAAAAAATAAAAAAAAAAAACTCTTCACAATCTTGTGGTAAGAAAAATTTTCTTAGGACATAGAAAACACTAACAATAAAAAATGTTAAATGCAATTTCATTAAAATTAAAATCTGCTCTTCAAAAAACACCATTAATAAGATGAAAAAGGGCAGCCAAAAATTGGTAGAAAATATCTGTAATACATATATCTGACAATGAACTTGTATCTAGGCTATATAATTTACCTCACAACATCACAACAACATAATACCTATAAAATAAGGAGCAGCTGGGTGCGGTGGCTCACGCCTGTAATCCCAGCACTTAGGGAGACCGAGGCGGGGGAATCATTTGAGGTCAGGAGTTCGAGACCAGCCTGGCCAACATAGTGAAACCCTATCTCTACTAAAAATATAAAAATTAGCCAGGCATGATGGTGCGCACCTGTAACCCCAGCTACTTAGGAGGCTAAGGCAGGAGAATCGCTTGAACCCAGGAGGTGGAGGTTGCTATGAGCTGAGATCGTGCCACTGCATTCCAGCCTGCGTGAAAGAGTGTCTCAAAAACACAAAACAAAACAGAAAGAAAGAAGCCAGACAGAAAGGAAAAGTTACTCTATTACTCCATTTATAATAAATCTTATGAGTCACAACTAATGTAATAGAAATTAGAGCCGTTGGTTGACTAGGCCCAGGTCGTGGGTGCACTGATTGCAAAAGAACATGTGGGAAATTTGGGGAGAAGAAAATGTTCTGGTTGAGGTGGTTGTGACATTGTGTGTGTGTGTTGTGTGTGTGTGTCAAAATGATGAAACTGTATAACTTAAAATGACTCTTTTGTACATAAGTTATACCTCAATAAAGTTTATGCACACACATACACAAAACAAGAAAAATAGGATTAGTAAGATAGAAAATTCAAAGTATATTGAATTAAATAGAAAGAAGATTAAAAATATATTAGATGCAATAAACAACAAAAAGGGAAGCGAGAAAAAGTAGGTAAAGAAGGAATAAGATGAAGAATTAGTATCAATAAAAAGAAAATCAAAAAGGAAATATTAGAAAGAAAAATAATTAAATTACTGAAAGATAAGTATTGGTGATGGCTAAAATATAGAAAAGTTGTGAACACACTTTTAGAATAAACAGCAACCAATAAGTGAGTCAGAGAAAGTACTTGAAGAAGAGAGAAAGGTTATAAATTAATATCCAGATATGCAGTGAAAGAGGAAAGAGAACACAAATTAGTATGACATTTTATTTACAGCATGTTATGTAAAATCCTACAAAGGAAAGTTTGGGAAGAAGAAAGTAAAGTAATAAACCAACATGAAAATAGCAATGTTTACAAAAGGAAAATGATTTTACTTTAAGGCAGTCTAAAATATCAAAGAGTTTAAAAAAATAGAAAAATTAAGCAAAGACATCAAGGAGGGAAAATATATTTTTTAAAATGATACCTGAATTGTTAAATATTTTTCTAAATTATCGATACTAAAAATTAAAAAAATAATTAAAAGCAGTGTTAAAATAAAATCGGAAATATTGTTTAACAGAAGAGGATTTAAAAAAGAATATAAACCTGAGGTCAGGAGTTCAAGATCAGCCTGGCCAACTTGATGAAACCCCGTCTTTACTAAAAATACAAAAATTAGCCGGGCGTGGTGGCACACGCCTGTAATTCCAGCTGCTCCGGAGGCTGAGGCAGCAGAATCGCTTGAACCCAGGAGGCACAGGTTGCAGTGAGCCGAGATCGCGTCATTGCACTCCAGCCTGGGTGACAAGAGCAAGACTCCATCTCAAAAAATAAAATAAAATATAAAAAGAATATAAAACGTTTTGAACTTAAATATAAAGATGATTTTTAAAAGAATATAAAACATTTAATAAAATAAGACAATATGAATAGAGAGGGAATAGAAATTGAGGGGGAGCAGTAGAAAGAGAAAAAGAATGAAGAGAGAGAAAAAAGAAAAATAAGATATGAAAATCAGTGAAAAGAAAGTGTACAATAAGACATAGACACTATAGGCCGGGTGCAGTGGCTCACGCCTGTAATCCCAGCACTTTGGGAGGCCGAGGCGGGCGGATCACGAGGTCAGGAGATCAAGACCATCCTGGCTAACACGGTGAAACCCCGTCTCTACTAAAAATACAAAAAATTAGCCGGGCATGGTGGCGGGCGCCTGTAGTCCCAGCTATTCGGGAGGCTGAGGCAGGAGAATGGCGTGAACCGGGGAGGCAGAGCTTGCAGTGAGCCGAGATTGTGCCACTGCACTCCAGCCTGGGCGACCGAGCAAGACTCTGTCTCAAAAAAAAAAAAAAGAAATAGACACTATAGTAATGAAAGAAACAATACTAAAAGAAGATACAGAATGAGAAAAAAAGAATGCTAGAATTTGGAGAGTTTTGTGTGAAAAATTGTTAAAGGACAGCAAAAGAATAAAAGTCATATAAATCCACTTCTGAAGTTAGAGAAACGCAAAACCACCTGAGGAATGTTGTGAGCTTTAATCATAGAAAGAAGAGCTTTGTAGAGAAGTGGTTGTAAGAAAAAAATATAAAATATCTGGAAACTATGCAAAGCATTTCAAATATAAATTTGAAAGCATTTCAAATGTGAAAACATAGACCAATACAATATAAAACAGAGAAAAATAAGGGAAGTTATAACAGTAAAGAAGAAGAGGTTATCCAGAAAGGAGCAGTAAAGAGAAATCCATAATTGGATTTTTAAAAAGTTACGTAAGGTATAAAGTATAGAGAAAAATGATGGAAGAATAAAAATGCCGAGGAGATGTAACACATGAAATTAACTAAAGCTTGATTAAATAATATCAAAATAGTATATAAAGTATGGAGAGAATTTTTAAAATAAAGAATATCAAAGTAGAAAATGAAATATATAGAGAAAGAATATAAAGATAAGGTTACTTATTTAATAAATACTCGCTGAGGACTTATGTGTCAAGCAATGTTCTAACACTTTGCAGATACTTAACATAACTAAACCTCACAAAATCCTGTGAGGTAGATAAAATTATTGTTCCAAATTTACAGATGAGGACAAGAAGAGATTGAGTAACTTGCCCAGGTTCTCACAGCTCATATGTTGCAAAATTGTACTTGACCCAGGCAGTGGAGCCCATCCTGTTAACCACTACTGAGAAAATAAGTAGCAGAGAAGAAAAAGAGAAATGAAAGAAGAGAGAAAAAAATTTAAAAAAGAACAAAATGTAAAAAGTCAGTATTTGGTAACCAAAATTAATGAAATAAGACTGAAATAGAGGAAGGAAAATACTAAGGTTGAATTACATTAATTTTGGAAGAGAAAGAATAGGAGTTGTACTGGCTATTAAATTTGGGGGGACCAATGCAAAATGAAAACACGAGGGGCCTCTTGTTAATAAATTACTAAGAATTTCAAGACAATGACAGCAGAACATTAAATCGCATATGGGGCCCTTCTATACATGGAGAAATAAGACAAGGAAAAACTTTCAAGAATCCTTAAACCTCCTTGGAATTCTCAGAGCAGGGGCCTTTGAAGAATATTTACCACAGGAGATTTCTGCTGCCCACAACTGCAGGCAGATGCTCTCGTGCTGTGCAGAGAGGCCAAGGCTGGCTCCTTCACTTATAAGGAAGGCTCATCTGCATTTTGACTTGTCATCCTTAGTGCATCTGCCTTTGTGGAGGGTGGATTGCTCTGATGTGTCCAGAGAAGCTGCAAATAGCTCTTCCAGATGCCAAGTATCATCATGGTGAATTTATTAGAATTATTAACTGAAGGTGCAAAGCTACCATCTGGAAACACACACTTTTTCCTGCCTGAACAATGCAATAGAACATTCTGCTGCATTCCCCAAGGCTCTAGGACTGTGATGGGAGAAATTAAACAGTTTAATTTCACTCAGTCAATAAAATTACCATGAATTTTGCTATTGCTTAGGCCTTGTTGCATCTTCCCAGAGAATATTTTTTCCCTTAAGATGCTGCTATGACTTTTTTCATTTGGAGCAGGTTTATATTTCTGAAGTTTCCTTAAAAAGCAAACTTAATACTGTTCTGTTTAATGAGTCAATTCAATTTTTAATTGAATTCTCAGTACCTATATTAGTTGGTATGTACAAAGTGATTTTCCTAAGATTTAAAATTTTTACTGTATTTTAATTGCTTCCAACAACTTGTGTTAAATGTTATAAAGTATATTTTACTGTGAAAATTTGAATGTACATTCAAATGACATACACACAAAAATGCAATATATAAAAGTAAAAATACTTTTTTGCAAGCACAAATTTACCCAATAAAACTGAAGAAATAAAATATTGCCAATACTTTGAAGCCCTAAATCTGCCCTTCCCAATCTCTTCTTCCTTTCTTCCTCTGCAGAATAATTATTTTATATTTATCATTCTTTTTGCTGTTCTCAATTGATTTGCCACATATCTATGCATTATGAGAGAATATGTTAAGTTTGCATGTTTCTGAACTTTATATTAATGTTGTTCACACTTCTACATTCTGCTTTGTGAAGCTGGGGCTGGGACTGCAAACCTCACCCTGTACCCTCTCTTAGACTTTGGCAGTGGAGGACTCTAGAAGGACACTGGAAGGCTGGAAAAGAGAGAAGAAACTCTCAATTCTGTTGTTCTCTTCCTGTTAGCATCATCCCAGCAGCACTTCACGCTGTAGTAGCAGTAAGTTCCAGCAGCAATTAGTTCACGTTTTCAGGGTTGTTTTCCACACTCCCAGAACCAGCCTCATCATATCCTCTCAGAGTTCACAGCACCAGCTGGCCAGTGACCCCTCCTCAGAGATCTGGCTTCAGCACTGAGTCTCTTTCTCTAAGCTTCTAGCTTCTAATAACCCCACCTCTTGCACGTGTGTTTCCTCAGCTCTTGGGGTAGTAGCTGTTTCATGCTGTCACTACTGTTTCTTTTTGCCTTTTTAGTCTTCCAACACCCATTTTACCAATTCCATCTAGTAATCCTGTTAAAATAATCAGTGTGATCTCTGTTTTCCTTACTTGATACTAATACACCTCATGTGTATGAATCAAAAGACAAAATGTATTTTCCAGTCTTTGAACTTTATATATATACTGTCTTTTTATTCTTTGCCTGCCTTCTTTTGCACAACTTTTGGTTTGTGATATTCATCCATGTTATTGAATGTACCTGGAGACCATTCAGTTTACGTTGTGGTATTGTATTCCCCTGCGCAGGTATATCACAATTAAATTCTCTGGTGTTCGTTTTTGTGAATACACATTCAGATACCTTCCAGATTTTTTATATTCTAAATAATACTGCTATAAACATTCATGTATTTGCCTTGTAGTACAAATGTATAAGCTTTCTATAAGGCAGTGGTTTCCCAAATATTGGGTTTTATAGTTTTAGCTCTTATATTTAGCTCTTTAATCCATTGAGTCAATTTTTGTATATGGTGTGAGGTAAGTGTCAAACTTTATTCATTTGCACATGTCTGTCAATTTGTCCCGGCACCATTTGTTGGAAAGACTATTCTTTTCCTACTGAATAGTCTCAGACTCTTGGAAAAAGTCAGTTGGCCATAGACATATGGGTTTATTTCTGGCCTCTCAACTGTAGATTCCATTCATCTATATGTTTATGCTTATGGCAGTACAACATTGTTTTAATTACTGTTGCTCTATAGTAAATTTTGAAATCAGGAAGTGTGAGTCTTTCAACTTTGTTCTAGTTTTTCAAGGGTTCCATGCAATTGTAGGTGCATTTTTAGGGTTGAAGAAATTCCCTTCTATTTCTAGTTTGTTGAGACTTTTTAACATGAAAGAGATCTTTTGAGATGGTCATGTGGTTTTTGTTTTTTATTCTGTTGACATGGTGTATCATATTAACTGATTTTCAGAATTTAAAACAATCTTGCACTTCTGGGATAAATCCCACTTGGTAATGATATCTAGTTCTTTTTATATGTTGTTGGATTCATCTTGCTGGTGTTTTGTTGAGTATTTTTATGTCTGTATTCATAAGAAATATTGGTCTGTAGTTTTCTTTTCTTGTGATGGCTTTGCCTGGTTTTGGTATAAGGATACTGGTACTGGCCTTGTAGAATGAGTTGAGAAGTGTTTCCTCCTCTTCTGTTTTTTGGAAGAGTTTGTGAAGAGTTGGTATTAATTCTTTTAAGTGTTTGGTAGAATTCAACACTGAAGCCATCTA
Organism: Homo sapiens; assembly: GCF_000001405.40. Classification (NCBI taxonomy): domain Eukaryota; kingdom Metazoa; phylum Chordata; class Mammalia; order Primates; family Hominidae; genus Homo; species Homo sapiens. The sequence goes on along the minus strand of NC_000006.12, from coordinate 27,316,603 downwards.
AGTCTGGACATTTATTTGTATATAGTTTTTTTATTACTAATTTATCTCTTTACTTATTACAGGTCTAGTCAGATTGTCTATTTCTTCTTGAGTCAGTTTCAGTAGTTAGCATCATTACAGGGATTTGTCTATTCCATCTAAGTTATCTAATGTTTTGGCATACAGTTTTTCGCAGCTGTCCTTTACAGTCTTTTTATTTCTATATGGTTAGTAGTAATGTTCACTCTTTCATTTTGGATTCCAATAATTTCAGTTCTCTTTTTTTCTTGGTCACTCTATCTAAAGGTTTGTTAATTTTATTGATCTTTTTGAAGAGCTAGTTTTTCATTTCATTGATTTTCTTGACATTTTTCTATTATTAACTTCATTAATTTCACTGTTATCCTGAATTTTGCTTCTGTTTAGTTTGGTCTTTTTCCAGTGTCTTAAGGTAAAAACTTAGTTTACTCATTTGATATTTTTCTTCTTTTTTAATATGGGCATTTATAGCTATAAATTTTCCTCTAAACACTAATTTACCTGAATCCCATAAGTTTTGGTATGTCGTTTCTTTATTTTCATTTATCTCAAATATTTTCTAATTTATCTTAATATTTCTTCTTTAACCCACTGGCTATTTAGAAATTTAATTTCCACTTATTTGTGGATTTTTAAATTTCTCTCTGTGTTTGATTTCTGATTTCATTCCATTGTGATCAGACAAACATACTTTGCATTATTTCTATCCTTTTCAATTTATTTGGATTTGTTTTATGACCTAGCATAGGATCTATCTCAGAGAATGTTCCATATGCTCTTGAGAAGAATGTACATTCTGCTGCTGTTTAATGGAGATTCTATAAATATTTGTTAGGTCTAGTTGGTTTATAGCATTCTTCAAGTCTTGTATTTCCCTACTGATCTATTTCTTAGTTGTTCTATTCATTACTGAAAGTGGGGCACTGAGGACTCCAACTATTATTTTTGCATTGTCTATTTTTCTCTTCATTTCTGTCACTTTTGTCGTTATGTATTTTGGTGCTCTTATTAATTGCATAGATGTTTATAATTGTGATATCTTCCTGATGGATTAGCCCTTTCTGTCCTTATTTGTCCCTAGTAACATTATTTGTTTTAAAGTCTACTTTGTCTACTCGTATAGTCATTACAGCTTTTTTTGGATGAAGTTTGCATGACATATGTTTTCCATCCTTTTACTTTCAATTTACTTGTATCTTTAAATGTAAATGGTGTCTTCTCTAGACAAAAGATAGCTGAATACTGTTTCTTTATCCACCCTGACAGTCTCTGCCTTTTGATTCAATTGCTTAATATATTTACATATAACATTATTATTACTGATATATTTGGATTTGTCTGGTATTTAACTTTTTATTTTCTGTATGTCTCATGCCTTTTTGGTTCTTCCATTCCTCCTATATTCCATTTTTGCATTAAGCAAATATTTTATACTGTAGCATTTAATTTCTTTGATGATTTTTCCACTATAAATTTTGAATTATTTCTTCAGAGGAAATAATTCAATAATTCCTAGGACTTATTTGTCATATACCTTATCAGAACACTTTCAGATTTATACTAACTTAATTCCAGTGAGATATAAAAATCTCAATCCCATATAGCTCTTTCTCCTATTTCTCCCTTTTAATCATATTATTGTTATAAATATTACAACTATAAATATTACAAACCTAACATTATTACAATTATTAATTTATATAATTTTATGTGTTTTAAATAAGGTGAGAGAAACAAAAGGAGAAAAAATTGTGTGTGTGTATATATATATAGCTTATTCTATATTAATCTTATTATTTATCATTTCTGGTTTCTTTATTTATTCCTATAAATTTGTCTTACTATCAGGAGTTATTTCCTTAGCCCAGTGCAGCTTTCTTCTCACCCACCTCCTTTGTGCTGTTATTAGCAGATATATTACATTTCTATACGCTATAGGCCCTCATAGCATACGGTTTTGTACATAATATGCATATTGTTTTGTACAATTACTTTTTGAATCAGTTAAGATAAGAACACATTTATACTGTCTTTTATAATTGCGTGATTACCTTTACCAGTGCTCTTGTTTTAAATGTGTGTTTGAATTACCAGATGGTGTCACCTTCAGTCTGAATAATTTCCTTTAGTATTTCTAAGGCAGGTCTTCTAACAACAAATTCTCTGTTTTTGTTTATGTGGGAATGTCTTTATTTTGCTTTCATTTTTGAAAGGTAGCTTTGTTAGATGTAGAACTTTGGGGTGACAGTATTTTTTGTTGAACACTGAATATCTTATCCCACTGCCTCTGGCCTCCATTGTTTCACATGAGAAGTCAGTTGTTAATTTGTTTAGGGTTCTTCTGTAAGTGATGAGTCATTTTTCTCTTGTTACTTTCAAGATTTTCTCTTTGTCTTTGTCTTTCAGCGCTTTTACTTGACATGTCTGTTTGTGGAACTCTTTGTATAATCCTATGTAGAATTTGTTGCGCTTTCTGGACATGTAGATTAATGTTTTTCAATTAGATTGGGAAGTTTTCAGCCACTCTCTTTGACAATTTTTTCTACTCCTTTCTCTCTTTCCTTTCCTAGTGCTTTCATTTTGTGTATGTTGGTGTGCTTAATGGTATCCCACATTTCTTTACCACCTCTCCTGCAACCACGGTTGCACTCTGTTTGCTATCTCTATTGTTTTGCCTTTTCCAGATTGTCATATATTTGAAGTCATATGTAGCCTTTTCAGATGGTTCCATTCACTTAGCAATATGGATTTTAGGTTCCTCTATATCTTTTCGTGACTTGATAGTGCATTTCTTTTTAGTGTTGAATAATATTCCATTGTATGGTTATGCCACAGTTTATTCATTTGCCTGTTGAAGGACTTCTTGGTTGCTTCCAATTTTTGGCAACTATGAATAAAACTTCTATAAACATTCACATGCAGGTCCTTATGTGGACATTCACTTTAAGCTCATTTGGATAAACACGTGGATTGTGGTGGTTGAATTGTATTGTAGGACTGTGTTTTAGCTTTGTAAGAAATTGCCATACTGTCCTCCAAAGTGGCTGTACCATTTTGCATTCTCATCAGTAATGAATGAGAGTACCTGTTACTCCACCTCCTCCTTAGCATGTGGTGTTTTGAATTTTAGCCAATTGAATGGTGTGTAGTAATATCTTACTGATGTTTAATTTGCAATTATGGTATCTTACTGATGTTTAAATTGCAATCAGAAGTATTTACTGATGTTTAGTTATATATAGCTAAATATTGACATATAGCATATGTCAATGATGTTTGGCATCTTTTTATACTGTTTACCATCTGCATATCTTCTTTGGCGGGGTTTCTGTTTAAATATTTTGCCCATTAATTTTTTACCTTATTATGAGTTTTAACATTCTATGTATATTTTGTATACCAGTGCTTCAGCAGATACATACGTATTATGCAAATATTTTCTCCAGTCTGTGGCGTGTCTTTTCATTCTCTTAACAGTGTCTTTCACAGAGCAGAAGAGAACAGGAGGTGGCCTGAGCAAGGGACTGAGCCAAGTGCTTGTGGAGGGCTCAGGTTCTGGGCCGTAAGATGCGATTTCCCATTCGCCCACTCCGGATCTCTGAGGCCACTCCTGACGGCAATCTGCATGAGTTCTCCAAGTGCGAATAGGAAGGAAACCTGGATTCGGCCGCTGGGAGACACAGGTGGATCTCAAAGGTGGCTGTGCGGCAAATGACTGACACCTACTGGCGGCGTCACGATCTGCAAAAAAAGAGAAACGCGGAAATCCTCAATCAGCTGCTTTCCCGACTGCTAGTGCCACAAATGCCATCCGGGCGGCACAGCCACCGGTCCAGATCTCCAGTCCTGAGCACCTGCGAAAGCCGCCCGCACTCACTCTACGGGGTGCGGATAGTGCTCCCCACTCAGACTCCGGGGATCCCGCGGGCCGACAGATCTGCGCCGGGGCCCTGAGCCGCCTGAGCCTGTACCTTCGAGGCCAGTAATAGTCGGAGCCTGGAAACTGTGCACCCACTCGATTCCAGCTCTGCGCCACTTGGTGAATCCGGACCACAGGGTCCCAGACAGCCGCTGCCGACGCCAGGGGCGAGGCGCAGTGAGCTTCCTCTCGAGTTCCTCTCCCCGCGCCAAGTACTGCAACTCGCTGCGGAGACAGCAGAGGTCTGACCGCCCCGCTGAGGTCTCAGAACAGCAAAGCAAGTTACTGGGACTGCCGAAGTCCCGCGTGTCCCCCGTTCCCGCGGGTGCCGGGCCTGGAGAGTGCTAAGCACCCTGAGACTCGCGCTTTCCTAGCGCGTGAATCCCAACCGTCAACCGAACACTGCGCTCTTCGACTCTGTCCGATTCTGCAGACGTCCGAAACCTCGGAAGCCAAAACCGTGCTTGAACTCACTGCCCGCGCCTCATCTCTCCTCATGGGCAGTTTCCTGAGCAAACTGGAACTTTCGCCCTCGTCCCCAGCCCAGGTGCGCACCGACTTGCCCGAGAGGCCCACGAAACGCCGGCCACCTCAGCCCCTTCACCAAGTTCATCGGGTTCAGTTCGTCCACCGCGCCCACCCTGCCCCACGGTATAGACCTGTGAGGAGGCGGCCAAACCTGGATCCTGCCAATCCAACCACGTGGCTGGCCAACGAGGCCTGGAGGCGCTTTCCCATGAAGAAGTCCCAGAATTCCCCCCTGGGGCCTCTCCCTTCAGACTGGTGGGAAAGTTACTTAAAGCGGACTATTTGGTCTCTTCGACATCCCAGGCCAATTTGGAGCCCAGTGACCATCAGGATCACTCCTCCTGACCAGAGAGTGCCCCCTTCCACTTCTCCTGAAGATGTAATTGCCCTTGCAGGACTCCCGCCCTCTGAGGAGCTCGCAGATCCATGTTCAAAGGAGACAGTGTTGAGGGCCCTCAGAGAGTGCAGAAAAGGGAAAGGGAGGTTGGAAGAACCACTATTCCCTGAGAGTCTGGACAGTAAGAGAAGGAGTCCAGAGACCAGACCATCGGCATTTAAGCCCCTGATGAAAAATGGAACCCTCACTTCTTTTGTGCCCAGGCCTGGGCCGCTGAAGAGAAGTCTCCACTCCTGGGGCTCAGATCACAGCTTGACTAAGAGGCCCAATTGCTCCTCCATGAGCTCCTTGGCCAGCATATACAGAGGTGGCACCCTCAGCTCCAAAAGGAATGCTATTGGCAGCTCTTACAGCTCTTGCAGAAATTTCTCAGACCCTTGGAAGAGAAGTGTTCCCAGTGTATCATTCGAGACACCAGAGTGGCCAATAAAAAAGGAAAAAAGTTGTCATCGGCCTTCCTCTCCAGTCCCACTGGTATCAGATTTTGAGTCCCTAGGAGGATCTGAAAGTTCTGGGCAGCAAAACCAGAAGATTCCACAGCTGCCGTCTAGCCCTGAGAACCTGGTGTCAGAGATCCCACCTCCCCAGCTTGGTTATGCAGTCTCTGATGAGAACTTGACTTTGGGGAAGAAAGCTGAGCTACAGGTAAGCAACAACGCAGGAGAAGATACAACTGAGGTCAACACAGACCCTTTCCCTGAGACTTGGCTTGCTATTCAGCCTTCCTTGTCTCTTGCTCTGCCTTCTTCAGAAACAGATCTAACCCAGGGAGCAAATCCTCAGTTGGAAAACTTAAGAAAAATGCAGAAGTCTCTAGGTCCACTGGCCTCTCCACAGTCCACGGGAGAGGCAACCAGTGTGGCCCATTCTCCTTTGAAGACACCCAGCCTACCGACCCCACCTGGGTGCTCACAGTCAGAGCTCCTTCCAGGCACCTCTCCAGACTCAAAGCCCACAGCTACTTTCATCCTGCTGACCCCCACCTCTCCCACATTACCAGTTACTGACACCACCTGGCCGCCTTCAACCTCTCAGGCTGACAGGTCTCCCATGCCCCCAGACCCACCTGCACCACCCACCATCCAAAGTACTTTGCTTGGAATGGTGAGTAGCCCAACATCCCATCTTTCTGCATCTGCACCTCCTGATGCAACTTCTGCTCACCTCATGTTAAAACCGATTTTGGGGCCCCTGCACAACAGCGAGATTGGAAGCTCCTCATATTCCAGAATTTCAGTCACAGCTGCAGCATCTTCAATCTCTTCCCTTTCCACAATTCAGGGTACCTTAACTCCTACCTTCAAGCCTATCTTTGGCAGCATAGATCCACTTAAAACTACGCCCATGATAGCTCCTTTCTCCTCCAAGCAGACCCCTCCTCCATTTACTCATGCTTCTACCCATCATTTCCATGGCCTGGTCAAGGCCACCTCTGTGGTCATGTCCACCACCCTAGCCAGCACATCTAAAGACTCTGTTTTTAAGCCACCTTTGGATTTTGGTGTAGTGAATGTCACCAGTGCCGTAGGCAACACTTATTCTGTCCCTTCCACTTGCGACACTTTCCTGCTTGGGACTGCTCAGGCCTTCAGGGCCGACTTCACCCCAGCCACAGGATTCATTTTCCCACCACACCACCATCCTACAATTCCTACTGTGCATACAGTCACCATGTTTACCCAGGTCCTTTCCAGTGTTGTACAGATATCCCCTAGAAGCAGCACTGCTAATTTCAGGGGTATGGGCAGCCCTCTGCCTGCCTCTGCCCTAGTATCCACAAACTGGCTTGCATCAACCCCCAGCATCTCCAACCTGACTCCAGCAATCACAAGTCCCTTGGGATCAAGCTCAAGGCCACCTTTCCCACTATCCCAAGGAGCTAATCCCCAGCCTGCATTTGGTGCCACAAATGGACAGAAACAAGGGCCTTCCCAGCCAGCCCTTATGCCAAGTGTCAGTAGTTCTTTTCTTTTTGGGAGCTCAGCAGTGGCATTGCCAACCCCCATGCCAACTCCAGCTCAGCCAGCCTTCATTAGTACCACACAGTCAGCCTTGGGGTGTTTGACACCCTCAGCCTCCACCTCTCAAACCCCTGCCAGCACCTGGTCAGGCATTGGCGGCATTCCAGCAGGTTTTCCCATTAGTCAAGCTAGTACAACTGGGTTTAGAATTGTAATTCAGACCCACCAAAGTGGGGCTTTTGGCTCAGTGTTTGGCAGCAGAGCTCCACAACCTTTCACTTTTGGGGGATTCGTGACCCCTATGGACTGTGATGAGTCTGGGATCATAATGACTGGTCCAGACATGAGCCCCACCTCTGGAGCTTTCAGCATTGGAGCATTGCCTAGTGGGACCACTAACACCATGATCCCCTTTGGAAAAGGCTGGAGCCAGAACACTGAAGGCCTGCCCAGCCACCGCACAGCTTTTTCCTTGGGGAGAGGCAGCATTTCTGCAAGAAAGACTATGGCCCCCATTGCTCAAAACACCCCAGTCCCTGGACAAGCTAAGGCAGGCAGCAGTGTTGGCTTTGGGATGCCTTTTCCACCTGCCCAGGGCTCTGTTGGGAGAGGACCTTTTAGATCATCAGCCTCTTCATTTTCCATTGGCGCAAAATCAAAAACCCCAAAGAATCGGGAGAAAGGGCATTCCCGAAGGCATCATGCCTACAAGAAGTAGCCTGTGTTCCCTGTCACTTGCACCCTGATTTAGACCTCAGTATTGTTTTTGAAAAACCTCAGTGTCTTCCAATTTTCTAAAGTAAACATACTCCAGATCTAAAACTGGAGCTTTAGATGTTCACACTGTGTGTCCTAATCTACATCCTTGACGAAAGTGAAGGACTAAACCATCTAGTGCTGATTGCAGATTGAGGCCAGGTGGAACCAAACCCATTGGACTTGAACAGAACCTCGCCTTCCCCTTCCTGTCCACTCTTCTCTGTGTCAGGTGTGCAGTGTGCACAGCAGCAGGATCTATAATATCCAGACTTTCCAAATAAGTTGAATGTCTATCAATTAGAACATCTTTTCGTACATCCTGCCATCCCTACTGCTGGTAAACACTAACATGTTCTCTGTTACTCACTATAGGTTGTCTTTTAGAGAGTGTCACTTAAATGGAATCAAACAGTATGTAACCTTTGGAGACTGGCTTCCTTCACTCAGCATAATGCCACTGAGATTTATCCAAGTTGTTACTTATATCAATAATTTATTTCTTTTATTGCTGATTAAAAATCCATTTTTAATTGTGTTCAGTTGTATGAGTATACCACAGTTCATTTATCCATTCACCTGTTGAAGAACATTTATTTCCATTTTTTTCTCAAAAATAAATAAAGTCACCAGAAACATTCATGTTCAGGTTTTTGTGTGAACATATGTTTTCATTTCTCTAAGAAAATTTCTGGGAGTGGTATTGCTGGGTCATATAATAAGTGTATATTTAACCTTATGAGAAACTGTCAAACTATTGAGTTAATGACAATCCTATGAGGTAGGCACTGTTTCAGTCATTATTTTGCAGATGGGGACAGAACAATGAAGAAGCCAAGTAGCTTGCCTAAAGACACACAGTGAGAAAGTGACAGAGGCATGAATTGTGTCTAGGGTGTTGGCAAGGATGCAGAGAAAACATTGTATGTTGGTGGTAGAAATGTAAATTAGTACACCCATTATGGAAAATGGTATGAAAGTTCCTCCAAAAACCAAAAATAGAACGGCCATATAATGCCCCAATCTCACTTCTGGATATATATTCAAGGAAATTGAAGTCAATGTGTTGAAGGGATATCTGCACTCCCATGTTTATTGCAGCATTATTCACAACAGCCAAGATATGGCATCAACCTAAGTGTCCATCAATGACTGAATGGACAAAGAAAATGTGGTATAGATACACAATGAAATATTATTCAGCCTTAACAAGAAGGGAATTCTGTCATTTGCAAAAATGTGTAAGATGAACCTGGAGGACATCATGCTAAGTGAAACAAGACAAGCACAGAAAGCAAATACCACATGATCTCACTTACTTGTGGAATCTAATGTAGTTGAACTCGTAGAACTAAAAAGTAGAATGTGGTTACTGGGGTTGGGGGAGAGGAAGGGAATGAGCTGTTGGTCAAAGGGTACAAAGTTTCAGATAGGAGGAATAAGTTTTGAAATACATTGCACAGCAAAGTGACTATAAGTCAACAAAAATGAATTGCCTATTTCAAAATAAGAGGGTAAATTTCAAATGTTCCACCATAAAAAATAATAGGTAATTCAGCTCATCTGGGTATGAAAAAATAAAAGATAGGCAAGGGAATATATCCAGCATGTGATTTAATTTAATTAACTAGCTTGATTTAATCTTCCATACTGTACACATATATCAAAACATCAAAACATCACACTGTACCTCATAAATGTAGATAATTATGATTTGTCGATGAAAAATAATATTAAATTTTTTAAAAAGAATTGTTGCTAGGTAGTTTGGCTCCAAAGACTGTGCTCCTCACCCCTCACTATGGGACTTTCCTGGAGTGCAGGATAGTGGTAAAAGTATACTATAGTCCAAATCTAGGCTGACATGTAGCTCACCTCACATAGGAAAGTTTCTCAACCACTCTATGACTTTTACCTAATTATGAAGACAATAATAGAGAATAGCTCATAGGAAAATTAAGCATGTTAAGCCCTTAGACTAGTATTTGTACACAGGGAGGAGACAATGCCTCTCAGCTGATAGTACATTCCACGGTCCTCTTTCTGGACACCCAACACCTGTGATGTCTTTAACTTTCCTCAGTGTAGAAAGTGTGATATAAATGTGGACGATTTTCAATCTACACCTGGAAGGCAGTCATTTTCCTAGTCAAGAGTTCATAATCTAGGAATGGTCCAATTGCTTCAGCTCTCTTTTCTGGATCAATAGCAGACACTAGCTAGTTAGTCTAAAGAATGTCAAAAATGTGTTTACAATGGTAAAATTAGTGATATATTAATCAATGGACATTGAAAAGAGGTCATGATAAAAATATATGGTATACAAGATGCGGGCTAGCTACACCAGCCATAGTCCAACAAAATATAACACAAGCCACAGATGTGAGCCAGGTATATAATTTTAAATAGCCTAGAAGCCACATTAAAGAGTAAATAAATGGGTGATATGTATTATCTAATATACTCAAAATATTATTTTAACATTTAATTAATTTGAAAAAAATTATCGTTGAGTTTTTTTTCACATAATGTGTGCAAAATCTGTTATGTATTTCACATTTACATCACATCTCAATTAAGTCCAGCCACATTTCTTTCCTTCTTTTTTTTTGGTTAGAGACAGGGTCTCACTCTGTCATCCAGGATGGAGTGCAGTGGTGTGATCTTGGCTCACTGCAGCCTCGACCTCCCACGCTCGGGTGATCCTCCCACCTCAGCCTCCCAAGTAGCTGGGATTACAGGCATGCTCCACCATACACAACTAATTTTTTTGTAGAAACGGGGTTTCACCATGTTGCCCAGGCTAAGTCTAGCCACATTTCATGTGCTCAATAGCCACTGCAGATAATAAGTACATGAATAGTGCAGGTCTAAATGTTTTAGAGATGCTTCTTATCCTGCATCAGCACAGCATAAGAATATGGCAAGACTTACAGCTTGCTCCCTTAAGGAGGGCACCCCAGGTTCAATCCTCAAAGATTCTGTGTTCAGCAATTATATTACAAGTCTTCTTATTGGCTGGTACCCTAGCATAAGGAAACAGAATAACTCCCCTTGAATGTTGTTGTGTTTACTTCAAGTGAAAGTTTCAAGCAAGATATGACTGGATTCTCTAAAAGAGAGAATGCTGGAATTTAATAAAATTAAAGGACTGGTTAAAGAATAGCTATAAATTGTTTGGTGCCTTTTTATGTATGTCTGTATGTCTACCTATCTGTGGGCTTGTGCGTGAGCATCTGCCTTTATGTGTTGATTTCCCCACCAGTAGTTTTAACTGACTTCCCCACCATTGCCCCAGAAATAGTCTGACTCTCTTTACTCATTTTCCAGGGACCTCAAGATATAGTCTCTGCTCCACTCCTGGACTCTCATAGTTAGTACTGCACTTGCCCAACCACTGACAACAATGCATAAAAGGAAGCCAAAAAGGAAAGTATGCGGTTGGCCGGGCGCGGTGGCTCACGCCTGTAATCCCAGCACTTTGGGAGGCCGAGGCGGGCGGATCACGAGGTCAGGAGATCGAAACCATCCTGGCTAACACGGTGAAACCCCGTCTCTACTAAAAATACAAAAAATTAGCCGGGAGTGGTGGCGGGCGCCTGTAGTCCCAGGTACTCGGGAGGCTGAGGCAGGAGAATGACGTGAACCCAGGAGGCAGAGCTAGCAGTGAGCCGAGATCGCACCACTGCCCTCCAGCCTGGGCGACAGAGTGAGACTCCGTCTCAAAAAGAAAAAAAAAGAAAAGCATGTGGTCTTCATGCAGTAGTTGCAGCCAGCCACAGAAGAGACCTGTGCCCACTGGGGAGATCTTTCTTTGCCTCTGAAGTCTAGACCTATGGTCCAAACAGACACGTTTTCCTGAATATTGAATGAATTAGCACCTCAATTAAACAAGAAATATTTCTTAGTTTTCTGGAGCTCCTTTTAATTTCTTTTTTTTTTTCTTTTGGAATTAATACATTAAAAGGAAACTTTCTTCTTATTTGGGAGAATGCTTTCAAAATCTATCAGAGCCAGTACCCCTATTAGGTCTATCATTCTGTCATACATTAGGGGTTATAAACAATCCTGCCTTCCTGGGAGGAGAACAAGGCTCTGCGAAATAGTGTTTTGCATTGAGGGAGTGTTATCTGCGGAAGGCAGAGCTCAGCGTACTTTTTCCAAACAGTGCTAGGAATTTCCTCCTGCTCCTACGGACCACTTCATGGCTCTACAACTTTGTTTAGGAAGTTGTCCTCTGGTCACTTTTGCCTTAGCTCCCTGAAGTATATTAGAACATACTTCCTTTTTCTTGCCTTCTTTCTTTCCTTTCTTCATTTCTGCTTTCACTTTTTTCAGTACTTTATTGAAGTATACTTTACATACAATAAAATGTAAAAAAAAAAGTATAGATAGAGCTCAATGAATTTTATATATGTATAATTTCATGTAATTATGAAATTACACCATCCAGATCAAGATTGAGAAAATTTCCAAATTTCGTTGTGTTACCTTATCAAGTCAATACTGCATCCTGTAAGCTAAGTACTATTCTGACTTCTATCACCAGATGTTAGTTTGCCTGTTCTTGAACTCGACAGAAGTGAAATCGTAGAGTATATCCCATAGTGTGGCATTTTTGCACAACATTATGGTTTTGAGATGTATTTATGTCATTTTAAGGTTTATTTGGGTCGGGTGCGGTGGCTCATGCCTGTAATCCCAGCACATTTGGAGGCCGAGACGGAAGGATTGCTTGAGCTCAGGAGTTCAAGACCAGCCTGGGCAACATAGAGAAATCTCCTCTCTATAAAAAATACAAAAACTTAAAAAAAAAAAAAAATTAGCCGGGTGTGGTGGAGCGCGCCTGTAGCCCCAGTTACTCGGGAAGCTGAGGCGGGAGGATAGCTTGAGCCTGGGAAGCAGAGGCAGAGGTTGCAGTGAGCCTAGATGGCATAGCTGCCCTCCAACCTGGGTGAAAGTGAGACCATGTCTCAATAATAATAATAATAATAATAAATAAAAACATTTATTTGTATTAAAAGAGTACTTGTATTGTCACAGAAATTCATTCTTACAGCTAAATAAGATTCCATTTTATAAATAAACCAGAATTTGTTGGTATGAGGAAATATGAGCTTATTGATTATCATCTTAGGAAGAAAAGTAGAGTGTTTTCTCCGTGGGCAGAGTGGTGCAGCGGAAGCGTGCTGGGCCCGTAACCCAGAGGTCAATGGATCGAAGCCATCCTTGGCTAGGGTGTTTTTCTTAATGATCACCGTTTCCCGGTACCATGATATAATTAAGAAAATCAGATTCTCAACGTCTCCTTACTTAACCTCTTAAAATTAGTTACTACTCCACTGCCCAACTTTTATAAAGGCGTTAATCGTATTCTTTTCTCATCTGTTCTTGCAATACCTTCCCTTATCGCTCATTTCAAAAGAGAGATGACAAATTTAACTTTAATTTCCAACGGATCCGCGTTCTGTCTTCCAGTGAATAGAATACACACCTATCTTTGGTATGTTATGGTTTTATAATTTTCGTACACGCGAAGGAAAAGCATTTTTTACTTCTGCTCGATAACTATACAGTCGTCCTTTGGTATCTGTGAAAGGTTGGTTTCAGGACCTCCTGCGAATAGTAAAATCTACCAGTGCTCAAGTCCTTGATATAAAATGATCGAGTATTTGCTTATAACCTATGTACACCTTCCGGCATACTTTAAACCATTTCTAGATTATTTATCACACCTTATATCAGGGGTCCCCAACCTCCCGGCCGCGGATCAGTACCGGTCCCGTCCGTGGAAAAATTGTCTTCTACTAAACCGGTCCCTAGTGCCAAAAAGGTTGGGGACTGCTGTCTTACGTGATGCAAATGCTATGTAAATAGTTGTTATATTGCACTGTTTAGGGAATAATGACAAGAAAATTTCTGTACATGTTCGGTATAGACGCAGGGTTTTTCAAGTATTTTAGATCAGCAGTAGGTTGAATCCATTGCATGCAGAACCCATGGTTACGAAGGGCCAGCTGTTCTGCATTTTTACTTGGGTTAGACTCTCTTGCTCACTGTCACTCCTTTATACGCTTCCGCACATGATTTGTAAACTTTAGATAAAGTTAATGAGAAAGCTTTGTGAATTCTTCTCTAAAGCAATATATGTTAATCATGAAGACACCATTTTTATCCCCATATACATAAACTAGAGTCATTTGGACTTTATGGGGAAAACAGAAACAAGTTAAATTTGAAATGCTAGGAAGGAAAATGGAATGTCGTAAAAATTTTTTAAGTTTATGCTTCAGGATTCAATAGCAAAATCGGAAAGGGGAGTCTTGGTAAGATATTTGCAATTTTTGTTGTTGTTGTTGAGGAAATGGGGTATTTGGGACTACAGGCGCGCACTGCCACGCCCACCTAACTTTTTTTTTTTTTTTTTTGAGACGGAGTTTAGCTCTTGTTGCCTAGGCTGGAGTGCAATGGCGCGATCTCGGCTCACTGCAAACTCCGCCTCCCGGATTTAAGCAATTCTCCTGCCTCAGCCTCCCGAGTAGATGGGATTACAGGCAAGCGCCACCACGCCTGGCTAATTTTGTATTTTTAGCAGAGACGAAGTTTCACCATGTTGGTCAGGCTAGTCTCCAACTCCTGACCTCAGGTGATCCGCCCACCTCGGCCTTCCAAAGTGCTGGGATTACAGGCGTGAGCCACCGCGCCAGGCCTATGTTTTGTACTTTCTGTAGAGACAGGGCTTCGCTATGTTGGTCTCGAACTCATGGACTCAAGCGATCCGCCCGCCTCGGTCTCTCAAAGTGCTGGCGATTGCAGGAATAAAACCCCCGCGCCCGGCCCTAAGAAAAAAATTTAAATTAAAGCCCTCTTTAGTGAGTCGTTACATATGGCAAAAGCAAACAAAAAAACAAAAAAAGTATATAAATTATTCTAAACAATGAGCACCCTAATTAATGAGCATTTACACACAAAAAAATGAATCGGACAAACGGAAATAAGATGATGAGGGGAACATGTTTTGTTCCTTTAATCTTGCTGCTTTGAAGATGTTCTTATCTGGAGACCCCCTAGGCCTACAATCTTCAATTTATTTTTACCCACTGACTCCCAAATGCATTTTGACTAAATGTCATAGGAGATTAGTTTATACCTACAGTGCGTGTACACATGGGGATACTGTGAAACAGAGTGAATAGGGACGATATCTATTAACTTATACGGAGCAATTTCCAGAAGACATTAAATGAAGAAAAAGCAAAATGCAAAGGAGTATTTATAGTACTATATTACTTTCTGAAGTGCAAGAAAAAAGGGAAAATAAGAAGGCAGACATGTAGAAGGAGGATAAATCAGGAAGCAATGAAGTCAGTTATCTAGAAGTGTAGTGGTTGCCGGACGCAGTGGCTCACACTTTTAATCCCAGCCCTTTGGGAGGCCAAGGCGGATCCTTGAGATCAGGCGTTTGAGACCAGCCTGAGAGAAAGGGCAAAATCCTGTCTCTACAAAAAAATACAAAAAATGAGCTATTCTGGAGAGGTGGGAGGGTGACTTGAGCCTCAGAGAGGTGGAGATTGCCGTGAACTGAGATCACGCCACTACATTCTAGCCTGGGCTCATACTCAAGTGAATACCAAACCATAGTATACAAAAAGAAAGAATCAGACCATGTTACTTTTAACTTGGGGCAGGACGAGAATTACAAACAAATCTTGGACTCTTTTTAATCGATTTTGTTTTCTGTTGTAATGTGGACAAAGCAATTTTGAAGCAATTTTAGGTGTATTATAGGATAGGGCACATGACTAAATGTGTTGATTTACTCGTTTGAGTAAATCATTTCAGCCGCTATTCTAATTGCAGAAGAGGATTATACAAATAGGTGATGGTGGGAAGGCAAAAAAAAAAAAAAAAAAAAAAAAAATGCTCCTCAGGGGATACATTAGAATTGTAAATATCCGGCCCGGCGCGGCGGCTCACGCCGGTGCCGGTAATCCCAGCACTTTGGGAGGATGAGGCGGGTGGATCACCTGAGGTCGAGAGTTCAAGACCAGCCTCACCAACATTGAGAAACCCCATCTCTACTAAAAATACAAAATTAGCTAGGGGTAGTGGCACATGCCTGTAATCCCAGCTACTCGGGAGGCTGAGTCAGGAGAATCGCTTGAACCCGGAAGGTGGAGGTTGCGGTGAGCCGAGGTCGCACCATTGCACTCCAGCCTGGGCAACAAGAGAAAAACTCCGGCTCAAAAAAAAAAAAAAGTAAATATCGTTGGGTACTCATAATTATTAAAATACGCATATGTATGTGCATAGGCATGTATATGTGCACATGTACATATATGTGTGTGTGTATTTACATATTATGTATGTGTGAGTATACACGTGTTTCCTAGATATTGTTGATAAAATGTTCTAGAAGCAAAGGTGCCTTAGAAACAGTAAATACACCTAGACCCTGGATATTGGTCTCTAATACATTCCTCATTAAAAGAGCACCACTAAGAAATAGGAGACTTCAGGACTGGGACAGGGTAAATGCAGTAGAGCCTAGAACAATTTGTTATGCCAGAAATTAAGAAAGTTTAAGAAATATGGTGGAAGAATGTCAAAAGGACAGAGTACTCAGCTTGAAGGGTCTGCCTCTGACACAATCTGGGTTATATGGACTACCAAAGTTATTAAAGGCAATAATGGAATTGTAAACCACTGAAAAATAAGATTTTATAAGTCCATACTGATAATAAATACATAAATAGATGTTAAAGGGGGACTCTTTTTATTTATTTTATTTTATTTTTTTGAGACAGAGTCTCACTCTGTCACCCAGGCTGGAGTGCAGTGGCGCAATCTCGGCTCACTGCAACCTCCACCTCCCAGGTTCAAGCGATTCTCCTACATCAGCCTCCCGAGTAGCTGGGACAACAGGCTCCCACCACAATACCCGGCTAATTTTTTTTTTCTTGTATTTTTAGTAGAGATGGGGTTTCACCATATTGGCCAGGCTTGTCTTGAACTCCTGACCTTGAGATCGGCCCGCCTCGACCTCTCAAAGTGTTGAGATTACAGGCGTGAGCCACAGCCCCCGGCCAAGGGGGATTCTTGATTACAATAGAATGCCAAAGTAAAAACTGGTAAATGTGAAGAAAATTCTGGAGTTGAAAAAAAACACCATTTTGCAACCATCATAGTAAATATGGTTCAAGTAGGAATTATCAATAGATGCTAACTCTAGAGGAAAATTTTGATGGGGAGCAAGTTATTTGTATGATCTTTAAGCATCTCCCGCAGATTGCTTATTAGTTGCAAGGGGGAAACTATACACATATATCAACTTGACTGTGTGATTGGAATTAACCTCAGCAATGAGGGGCAATGAACATTGCATGTCTCCAGATTTAATAGTCCTGAGAACGACATGCCATGTACATTCTATTCTCTGGGATGCATAATGTGAACCCAATTATGAGGGTAGAAAATCACGCAAAGCCCAAATAAGAAATGTTCTATGTTTTAAAAATGTGAGCAGTTACCAGGTTCTTCAAAAAGTCAATGTCATAAAATACAAAGAAAGATGTGAAAATGTTCCAGGTTAAAGGAGACTAAAGGGATATGGAAAACACCCAATTCTAGACAGATTCCTGAACTGGAGGGGGTAAATACTATAAAGGATATTACTGGCCAATTGAAAAAAATGGAATACAGGTTAGAAAATTCATAAAAAATTATATTAATGTTAAATATACTGAATTGGTAACTATATTATGGCTATAGCACAAGAAAATATTCCTTTAGGAAGTACTCACTTAAATATTTAAGGGCAAAGGAACATAATATATATAATTTACTCGTAAATGTTCTGGAAGACACACACACAAACATACACAGATATAAACACATACAGAGAGAGAGAATGAACGTTAAAAGTGAATCCTGATAAAAGGTATATGGGTGGTCTTTATACTATTCTTATTCTTAATTTTTTCCCTTAAGTTTGAAATTATTTCCGGGTGAAAAGTTTAAAAAGGCTGAGCGCAATGGCTCACGCCTGTAATCCCAGCACTGTGGGAGGCCGAGGTGGGTGGATCACCTGAGGTCAGGAGTTCGAGACCAGTCTGGCCAAAAAGGCAAGACCCTCGCCTCTACTAAAAATGCAAAAATTAGCTGGGCGTGGTGGTGGGCGCCTGTAGTCCCAGCCACTCGGGAGGCTGAGGCAGAAGAATCGCTTGAACCAGGGAGGCAGAGGTTGCAGTGAGCCGAGATGGCGCCACTGCACTCCAGCCTGGTCGACAGAGTAAGATTCTGTCCAAAAAAAAAATATATAAAAAACATTTTAGTAAAAATTTGAGGAAGTAAAAAGATTTAGTATAACGAACATTCAACTTCCCATCAACCAGCTTAAACAATTAACAACATTTTGTAATGTTGTTTTCTCTGCTGCTCTCCAACACCAACTAGTATTTTGAAGCAAATCCAAGACAGGAGATTCCAAAGCACTTTACTTGGACAATAAGCAAAGGTACAAATTACTCGTTCATATGTAAATAGAAAGGAAGGTGACACACAAACTTCTGTTAATTGTTCGGAGAAGGAGAGGTTATCAGTGTCTGACCAACGCCTTTGGTTCTTTCGCTTTGCAACATGAGGCACTATGTGAGTGGAGCAAGGGATCCATTGCACCATGCGGACATCTTGGCTAAGAGCCCTTCAGGTGCAGGCAATGCCCGCAGCCCACGTGCCGGATGTAGTAAATTGTAATCTAAGAATGGAGAGTAATTCCACTCAGATCCTCAAGAATTCCTTTGAACCTCAGGAGGAAATAAAACTGATAGATGGTCGAGAGAAATGAGAGGAAGCAAAAGGAGGAAAGCTGTAGATAATCTATATAACTTTTCTGAGAGCAACTCAGACCTGCGACAAAAACCTGGTTACCCTCTTAAAGAAAACGGTCGACGAAGGTGGGATTCGAACCCACGCGTGCAGAGCACAATGGATTAGCAGTCCATCGCCTTAACCACTCGGCCACCTCGTCCTTCTGGGGAAAATGTGTTTTTGGGATACTCCTTTAAGGCTTGCTTTTGACGAAGACTTGCAATTTAATTATGGTGATATGTTGATATGTATTGTAATGTCCTTCAAACTGTGGTCTCCTTAAAGAATTCTTACGCAAAACAAGTTCTTTCCACCTTCATATGGAGAACCTTTTACAGTTTAATGATCGTGCCCAGCGCCCGTGTGTCCAGTCTTGAGTGTCATCGTTCCTCCGTATCCATTCTAGCTTTCCAACTACAGTGAATTTTTTTTCTCCCCAAGCTCCATGCTCTCCTTCTCATTTTCCACCCTCAGCACTCTTTTAACTCTTCTCTTTGCCCTCACTTCACCTGCCTTAGTTCATTACTCATTCCTCAGATCTCATGTTAGGCCTTACAGTCCTTCTTACTGAAGGCTAAGCAGCTGAAAATTGAGGCGGCGGGGTGGGGTGGGGGGAATCCTTTTTCTGCTGCCAATGTATTTCTTTTCTGTTTCTGCCACAGAATTTTATCCCAATATTATGTATTTTTATGCTTAAAAACGCTATCATAACTGACAGCAACGGAAAATACTTATATAAATTGAAACCTCTAATTTTTTTTTTATGTCCATTGACCATAAATCCCCAAGAGTTTCACCGTTTTTCTTCTGGTTTGAATTACCTTTACATTCAATGGTGGCACACAATAACAAACACAAATCAACGATTTTGGTAAGTAATTTAGAATACACGAAAAGTAGAGTTGCATTGGAAATGCATCTTTTAGTGAAATGGCTGTTAATATTTTTTTCTCCATCAATTCATTGTCCGCGGATAAATACTTCTTATAGCCGGAATAAGAAAGGTTCAGTGGAATTAACAACAAAAAGATCAGTAGATTGTGGTTTTGAATAAGTCCGAGCCTTCCAAAAGGTGTTTTTATGATTATTTAAGGTGCATTATTTAAAGTGGAATCTTCAACACATTCTCATTACGTTTATCTAAATTTAATAAATAAATTTTAGCAATAAATAAAAGTGATGGCGAGCAGGAGATTTGGGAGGACGTAAAATATATAACTTTACGGATATCCATATTTGTATTTGTATTCATATTTGATAAAAGTCCAAGAATTTTCCTACGAGTCTCAATAATTGTAAAAAAAAATGAAAACACTAACTTTCCATGGCCCAATATGTACGTTCCGTTTTGTTAAAAATGGAATGTTATTAGTCGGAAGTAAATGAGGAATTTGTCAGTTCCTTCATAAAATCGTGTAAAATACGCAATTGAGACACACATCTCTGTGTCTTGTTTACAGAAGACTTTGGAGACACCAGCATTTCCAGTTGTTCTGTCACGGTAAGATATTATCTAAAAGGCGAGAATGATTTGCAGGGGAAGATGGAAGTAGGGAGCATTCACATCCCATAGGGAGCTAGTGCGCGGTAGGGGAGACACATATGGGGAAATGTTTCTTTGTAGCCTCTAGGATCTCGTGGTCTCCGGCCCAGCAACCCTGTCGCTAAGCTTCTCGGCTGCACCGGGCGCTGGCTTCTCTGACATTCCTTAGCGCAAGAGCTTTTTCCTGTTCACATTCCCTGCCTTCTCTCCTCGCTCACAGCTTTCTTCTTTCGTCCCCGCCTCTCTCCAAAACCAAACCGCCCCAGCAATTTCCGGGTGACTGAACTTCTACAATCTGTCTAAGAGGGTCCGAGCTCTGAAACCCCTTCTTCAGGAGCTTGTCCATGCCCAGACGGAAATGCCAAGAAAGCCGAGTTGCTGAGCGCCCAGCAATGAGCTCAGGGAACCCTCACTAGGAAACGCTGCGGGAGGTTGGTGGCTGGGGAGATTGGCGGGGAGAGGGCGTAGAGTAAACTCTGTTATCCTGGGAAAGGGAGTCTTTTCAGCTCATTTCCCCCTCTTCTCTGTCCAAGTAAAACTTGCTTGTGCAAACTCGAAACAGCATCTATCTCTATTGACTATTGACTATCGCCAGTTGTATCTTTCCCGTCACCTGTTCTATCTGCCCAGCCCTCACAAGTTGAGCTTCTATCCCCTTGTGGTCTTGTCTGAGGACAGTTTTCTCTCGGCTTCGGCGACTGTCACCTCTCCCAGACCCATTTAGTGGGTAAGTCCTTTCCTCAGTTTCCATCCCAGCTTTTCTCTGTTCGTGACTATCACCAAATTTCCTTTCTCTCTTCTCACTAGCCTCCTATCTATTGTCTCCTCACTTGTTTGCAGATCTTTTCTGGAGACTTTGATTTGCAGTTCCAGCAGGACTCGAGCGACTGCCTCGTGCATTTCCTTTTGAGGCTTCTCTCTTTTTTCTCCAAAGAACAAATTGTGCGCAGCAAAAAGAAAGTTATTATTTGGTTGGCAGCTAAAGATACTCCGCTCAAGAGATGTGACGTGGAAATACCAGGAATAAAATTTGGTCGAGTGATTTGTATGAGCAACAGTATAGATTGTGGAGAGACGATGGGGATTTGACTGCAGAGGACTAAATCCAAGGTTCCACCGAGATTTGAACTCGGATTACCGGATTCAGAGTCCAGAGTGCTAACCATTACACCATGGAACCTGAAGCTGAACTAGCATTTCCTAAAGTCATAGGTGACCTATTTCTCCACTTTAGGTTCCTTCCCTCCGCCCCATAGTTTGGGTGATGGGTGCATTCTGCTTTTCCTCTTGGAGGATTAAGTCAAGAAGACGCTTACCTGCCACATGCCTACATTCAACACCTTTTACACCACAGTCTTAATGGAAAACGTTGACTTCCAACTGTCAGGAGTCCTCTAATCCTAAACCACTCCTTTCAAGTGCTTTAGGAGCTTGGCGCCCCGGGCCTCGGCCTCTATTTCATCAATGGTAGACAAGTGAGATTGTTAAACAAGACTGTGTGCCAGGTGCCAGGCACACAGTATGCCAGGTTACCGTGTGCCAGTTTTTGTGACAAGTGTTTTCTATTGTTACCTTACCTGTGAGGCTCACAACCACGCTGTGAGATGGGACCCATAATCTCTATTTTACAGGTGAGAAATTTGAGTCAGATACCTGAGATGCTTTACTCCTTTTCGTTATAGATCTAATTATTTTCTCAAAAATCGTTTTTACCAGGGTAACATGTAGCGTTTTTAAGGACACGTTATGGAAAGATTTTACCGAAGTCACAGGGGAGCCACTTTGCTGTTTACAGAAAGCTGAAATAAATGCACTTGAACTACTGGGTTAGAGGAAGATCCCAGCAACCCTAGGATAGCAACTCAGGGAAAGAAGGGGAAGGGTAGACAAAGGTCCCTCTGGAGTTTCCCAGGACAGTGCATAGCTCCCCTGGTCCTTCCACTGCCCTTCACCAATGAGAAATATGTGCAGGGTAAACTTCCAAACGGACACAAAGAAAACTCCCTGCTTCTCCCTCGCATATCCCTTTGTGACACACACAGGAGCCCATGTGAAAACACAAACACAGACACACACACACACACACACACACACACAGAATCGGTTTCTGTGAACAAAACAAAACAAAAAGTCTGTGTTCCTTGTTTAAAGTGATAGCTTCCTCACAGGACAATGTCGTCTGTCAGTTAAATTCGAAAGGGTTTTCAGAGACACATATCCACAACCTTCTAAGGATTTATTCTCTTTATCTTGTGTCTCTACAATTTGAGAAAGAAGGTAGGTTTCAGGACTAATTTGGAAGGAAAATCTGAAATCAAATAAGCTTTATTTTTTTAAAAAAAATGCCAGTTATTTTTCCACTCCTTGAACTCTTCCCCGCCCCCCCCCCCTTTCATTAAGCAGGCTCCCAGTCTTGGAGGTCTCTGCTCTGAACAGCTTTCTGTCCCCAACCCTTATTCCTGGAGGAAACAGAAAGAACATTTAAAAAAAGAAGAAGAAGAAGAAGAAGATTATTACCTGGGGAGATGTAGCATTTCAGATGATTCGGAAACGAACTTAGGTTCTAGGTTCGTTAAGAAATGGGGACGGTTAATTTGAATCATCTTAGAGCATGAAAACCAAATTTCTCGAGGGGGGAAAAAGCCAAAGGCCCGTACGGGGATCGAAACCTCGACCCTGGCATTAGTAGCAGCACGCTCTAACCAACTGAGCTAACCGGCCGACCGCAAATCTGTGCTTTTGTTATTCATCTCACCCGCATCCTCGCCCCTTCTCCGTGAAAGTATTAAATTCTTCAACGTAATTCCTGTTTGTCTTACAGGGAGGAACAATTTCTTAGTTGCTTTAGAGTCTTAATAGAAATAACGAGAAATTTCCTCTTAACGCAAAAACAAAGCAAAATGGCTGTATTCGTAGACTTGAAAGAGGACGCTTAAACATTTCAAACTGTGGCTAATGGCCCAGCAATTTATGGAAATATTTGCTGCCTTCTGAATGTCTAGTCAATACATGCAGACAATGAATCAGATTCGGTGAAATATTAATGAGTCTTTGCTTCGTAAAAGCCGCTCACTAATACAACATACAAATTGGTACTTGAAGGATATTCCCAACGAGTCTGATTCTCGATGGTCCCATGATCGAGATCGTCCCAGGTTTCTTATGTCTAGATCCTCAATTTGGGAGTCTTCCTATGTGTTCCTTCAGATTCCTAAAGTGACCTCAAATCAAAGGTCGCTTCGAAGACCTTGGTATTGAAAAATGCTAGAAATGTGGTTCTAGTCACCATTCCAGGGGCCGTTAAACCCAATCGTTGTCTACTCAGCCATTGTTTCCCAAAAGCTTTACCATTGTTTTTAATGTCTTGTTTATCGTTCCAGAGATTTTGAATACATAGACAAAGTTACACAAGTGTTTTCTTTTTTCTCTTCATGAATAGTGGCATTTTATACACTTTTTAAGTCCCTTGCCTTTTTAAATTTTTACTTACAATGTACTTTTGCAAACTTTCCATATCAGAATAGACAAGTTTTCTTCATTCTTTTAAAAATATGTATAGTATTACATATACTATACACGTGTATACCTATGTAACAAACCTGCATGTTCTGTATATGTACCCCAGAATTTAAAGTATAATAATTTAAAAAATATATGTGTAGTAGTTGGCCAGGAGCAGTGGCTCACGCCTGTAATCACCGCACTTTGGGAGGCCGAGGTGGGCGGATCATCTGGGTCAGTAGTTGGAGACCAGCCTGGCCAACATGGTGAAACCCCATCTCTACTAAAAATACAAAAATTATCCAGGCATGGTGGTGCATGCCTGTAATCCCAGCTACTCAAGGGGCTGAGACAGGAGAAGGTCTTGAACTTGGGAGGTGGAGGTTGCAGTGAGTGGAGATTGTGCCACTGCACTCCAGCCTGGGCGACACAATGAGACTTCATCTCAAAAAAATAAATAAATAAATAAACTAGTATAGTATTCAATTATGTTAGTATATATCATAGTTTAATGGGCAGTTAGTTTAGTTTTCCATCGGCTATTGCAAACTCTTTATATCTATGAACATACACCATCTCTGATATCTGCCATGATACCTTGCATTCATGTGGAAAAGCTGCATCAAAGAGTAGTGCATTGGCAATTTTGACAGCCATTGTCCACCTGTGCTTTAGAGGGTTGATCCCAATATTCTTTTTCCTTGCTTGTTTGTTTTAACTATATTGAGCATAAATAGGACCCTGGGCACATTTCTACCCCTCCTTCTTCCTGAATTACAATCAGTGAAAATGTAGAGAAGTCATACTGGGGAATGTTTGTTTCTGGAATATCACCTTCTCTCAGTTAGGCGAGACTTTAGGAATGTGATAGAATCAGGTGGGAAAAGGAAGGGGCTGAATGGAGAGCAAGGAGAAGGGCCAGCAGAGGCCTTCTTTTCTGCACCTCAGAGAGAACAACATGGCCAAAACACCTGAGGGGAGAAGAGCTGAGACAGCGTCAGTGTGTCTGGTGATTAAGACTGAGCTGCAGAGTGATGTGCAAGTAGTAGGAGATGAGGCCTGAGGAGGAGAGAACATGTGCATGGTGCAGGACCCTCTAGTAGATTGTTATAAATAAATCAGGTTACTTTACTTGATGGTAAAGAGGATGGCGCACTAAAATTAACAGGCATGAATTGATCTATATTGAGTCTAAACTAAGAACTATGATTACTATGTATAGGCCAAGTTAAAGATTTTTGAATTGGCCCTACCAACAATGGGAATCCATGGAAGGATTTTAGGCAGAGAAGTCTCATGAACAGATTTGCATTTTGAAAAGATCTTTTTAAGTTCCTGTAACAGACAAGCCCATTGTTACTGGGCCCATGCTTAGTTTCCATCGCTGACATTAGGCTATTCAATTCATGTAATCAATCTGCCAGCACTGTAGTGGCTAATTATTAAAGCTAGCTGACAAAAACTGGTAGAATCATTCCAGTTAGTTAGTTGTTTAGTTCTTCTCTGGTGGACGCACTCTGGTTAACTTAACATGTGACACAAACATCTTCACACTTTGTGCCCACACATCTCCCCGTCTAGGATCCTTTCGAGGACCCCAGTGTATGTACATGCCGGGAAACACCCTAGCTTTACCCCATATCCACCTGGAGCGTCCTTAAGTGGAACTTTGCCATGCTTCGGAGGGAGCCAGGTTCACAGCAGTGAGTGAGCAACCAGAGCCCAGCCGGGACCTGGAGAGGCGGGTGCGGCCTAATGTTCCATGCAACGCTAGCTTCCCGCAAAAGTGCTACTACGCATTGACCCGCATTGGAAATGCTCCAAGCCAAAAGGCCATTAAACAAGGCGCCTGCGACCCTAATCCCTGACGTCTTTGTGGCGATCGGGACCATCAAGGGAAATGATCGTGGAGAAACAGGCGACGCAGTAACGTCTGCCCTAATTGAGCTCTCCCTGCAGAATCTTGTCTTACACATATTCCCTCCCCATTTTCTCTTCTTGTCTTCTCTAAAAGTCATGTGATTTTTGAAAATATTGTCTGACAATAAATGAATTGCTGGAGACTGGTAATGTTCACTCAAGTGGTCAGGGACTCTTGGTCTAGAAGCGGAGACTTTACTTACGGAAATCCCCAAGAGCCTCTCCTTGAATAAAGCCAGCAGGCGACAGTTCGCATTAGGAAGAGAGCAGAGACCCCTCCACCCCAATCTCGCCCCCTTTAAAGGCAGGGATCTCCTCCTATTCAGAACACTGCCGACAACATGCAGAGAGAAACACCTAATAGAACAGTATTCTGCTTTTGAAAGCTGAGAGTGATCGAGAGATCGTGCGATGGTGCCATTGTAAAGACGTCCACTGTCAAGGTCAGCTAAGGGAATCTTGGAAAACAGAAACACCCCGAAAAATTGCAAGTTGTTTCCGCTCGGTTTCGACCCGAGGACCTTTCGCGTGTAAGGCGAATGTGATAACCACTACACCACGGAAACCTGTGTGCTGCGTTGGCTTCCTTCGTTAAGGGAGAATTAAATTTTTCTGTTTCAGCTTTGGTAACATCGAGTTGATTGGCCTTTCCTTTCAGTAAATTATCAAGGTTACCATGCTTTTCTTTACTACAAAGTCCTCCATTAAAACTTTTTTTTTTCAGACGTGACTGGAGAATTTAAGAAAATTTCCCCTCAGATGCGAGGCTTGTTACTGTGGACGTTGATTTTTTTTTCTTTTTTTTTTGTTTTCACGGGGCAGAGGCAGGAATTCAGAAGAGTGTGATTTCGTTGTTGTCGATGTTTATGGATAAAAATGTAAAGAGATGTAATGTAGTAGACAAAAGTCTACATAGTGTAAAAGGAAGGGTTGCGGTGGCCAGAATATTGTGAACTTAAGTTGAGGCTCAAAGTGAATGTATCTCCTATCTTGATGACCAGATGTCTGCGTTTCCTGTCTGGAGATCTTCATATTGTTCTGGATATATCACGAGGGTAAGCATGTTTACAGAATTTGGGAAGGGCAGAGGACTATCAGGAAAGTGGAAAGGTTCTATTGTCTATCAAATACCTCTCTATACAGCATTCAATTTGTGTGGTTAATTAGTGTCTCACTGTGATGATTGTAAAAATCCTGTTCAAAGACACCAGTCTGCATTTTTCCTTAAAGATGTTGACCATGAAGGCCATTGTTATTTTCTGTTATTTTTAAAGGGAAGAATTCAATTCCTCTTTCCCTACTGATTACACAGTTTCTGCAATTGAGTCTCAAATCCGAGAAAAATAGGAAATAACTCTTTTACTAATTCTGCAATTTGGACAATTAACTATTAACCTCAGTTCCTTGTCTCAAAATAAGTTTAACATTTACTTTGTAGAATGGTATGGGTTCACATATTAGTCAACTAATATTTATTGTGTGTCCATTGCATATATGGGCATTGCAATGGACTGTAGGGTTTTATTAGTAAACGAAACCAGGCACTGCACCTGTCTTCTTGGAAATTATATTCTTGTGAGAGACAGACAGTAATCAAGTTATCATCCAAATTAATGCAGCATTTCCAAGAAAAGAGAGACATATAGTGCTCTCATTTAATATATATGAAGATTAATTTAGAAAGTTTAGGGGAAGAGTTCTCTGAGAAAATAATGATGCTCAAGTTTAAAGGTTGGGGAGATGTTAACTAGATTTAAAAGAGTGTTAAAGGCAAAAGAAATCTTATGTACCCAAACCCATGGTAAATAAGAGGGACCGATTTGCAAGTAGGACAGTGTGGTTGGAGAGAAAGGGGCGGTGGGGTATGAAATAAAGCTGAACACATGAGAGTCAGCCATGGAGAGGATTTCAGGTCATAATATTAAGGATTACCTTATTAAATAGCTATAAAATGTGTGATAATCGGTTCTTTTAAAATGCCAGTTTCTACCCTTTATCCTTTTGTCCTCTCAAAGTACACAGGATGTGAGACCTAGTGTGACCTAATCTCTAAGTTAAAACCAGCTAAATTTTCCCCCAAACAATTTGGGAATACTCAGAGAGATTCAGATCATGTGTATACCCTTAGCCAACTAAGAACAAATGCGATGGTCTCAGCTGAGAGCCTAGCAAATTTGACTCCCCTACCTAGAATTCCAGTTCTGTTCTCTCTCCGCCCCCACTCCCCTCCCCCATCCGGTGCTGGGCTCTGCAGATGCACTAGGATTTAAGACATTGAAGTGTAGGTGGACTAGGGAGGTTGTAGCACTTATTTTCTAGCCTTGTACTCAATCAGGCAGAAATCCTGCACTCCATATTTCTCATTTTTTAAAACCAAAATCGGTGACTAAAATACACTCCAGTAACTCAATATACCATTAAACCATTTCCTCCTCTCCTTTCTCATTTCAAATTCCTCAAACATCCCGGCAAATCCAGAGCCCGCTATGCACAGTTCTGATTCCGGGGGGAGTAGGGCTCCTCCTTGCAACCAGGACGTCTTCGTCCCCACCTTGAGCTGAGCCGGATGCCGAGTCCTTGGCAATATCCTGCACCGGCAGCTGCCAGTCTAGATACCCTGCCTGCGAGGGCCCCAATGCCCGATTTCGTGTCTGTCTGTCCCATAGATCTATTTCTAAATCACACACTCAAGTAAACTCATCCTAAGCCCACCTCAACCCAGGCAGGACTTTTCTGTGCCTAAATTAAACTCGCTGGAGCGGCGGCTCTATTGACAGTTGGATAACTGACAATCTCTGGCAGAGAGTGGCCGCCTGACCCAGGGAAACCTCCGCCTGGAAATACAGGTCGGAGTCCCGACCCCCGCGCTGCGCCCGGGATTCCTAGAAAGGTGAGACTTGGAGTTGACCCTGTTGCGGAAACACCTTAGCAGAGAGACGCAGATCAAGTTGGGCTGCTGACCAAGTCCCTGGAGGAATTGCTGGTGGTAAGAACAGGGTCGCGGCCGCAACCGCGGCGAAGGAAAGCAGAGTGAGGTTAAGTAGTCATCTCTATCCAAAGAGATCTGCCGCAGTTCCAGACAGGAAACTTTTCTTAGTAATCTTCTCCATTCCCTACTTCTTTCCACCCCACCCCCTCCACGCACGAATCTCCTGTGGAAGGTTTCTGAAAATAATTCTGTGAAGGAAAAAACAACAACAATAAATGTTTGCCAGAAATGGAAGAAACCTGGTAGCCTCGCCTCTCGTTTTTCGTTTATTTGCTTGTTTAGACCCTCTTCCCTCTTTCTTTCTTTCTTTTTTTTTTTCTGATTGCAAATTGTTCAGTTGCCATTTGGCCGTCTTTGTGAAGCGCCTGTTCAAATTTTTCACCCATACACCTTAAAGTGAAAATGAAAACAAAGCCTATTAAAGAAAATTTAGAAAAATCCTTTTTGCCTTTGCGATAGTCAAATGTTTTGTAGATTTGACAAAACAAGTAAGCATTTTTAAAAAGATTGAAACTATGGACTTCATCCAAACTAAACATTATCTTCATCAAAAGGCTATTGAGAGAGAAAACGCCAGCCTCAGACTGGAAGAAGGTATCCATGAGACAAATTTTTTGGAAAAGCTGTTGTTTCCACTGGATTTAAAAACCAGAATCCTTTCACATGCTAGGCGGACATGCTAATTATTACATTACAGAAACTCCCTGCTACAATCAGGCCTTTCACAACAGAATGAGATGATGATTCTTTAGATATACTCAAACCTAATAACTTTTAATGTTTTTCTTTTTTCTTTCTCTCTCTCTCTTTTTTTTTTTTTTTTTTTTTTTTGAGACGGAGTTTCGCTCTTGTTGCCCAGGCTGGAGTGCAGTGCTGTGATCTCAGCTCACTGCAACCTCCCGGTCCTGATTCAAGCAAGTATCCTGCCTCAGTCTCCCAAGCAGCTGGGATTACAGGCAGGTGCCGACACGCCTGGTTAATTTTGTATTTCTAACAGAGACAGGGTTTCACCATATTGGTAAGGCTGGTCTCGAATACCTGACCTCAGGTGATCCACCCGCCTTGGCCTCAAAAAGTGTTGGGATTACAGGCATGAGCCACTGCCCCCAGTCATGTTTTTCTTTATATTTTTATCCACTGTGTGTTTCTTTCCTTCATACTTTCTTTTTTTTTTTCCCCCTTTTTCTTCCCCCTGCCCCCACCCCCCCGAGATGGAGTCTCACTCTCTCCCTGGCTGTAATGCAGTGGCACGATCTCGGCTCACTGCAACATCCGCCTCCCAGGTTCAAGCAATTCTTCTGCCTCAGCCTCCTGAGTACTGGGATTACAGGTGTGCGCCACCATGCCTGGCTAATTTTTGTATTTTTAGTAGAGACAAGGTTTCACCATGTTGGCCAGGCTGGTCTCGAACTCCTGACCTCGTGATCCACCGGCCTCGGCCTCCCAAAGTGCTAGGATTACAGGCGTGAGCCACCGCACCCCACCCGGCCCTTTCCTTCATACTTTCTATTTGTTAAAATTAATGCTGTAGAAACTCCATGATTCATAACCAAATACAGCTCATAACTAGAGTCTAAATTTCTCCCCCAAAGCTAGGCAGAGTAA
Organism: Homo sapiens; assembly: GCF_000001405.40. Classification (NCBI taxonomy): domain Eukaryota; kingdom Metazoa; phylum Chordata; class Mammalia; order Primates; family Hominidae; genus Homo; species Homo sapiens. The sequence goes on along the minus strand of NC_000006.12, from coordinate 27,286,597 downwards.
ACACAGGGAGTTGATTTCAAGGAACTCTTTGATGTTTTCCTATGGCTTTGATTTCCAAGTCTCTTCTTGACCTTGAGGAGCCAGGAGGATCCAACACACTGAGATCTGGAGACCACTCAAGCTTCTGCAAAGTCAATGCTTGTCTGGAGGACAGTGTTGAGCAGGGGATGTGATGGGGGAGGGGTGAGCTGTGCCCAGTAGACTGTCAGAAGGTGATGACAAAAGAGGTGGCATCTGGGAATTCATGTGACTGGGAATTCATGTGTGGTGAGTGTATCTAGGAGTCATCGGTCATTCTATTGTTTGTGTCACTCTTACTGGTCTGGAAAGCACATGCTCAGTGATTATGTCAATCTGTTTAATGGACAGACGATGTACAACATTTGTCTATTTTTTATTCCTTTTCCTATGTCAACTGACAATTGTCACTGTCTTTTTTCCTTTTCCAGCATTTCCCGGGTATCTGGAAGGTGCTCAACAGTGAGATGGTGCTCTTCCTCCAAATCTGTTGACATGACAGGACAGTGCCGCTTATGAATCTCTGACAAATAGCAAAGTGGAAAATTCCTGCTCTTGGCAGCTAAAACTTGGATTGATCACAATATTTCAGGAAACAGAGAAGAAAGACAGTATTTCCCAGTTAGCAAGATCTTGAGTCTTATGATTTTTTTCTGACATTAAATCTGCAGCATAAATGGCATGAGTTTATTATTTTCAACAATTTGATTAGACATTTATTTCAAAGAAATTAATGAGTAGCCTACAATGTGCCCCATCCTGAGCTAGGCTCTAGCAGTAACAGATATCCTGAAAAAATGGACATGCCTGAGGTAGCAAAGGGCTCAACACTGATTTTTCATAATAAAATTACCCAAAACAGGGTGGTTATATTTTAAATTGACAAATGAAACCACAGAGATAAATACTCATGCACTATCATGGAAACATAGAAAAGGAGCAACTGTCACTCTAAATAATGAGGAAAAGCTTTCAGAAGAAGTGATAACTGATCCTGTAGCAGTATGAGCCGCAGACAAAACCTCTCAGACACTGAGTTGTAGAAGGAAGGGCTTTATTCAGCTGGGAGCATCGGCAAGCTACTGCCTTAAAATCCGAACTCCTCAAGTGCACAATTTGTGTCCCTTTTAAGGGCTCACAACACTGAAGATTTCACATGGCAGGGTCGTGATTGATTTGAGCAAGCAAGGGGTACTTGACAGGGGCTGCATGCACCGGTGGTCAGAGAGAAAGAGAACAGGGCAGGGAGTTTCACAATGTTTTTCTCTACAATGTCTGGACTCTATGAAAAACATCGGTTTCTAAGTCATGAGTTGATTTTTAACTACTAGGTTTAGGCCAGGCAGGCCCAGGTCTGGTTTGGGGCCTGGCGCCGGGCTACCTGTCTTTGATTTCACTTCCTTCTTTTTTTCTTAAAACAGGTACTGAGTATAAAACAATATAAAACAATATGAGAGGGTCTCTCTCTTCCCTCAATCCAAGACTTAATAGATGAAAAGTAAGAAATCGGCTGATGAGAGATGGAGGGGATAGGGGAATCTGGAATTAGAGGCAGCATGGAGAAATAAGTCAGTGTTTCGGGAAACTCCAAGGAATTCTAAATTTGAGGCAGGGAGTAGGAGAAAATAAGACAAAATGAGAAAATAAGGGTTAGACCAGGAATAAAGAGGACGATCTTTCACTTAACACTTTGGTGTGATGTGCTGTGGAGAGTTGGGAAAGTTTGAAGAAGAAAAATTATATTTTCCATTTCAAGCTAAAGTCTCAATGGCTGCTATGCAAATAAGAAATTTAGGGAAACAAATATGGAGACAAAGGAGCAAGGAAGGTTTTTCTGCATACGGTTAAGGTAAGGCCTCAGAAAACCTAATACTTTAATTGGATTACCTCAAAGAAAGAAAAGAGTCAATAGAGTAGATGTAATCATTGAAACGATTAACCAAGGAAAGTTTCTATAAACAGAAGCCTAGTATCAGACTTCTGAGCAGTAATATAAAAAATTAGATCAGCATTAAAAAATAAAAATAAAGTGTGAACCAAGAATTACATAACAAGCCAAGCTAATCTTCAAGAATCAAGATTATGGAAAATAACTAGGGAGGCTGAGGCAGGAGAATCGGTTGAGCTCAGGAGGCGGAAGTTGCCGTGAGCCCAGTTGTGCGATTGCACTCCAGCCTGGGCATCAAGAGAGAGACTCCGTCTCAAAAAAAAAAAAAAAAAAGATAGGACGACAACTAAACAATATCCTTTTTTCAAATTAAGGTATTAAGTGTTACTTAATACCCCCTCTAGCAGGTGGAATTATCTTGATGACTGCTTGGGTTCAGCGGTGACGATCTACAGTTTGTATTCAGACATATTTGTTGCGTTCACAGCGTTCACAGATGATTGATATAAATGATGAAAAGCTAACACCCACTGTGGCCCGTTCGGGGATCCAACCCGCAACCTTGACATTATTAGCACCACGCTCTAACCAATTAAGTTAACCGGCCACGACGCGAAGTTCACTTCCCTCTTAACAAGATATAAAAAAATAAACGATTTTTTCCCTCTTCAACTTTTTTTTTTGAGACGGAATTTCGCTCTTGTTGCCCAGGCTGGAGTGCAATGGCGCGATCTCGGCTCACCGCAACCTCCGCCTCCCGGGTTCAAGCGATTCTCCTGCCTCAGCCTCCCGAGTAGTTGAAATTACAGGCATGCGCCACTATACCCGGCTAATTTTGTATTTTTAGTAGAGACGGTTTCTTCTTGTTGGTCAGGATAGTCTACGAACTCCCAACCTCGGGTGATCCGCCCGCCTTGGCCTTCCAAATTGCTGGGATTATAGGCGTGAGCCACCGCGCCCGGCCTCAAGCAATTTTCTCATTCGAGTTCAAAATGGATCATAAAGCAGCGAAGACAACTCGCAATATCAACAATGCACTTTGGCCCAGGAACTGCTAATGAACGTACAGTGCAGTGGTGGTTCCAGAAGTTTTGCAAAGGTGAGAAGAGCCTTGAAGATGAAGAGTTGTAGTGGCGGGCCATGGGAAGTTGACAAGACTAATTGAGAGCAATCAGCGAAGCTGATTCTCTTACAACTACGAGAGAAGTTGCCAAATAATTCAACGTCGACCATTTTACCGTGCGGCATTTGAAGCAAATTGGAAAGATGAAAAACCTTGGTAAATGGGTACCTCATGAGCTGAGCGAAAAAAAAAAAGGGCCGTTCTGAAGTGTCTTCTTCCTTTATCCTACGCAACAAGGAACCATTTCTCCATCGGATTGTGACGTGCGATGAAAAGTGGATTTTATACGACAACTGGCGACGACTAGTTCAGTGGTTGGATCGAGAAGAAGCTCCAAAGCACTTCCCAAAGCCAAACTTGTACCAAAAAAAGGTCATATTCGCTGTTTGGTGGTCTGCTGCTTGTCTGATTCACTGTAGCTTTCCGAATACCCGTGAAACCATTACATCTGAGAAGTATGCTCAGCAACTCAATGAGATACATCGAAAACTGCAATGCCTGCAGCCAGCATTGGTTAACAGGAAGGGCCCAATTCTTCACAACAACGTTGACTCGACTGCACGTCGCACAAATAACGCTTCTGAAGTTGAGCGAATTGGGCTACGAAGATTTTCCTAATCCATCATATTCATCTGACCTCTCACCAATCGACTACCACTTCTTCAAACATCTCCACAACTTTTTGCAGGTAAAACGCTTCCACAACGAGGGGATGCAAGCATTTTCTGTCCAATCCCGAAGCACAGATTTTTACCCTCCAGGAATAAACAAACTTATTTCTTGTTGGCAAAAATGTGTTGATTGTAATGGTTCCTATTTTGATTAATAAAGATGTGTTTGAGCCTAGTTATAATGATTTAAAAATTCATGGTCCGAAACTGCAACTACTTTTGCACCAACCTAAATGTTAATTTTAACGAATTGAAAGTATGAAGGAAGAAACACACTGTGGATAAAAATATACTAAAAAGAAAAACATATTAAAAGTTATTAGGTTTGAGTATATCCAAAGAATCCTCCTTTCATTCTGCTATGGATTGCTGCACAGAAGAGAAAGTTTTTTGGGGTGTACTGGTTAGCACATCTGCCTACAAGAAAGGGGTCTCAGATTTGAAACTGATTAAAGCCATAGCTTTTCCAAAAAGATTTCTCACTTTATCGAGAAATACAAATATTCACATTCTCTAAATGCCAAAGTCTTCCCGTTCTCTCTGTTGTTCCAAACTTAAATATGAAAAGTTTTCCCAGTTCTTCTGGAAAAAGGACTCTGCCAGATTGGGTCTAGGCCATTTTGTCATTTAGGCAAAAGGTGCTGTTAAGTCTACATATTACCATTATACACACACACACACACACACACACACACACACACTCTGTGATCCTTCTCTGAAAACACTTATATGTTTTGAGGTGTTAATTTTGCCCACTTTGAAAACTAAAATAGGTAAACAATTTGTCAAAAGATAACATGTGTGTTTTAAATTTATATGGTTAATAAATCAGTTCCTACATTCCAACATTTAATGTCAATTATGATTTATGGAGTAACTTTATTAAATTTGTGCCTCCTTTCACCTTTACTGTTTGTTTTTGCACACTTTTAACTGCTGCATGATTTATCACACATTTTGGCCAAGATTCTTCCCCTTAGTGAGTTATGTCTTTATTCACAGTAGGAGGAAAACGTGATTCTACAGAAAAATGTATTTTCATGTATTTTATGATATTAAAATAATAGAGTGACATTAAATTTTAATTAAATAATATTTTATAATGTGACATATTATAAATTATTATAATAATAAATAATATAAGTAATAAATAATATTTAATATTAAATATTATTTTTAATAAATAATAAATAAATAATGAATAATTATGACATTAAAAATAATAGAGTACTCATTACTAATCCATGCACACATCAGTACACAATATAAATATATAAGAAAATACAATGAAACTGAAACTATGGTAGATTAACAGACTGCAAAAATTAGTGATGAGCTCACAAGTACACCAATAAAAATGTACACACCCATGATAAATTGGAAATGATACTTCCAAGGCACAGGGAAGCTAAACGCATTTCTCTATCCATTCATCCATTGGTGAACACAAGAATTCCATATCTTGGCTGGGCGCCGTTGCTCACGCCTGCAATCCCAGCACTTTGGGAGGCCGAGGAGAGCCCAGAAGTTCAAGACCAGCCTGGGCAACATGGTGAAAACGCGCCCCTACTAAAAATACAAAAAAAAAAAAAAATCAGCGGGGTATATTGGCATAGGCTTGTAATCCCAGCTACTCGGGAGACTGAGGCACAAGAATCGTTTGAGCCCGGGAGACAGAGGTTGCAGTGAGTCAAAATCGCACCCTGGGCGACAGAGAGAGATTCTGTGCCACCAAAAAAAAAAAAAAAGAAGAATTCCATATCTTGGTGGTATGCAGATAATCTCTTGGACATACTGATTTCACTTCCTTTAGCTATATACCCACTAGAGAGTTTGCTGGATCATATGGTATCTCTATTTTTAATTTTTTGAGGAACCACAATACTGTTTTCCATAATAAATGTTATTAGTTCTTTAAATAGTTGGTAGAATTCACTAGAGACGCTACAGGTCCTGGGCTTTTCTTTGATGGGAGATGTTTTTATTGCTGATTCAATTTCCTTATCTACTATTGGTATGTTCATATTTTCTGTGTCTTCATGATTCAGGCTTGGTAGGTTGTGTATGTCTAGGAATTTTTTTTTCATTTTTCCCAGTCCTTATCCTGCCTGGCAGACAACTGGACACACTCGACTCCCGGGCCCTCAGTTTCTTCCCTTCGAGCACCGCCCAGCACAAAGAGCGGGCCGTTTCCAGGGTTCAATCCGCTGCCTCCCGGCTATTTTCTTGTGGTAATTTTCTGCCTCCCAAGAGATGGAGATCACAGAGCCTTCTGCTGTTGGAGAAAGCCTAACAGAGGGAGTACTTTAAAAAAAATGTCCTCTACTGGGGGGCTGTGTAAAATTTCTGTGCTGTGTTTGAAAAGAAAATTTTCCCCAAGTCGCAGTATTTTCTTTGTATGACTCGTGAACTCCGATATTACTGATTTTAATAAATAGGAAAGCTTATCAACCTTGATAATTTCCTGAAAGAAAAGATCAATTCGATGTTACCAAATCTGGGATATCCAGAAAAATTTTCTTCTTCTCCTAGGAGAAAAACTATCAAATGTCAGGGCTTCTGTAGTGTAGTGGTTATCACGTTCGCCTCACACGCGAAAGGTCCCCGGTTCGAAACCGGGCAGAAGCAACCTGTATTTTTGAGGAATCCTTAGCTGAATTTCTCAGTGCACGTTTTTAGAATTGCACCCCCGCACCATCTTTAGCCGTTTAGGAGAGAAGGTTCTCCTTGTCACCTGTGGTGTGCATATAAACCGAAGTACACCTGCCGCCTTTCTCCCACCAGAGCCCTTCCTGTTTTCGACAAGGAAAAAGCCCTCTTCAAAGCCAAGTGTCCGTGGCTACTCGGGTGGACATGAACAGACCCGAGCAATTTTTTGCCGAACAAATTATTATTATTATAATTGATGCTCTCATCGCCTGATCCCCACAAAGACCTCAAGGACTTGGTTCGCAGGCAACTTGAACGATCTTTCCGCTCAGGAACATTTTTCCTGGAGGGTCAAGGCGAGGCCGAGACTTTGCCGAAAGCCACCCTTTCCGGGAGCACTGGGCCAGAACCGCCCCTCCAGGTGCAGGCTGGGCTCCAGTCGCTCACTCGCTGCTCGTAAGCCTCGCTCCATGGGATCATCACAAGGTTCCACTGAGACTCAGGACGCTACAGGAAGATTTGGAGTGGGATTAGGGTGTTTTCCTGTGTGTACATGTACTGAGGTCCTCGAAAGGAACCTGGGCTGGCAGATGTTCTTGCTGAGCTTTCCTCCCTACCGGGACTCAGAGTCCAGCTCGGAGATTACTGCACTCAGGCCAAGGCCAGCCCCTGTGGGTAAATGGAGCCTGCCGGCTCTAGATATATGGAACCGTTTGCGGACTTTTTTTTTTTTTTTTTTTTTTTTGAGGTATAGAAGGAGCCAAACAGCCACTTGCCTCTTTTACGATTTAGTCACGAAGAGATCAACCAGAATCCTAGAAAAGTTATTCCCAGGTGGGATGAATTCATTATATGAAGGAAGCGGCTCTGAGTAGAGCAAGTGGTAGACTGTAATGGATATGATGGTGTTCTACCTAGAACCCAATGGTTTTCTACATTGCCCAATGTTTTGTGGAGCAAGGTACTCAGACACCCAACATCCTGGAGTGCTGTTTGCTGCTAACTCAAAGCTCAGCTCTTCCCAGGAATTGTTCTAAGCTAAAAAGCTACCCTGTTTAAGGTTATATCTTTTCTCTGGGATCAGCCTACATCTAAAGCCACGTCTATGAGTGGGTACAATGACCCAGCTCCTTTTCCCCAATTCAGGACATTTCTAAAGGATCATTGTAGCTCCAGAGCTCCCCATGGGAATGGTTGAGTCCTCTTTTGTATATCATTCCTGGATACACAATAGACTTCCTTCATGAAAACTATATCCTGGAGTCTGTTTCTCATAGAATACAATAACCTAATGCAATCTTTTTTTTTTTTTTTTTTTTTTTTTTGAGACGAAGTCTCGCTCTGTCGCCCAGGCTGGAGTGCAGTGGCTCGATCTCGGCTCACTGCAAGCTCTGCCTCCCGGGTTCACGCCAGTCTCCTGCCTCAGCCTCCCGAGTAGCTGGGACTACAGGCGCCTGCCACCACGCCTACCTAATTTTTTGTATTTTTAGTAGAGACGGGGTTTCACCATGTTAGCCAGGATGGTCTCAATCTCCTGACCTCGTGATCAGCCCGCCTCGGCCTCCCAAAGTGCTGGGATTACAGGCGTGAGCCACCGCGCCCGGCTAATGCAATCTGAATATAAAACCGAATATAGTCCCCTATAGTCTATTTACAAAAGACCTACTAAAAGCAGTATTTTAAAGCATGTATCAGATTTGCCTCTCCTAAAATCAGAATTATACAATAGCTTCCCGTTCTACTTGAATTAAAGCCAAATTCCTAAGATCTCCTACAAGATCCTATATACTCCGATCCTTCATTTCTCTCTGATCTCATCTCTATTACTGTCTCCCTCTCTTGTACTCTGGCCACATGAACCCTTTTACTGTTCCTCAAACATTCCATGCAAGTACCCACCTTTAGACTTTTATAGTGGTTGTACTCTGCTTGTGACACCTCACATGTCAGGTGGCTTGATTGCTCCTTTTCTTCCAGTCACAATCTTATTAAGGCTATACTAACAACTCTAGCTTTCCAACCTACTCTCATCACTCCAGTTCTTCCTACCTGCCTCTATTTACCAATCACATTTAACACCTTCTTACACATTTTATAATTCACATTTTTATTATGTTTGTTATTTATATCTGTTTCCATACTCTATGAGGGCAGATATTTCATTGGCCCGGTACTAGTGATGTGTTGCTATAGTTCCCTGATGCCTGTCAAGTGTCTAGAACTGGACCTGTGCGGTTGTTACACAAAGTTAAAGAGATCTTTTTAAAACGTGAATCTGGCTGGGCGCGGTGGCTCTCACCTGTAATCCCGGCACTTTGGGAGGCCGAGGCGGGTGGAACATTTGAGGTCAGGAGTTCCAGACCAGTCTGGCCAACATGGCGAAATTCCGTCTCTACTAAAAATACGAAAAAAAAAAAAATGGCTGAGTGTGGTGGCGCATGCCTGTAATCCCAGCTACTGAGGAGCCTGAGGCAGGAGAATCGCTTGAACCCGGGAGGTGGAGGTTGCAGTGAGCTGAGATCGCTCCACTGTACTCCAGCCTGGGAGACAGAGTCAGACTCCGTCTCAAAAATAAATAATAAACAAATTTTAAAAATGTGAATCCGTCCATGTGACTTTTCTGCCTAAAATCCTTGCATAGTTTCCCATTGTTGTTAAGACCAATTCAAAAATCCTTAACTTGGCCTATAGTGATCATAGTTCTTAGTTTAGACTTAATGTAGATCAATTAACACCTGATAATTCCTTTTTTATTTTTATTTATTTATTTTAGACGGAGTCCTGCTCTGTCGCCCAGGCTAGAGTGCAGTGGCGCTATCTTGGCTCACTGCAAGCTCCGCCTCCCAGGTTCACGTCATTCTCCTGCCTCAGCCTCCCGAGTAGCTGGGACTACAGGCGCCCGCCACCAAGCCCAGCTAATTTTTGCATTTTTAGTAGAGATGGCGTTTCACCATGTTAGCCAGGCTGGCCTCTAACTCCTGACCTCAGGTGATCCTCCCACCTCGGCCTCCCAAAGTGCTGGGATTACAGGCGTGAGCCACCGCGCCCGGCCAATTTATTTTTAGTGCCCCATCCACTTACCATCAAGTATTCTGATTCATTTATAGTAATCTACTAGAGGGTTTTGCATCATGTATTGATAAATGTTCTTTCTTCCTCAGACTTCATCTCCTACTACTCGCCCTGTACCACTCTGCAGCTCAGTCTTAATCTCCAGACAGAATGACGTGTCTTAGTTCCTGTCCCTCAGGTGTTTCTGCCCGTGTTGTACTCTCCTAGGTGCACAAAATAAGGCCACTGTTGGCTCCTTCTCCGTGCTGTCCCCTCAGCCCCTTCCTTCTCCCGCCTGATTCTATCACATTCCCTTTACGTCATTACTTGTACCCCCAAAACAATGTTCCAGAATCTAGTATGCCCCAACTAGACAATCTACATACCGATTGCCTAGTTTCGCTTCGAATTTGTAGCAGGGAATTCAGGAAGAAGGTGTAGAAATGTGTCCAGGATTGGCCGGGCGCAGTGGCTCACGCCTGTAATCCCAGCACTTTGGGAGGCCAAGGGGGCGGATAACCTGAGGTCAGGAGTTCGAGAACAGCCTGGGCAACACGGTGAAACCCCGTCTGTACTAAAAGTACAAAATTAGCCGGGAGTGGTGACACATGCCTGTAATCCCAGCTACTCGGGAGCCTGAGGCAGGAGAATCGCTTGAACCTGGGAGGCAGTGAGCCGAGATCGCGCCATTGCACTCCAGCCTGAGCAACAAAAGTAAATCTCCGTCTCACCGGAAAAAAAAAAAGCAAAAGAAAAGAAATGTGTTCAGGATCATATTAGTGCTAAGTATAGTTAAAACAAACAAGCAAGCAAAAAGAGTATTGGGATCAACCCTCTAAAGCACAGTGTGACAATGGCCATCAAAATTGCCAATGTACATGTTCTTTGATGCAGCCTTTCCACATGTGCGAAGTATCATGGCATACATCAGATACGGTGTATGCTCATAGATACCAAAAATTTGCAATAGGAGGATGGAAGTCTAAGCTATGCCTATTAAACTATGGTATATACTCATATAGCTGAATACTATGCATATTTAAAAGAGAATGAACACTTTTCTGTTGTGATATGAAAGAATTGCAAAAATATATTCTGAGTTAAAAAAAAAGCAAAGGATTTAAAAAGTAGATAAAATGCCACTATTTGTGAAGAGAAAAAAGAAAACATTTGTTTAACTTTGGCTATGCGTTAAAAATCTCTGGAACGATAAAGAAGATATTAAAAACAATTGTAATATTTTTAGGAGACAATGGCTGGGTAGAAAGATCGGTTTAACCGTCCCTGAAGGGTGAGTAGAGCCACATTTCTAGAATTCTCCAATACCAAGGTCTTCAAAGTGGGCTTTGATTTGAGGTCACTCTGGAAATCTGAGGCAACAGGTAGGGAAACTTCCAAATGGAGGCTCCGGGCATGAGAAACCTGCCTGGGACGATCTCGACGGTGGGACCATCGAAAACAGACTCGTCGGGAATATCCTTCAGGTGCCAATTTCTGGGTTGTGTTAGTGAACGGCTCTTACAAAACAAGGACTCGCTAATATTTCACCGAGTCTGATTCATTGTCTGCACGTACTGATTACCAGACATTTAGAAAGCAACAAATGTTTCCATGGATTCCTGGACTATTCGCCGCAGTTTGAAATTTTTAAGCGTCCTCTTTCAACTCTAGGAACACGGCTTAAAAAATAAAATAATAAAAATAAATAAATAAAAAATGTTATTTCCTTGTTTTGTTTTTGTTTTAAGAGAAAGTTTCTCATTCTTTTTATTAAGAATCTAAAGCAACTAAGAAATTGTTTCTTCTTGTGAGACAAACAAGAATTATATTGCTGAATTTAATGCTTTCCCAAAAAAGGATGAGTGTCGAGATTAAGGGCGGGGGGTGGGGGGGGAAGAGCTGCACCCAGCGTCGGCTGGTTAGCTCAGTTGGTTAGAGCGTGGTGCTAATAACGCCAAGGTCGCGGGTTCGATCCCCGTACTGGCCACGTATTTTCCCCAGTAGTTTTTTATGGCAGTTCTGCAGAAACTCGTCGGTTTTCAGCCAGCGAAGGGCTACGGATAATTAACGATGCAAATCGTCGGTTTTCAGCCAGTGAAGAGCTGAGGGTAATAAACAATGCTCTCAGATGGTCCAAATTCGCTGCCATCATTTCTTAATCCATCTGAATTCTAACTCCATTCCCGAATCACCCAAATTTCTACATCTTCTCAGGTAAAGTTCTTATTCTTTTCCACTAGGTGTTAGGGCTGGGGACAGAAAGCTGTTCAGGGCAGAGGACCCAAGATTGGGAGCTCTGCCTAATGAAAGAAAAAAAAAATTAGAAGATTACTGGCTTTTTAAAAATTATTTAAATGAAGCTTACTTGATTTCAAATTGTCCTCCCAAATTGCTCCTGAAACCAACCTTCTTTCTCAAATTGGCAAGAGATACAAGATAGAGAGAACAAATTCTTAGGAGATTGTTATTATATGTCTCTGAAGACTTTTTTAGATTTAACTGACAGAAAAGATTGCCCTGAGAGGAAGCTATCGCTTTGAACATGGAACACAGACTTGGTGTGTTTTGTTTTGTTTTGGTTTGGTTTCTTGTTTTGTTTTTAGGAAAGGATGAGCTAGAAAGGAGTCGAATCTAGCCTCTTGTGATTAATAAACATGCACCTTGCATACTGCTTCCAACTTGAAAGGGCAATTCAATATTTCTTCTCTTTATCTTGTATCTCTTGTCAATTTGAGAAACAAGGTTGGTTTCAATAGAAATTTGGAAGGACAATTTGAAATCAAGTAAGCTTTATTTAAATAATTTTTAAGACGCCAATAATCTTCTAATTTCTCATTTTTTGTTTCCTTCGGCAGGACTCCCGATCTTGGGCCCTCTGCCCTGAACAGCTTTCTGTCCCCAGCCCTTACACCTGGAAGAAAAGAATAAGAACTTTACCTGAGGAGATGTAGAAATTTGGGTGATTCGGGGATGGAGTTAGGTTTCAGATAGATTAAGAAATGATGGCAGGGAATTTGTACCATCTGAGAGCACTGTTAATCACCCTCAGCTCTTCGCTGGCTAAAAACCGACGAGTTGCATTGTTAATTATCCTTAGCTCTTTGGTGGCTGAAAACCGACGAGTTTCTCTAGAACTACCGAGAAAAAGTACTGAGGAAAATATGTGGCCGATATGGGGATCGAACCCACGACCTTGGCGTTATTAGCACCACGCTCTAACCAACTGAACTAACCAGCCAACATTTTGGGTCTCTTCCCCCACACCACTCCCCCTCCCCATTAATCTAGACCCTCATCCTTTTTTGTGGTGAAAGCATTAAATTCAGCAATATAATTCCTGTTTGTCTCACAAGGAGAAACAATTTCTTAGTTACTTTAGACAATTCAATATCATATTACCTCTGATCATTCTGGGTAGTCTTTTCTGTCCTGTATAGGTTCCATACCTGCACATACTCATGAATATTAAGCTGAATACTTCAGAAGTTCTTTCTGGAGTTATCTCTTATTACAGCTCTCTTCTTTCTGGTATGCTATCATATTCACTCTAGCTGCCCCAGTCTCCCAGTCTATCAACTCCTCATCAACTCTGGGAGTCCACCAGGCTCTGCTTGGGTTCTGCCTTTCTGCATTGGGGCCTGGAAATTCAAGGCCTTAGTTAGGGGCTAATCCTACTGTTCACCTCCCCCTCTCTCCAATCATTCATTTTTTCCCCTGTGATTAGGGGTTACTATTCTTCCTTACCAAATACTGTATGTCTTGAAAAGTGTCATTTCATCTTTTTTGTTAGGTTTTGGTTCTTTACAGCAGGAATGTAAATCTGATCCCTGTTATTCCAACTTGACTGGAATCATCTCCCAGTTATTTGGAGGATGAAGAGCTATTTGGAGGAGCTATTTTCTGCTATGGGTTGCAGGCTTTTGGCACCAGAGAGGACCCTGTTATTATATAAGTGCAGCGGCCTGTCTTCCAGGGCTGTCCGGAGATCTTGGAGCCTCAGGGTTCTTGGGGCAAGCAGATGTTGAGCTGTGTCTCCAGGCTCCGACTGGGACAACATGTCTGAAGAGTTCAGGCTACAAGCCCCAGGGTGGCTAAATTGCCTGCTCTTCTTTTGGGTTTGCCCTGGAATGCTCTGTTTGACTGATTGGAGTGGGCACAGAGGTAGAGAGAGAGCTTGGGGGAGGGCAGGTTCTGGGACTAGGGGTCTGGAGGGTCAAATGTAACTAAAATGGGCATTCGGATCTCTGCTGGACATGAACTGGTACGTGGCATCCACGCACTTTTTCTTTATTTGTGCCCTGTAGCCACCAGTAGATATCCTTCACCTGAGGAAATTGGAACACCTTCGCCTCGGGGCTCTATGGGCATCTTCTGGTAAGCGAATCTGGGTGGTCCTCCCAGCTTCTGTACCTAGGAGTCCCAAGGGTGATTGCCATCTGGCACAGCCTAGGGGATTGCGAATGGATGAATGGGACCCGCCCAGAACCTGAGTTCCCCACAGCAAGTCCGCTCAGTCCCTGTCTTAAGCCATCCCTGTCCTTCCCCACAACAGAGGGTACGGAGACCAGTGATCTGTGTGAACTCGCTTGTGGACTAGATGATTTTTGATAAGTTGTTCGCTGATTACCTTTAAATTACCTTTCTTGTAAAAGTTACATTCTACCTCTATCGGTGGTGGTGTTAGAAAGAGTTGCTTGTGTACATCTTTAAAAGCTGTTTTGTTTGAAATTCTCAGGAGATTGAGTATCCTAGTTGCTTTTATTATGGCATAAATATTTAGCCACTAATTCAATTATATCTTATGTTATTTATACTAAAATTATAAAATCCTAGTAACCCTACAATTGTATCGAGATAAGAAGGCTTTTGTTCACCATTTCAAACAGTTAACGTTCTAATTTTAAAGTGTATTTGGAGAAATTGAATTTAGCATTTTTATTATATTCTCTGAGAACTTCTTTAGTTTCACTGAGAATCATTTCATGTATCTGATTTTGTAAATCAGTTACCCTTTTAAAAAATAACAATTTTTCACTGTATTTGTCTTTTTCGTTATTTTCTCTATGAACTAGCTAATACGTCTTATTTATTGGAAGTAATATAAAGTTTCCTTTTAGGTATAAATCCATATTCCAAGCACACTTGCATTTTTTTCAGTGAAAATTTTAAAAAGAGAGAACAGAAATAAATCTATATAAGAAATATGTGGGCCGGGAGCGGTGGCTCACGCCCGTAATCCCAGCACGTTGAGAGGCCGAGGCGGGCGGATCACGAGGTCAGAGGTTGAGACCAGCCTGACCAACATGGTGAAACCCCGTCTCTACTAAAAATACAAAAATTAGCGGGCCGTGGTGGCGTGCGGCTGTAGTCCCAGCTACTCGGAAGGCTGAGGCAGGAGAATTGCTTGAACCCGGGAGGCGGAGGTTGCAGTGAGATAGGCCACTCCACTTTCCACTCCACCACTCCAGCCTGGGCGACAGAGCAAGACTCCGTCTCAAAAAAAAAAAAAAAAAAGAAAGAAAGAAAGAAAGAGAGAGAGAGAGAGAGAGAGAGAGAGAGAAAGAAAGAAAGAAAGAAAGAAAGAAAGAAAGAAAGAGAAAGAAAGAAAGAAAGAAAAATATGTGAGTGGATTTAGAGAAATTATATTCTGTAAATCAGACAGTGGTCAACTTACAACTATTTTCCCAGGTGGTTGAGACAAAAACACTTAGATTCCACCTCTACCAAACAACTTGATTAATGCAAAAGAAAAGGAGAATGCCAACACAGGAACTCTGCCCAGAAACTAAATCAGCAGAGACGTCAGGTTAACAAACTGTTGACAGTTACCCACCTCCAAAAAAGAACTTCTCATTGTTATAAAGGTGCTTAAAATCTAAACATGAACCCTGTGCCTAGCCTACAATTTTTTCAAGAAACTGCAAAGAACCCTACACTAGTTATTAATATCAAGTTTCCACCCAAAATGGCCCAAGAATTTGTTTGAAATACTTAACATGTGAACTGAAATAAACTTGGCAAACTACAATTATGATGATTTTTGTTTTTTTTTTTTTTTTTTTTTTTTTTTTGAGACAGAGTCTCGCTCTGCCGCCCAGGCTGGAGTGCAGTGGCACGATCTCGGCTCACTGCAATCTCCGCCTCCCGGGTTCACGCCATTCTCCTGCCTCAGCCTCCCGAGTAGCTGGGACTACGGGTGCCCACCACTAAGCCCGGCTAATTTTCTTCTATTTTTTAGTAGAGACAGGGTTTCACCGTGTTAGCCAGGATGGTCTCAATCTCCTGACCTTGTGATCCGCCCACCTCGGCCTCCCAAAGTGCTAGGATTACAGGCGTGAGCCACCGCGCCCGGCCATGATGAAGTTTTATACCAAGAATTCAATGAGCCTACGCCTAAAGTTTCACCATTGTAATTTCCCAGGATGTCTTTCCTATATGGTATAGGAAAGACATCGAAAGATATCCTGGGAAATTACAATGGTAGTACTTTATATGACATATATGATAGACATATATGTCTATCATATATAGACTATATATATGATAGTCTATATAGGCTATATATGATATATCTCATATATATCATATATATCTCATATATGATATATATCATATATATCTCATATATGATATATATCATATATATCATATATATCTCATACATGATATATATCATATATATCATATATATCTCATACATGATATATATCATATATATCATATATATCTCATATATATCATATATATCTCATATTTGGTATATATCATATATAGTCATACATAGGCTATAAATATGATAGACATATATATCTATATATATCTATATTGTAAGTATAACACTGCCCACAAACCTTTGGATCATGATTGTGTAAGGGAGATGCTACACTTAACTTTAAGGCAGAAGAAATTAGCAGCAACTAGGACTCATATGTGACAACTTGTATCATAAGCACAATACATGGAATATATTCATGAGAGGCATCTGAAGTAATATGCTACACTCTGCAACAATTACCTAAGTTTCCCACATGGTTTTAAGACTTTTGTGCCTCGATTCTGTTAAAAATATCAACTAGTATAAACACTAAATCATATCCATTGGTTTTTTGTTTTTTGTTTCTTTTTGAGATGGAGTTTCCCTCTTGTCACCCAGGCTGAAGTGCAATGGCACCATCTCTGCTCACTGCAAACACCGCCTCCTAGTTTCAAGCGTTTCTCCTGCATCAGCCTCCTGAGTAGCTGGGATTACAGTCACCCACCACCAGGCCCAGCTAATTTTTATGTTTTTATTAGAGCCTGGGTTTCACCATGTTGGCCAGGCTGGTCTTGAACTCCTGACCTGAGGTGATCTGCCCGCCTCTGCCTCCCAAGTGCTGGGATTACAGGCATGAGCCATGGCTCCCAACCCACATACCCATTGTTTTTGCATAAACAAGTTAGAGGGCTGTTCTCTGAAATTCAATAGATATAGTTAATTAATACTACTACTGTGTTTTTAAGTGCTTAGGTTTCATGAGTGGACTGCAGGGCTATTTCAACTGCAACTAAATCAAATATGCTTTCATAAAATTGTCATTTAAAAAGACTTCAGAAACTAAGCAGGGGGAGAGGACCATTGGAAAGAGAAAAGGGTACTATGAATTGGAGGTTGTGGGGAGCAGAGGAGAAAACTGTAGGAGGGGAAAGTATAGCCAGCAATATTCGTTTAGTGATGCTCCAGAAACACATGTCTCTACTGAGATTTATCTTGATTGGAGCTTCTTATAAAGAGGCTGATTGTCAAGATTCTTGATGGAAGGTTTTTTTTTGTTTTTGTTTTTGTTCTTGTTTTGCTTCTTGATGGAAGTTTCTTATAAAACAGACTGATCACCAAGATTCTTAATTCAGGTTTCAAGCAATGACAAAATTGAAAACTTCAGCAAGAGAGATTTGAGAAGTGGAAGACAGGCAGTGAATTTTCCAATATTATGCTTGCATTTCAAATTCCTGTTTCAGACTTTTCAAGTAAGCATGCACATTCCCAAAGCCATTGTATTTGGCTAAATATTCAAGGACCCCAGTTTCCCACAGTCTATCTCGCTGCGAGCGGAAACTGCAGTTGCACGGCCTCGACAAGGCGGACAATGCCAGTTCGCATCCAGCAGAGTATTCCTGACCTCTTCACCACAAGGGTTTCTAAGGTCGGGGCCGCAGAACAGGCCTTGAAAGCCCCAACAGTCTGGGTTTCTGCAGTTTGTTTGATAACAATAGTTTTCTGGCGGCATTGATGACAAATAGAACCCAGCGAACGGTTATATATCTTCTCTTGAGAGTTGCTGCAGATGTTCTCCAAACCTTCCTCTGTAATTTCTTCCGGTGGCCGAATTATATGTGGAAGGATCATGGGTGATCTGGCGGGACGATTTCTGAGCATCTCAACTTCGTTCATGTAGCCGTCCACAATCTTCCTCTTTCTCACCAACATGTACTTAGCCTCTGTCTTTTCTTCCTTCTCTTCCGTAGGTAGAGCGCCAAGGGACCCGAGGATCCTGACCTTGACCTCTAAGAGGCCGAGCTCTCTCCATTCAGAATGTCTCCTTGAAGAAACATCCAGGAATGTTTACCTTGGGGTCTCCTTGATTGTGAGTTGGGGCCTGGCGGGGAATGTCTTCCGGGGAACAAACCAGAGAAGCTTCTAATACTGACATGCGTTTTACAAGCATTGCTTTGTTTTGCTTTATATTTCAAGCCCTTTCCTCAAACAAAACAAAACAAAACAAAACAAATTCATGGCACTTTCATCTTCTGAATCGGAATTGGAACCAGTCATAGAATTCCTTGAGGGTTTGGGGTACTCTGCTTTTTTATTGGCTGCTCCCCTGGTGTTTCGCCCTGGAAACTTCATCGCCTGCCTGAGAAGTCCAGAGTGTCTGCACTGGCTGCTGGTCCAGCAGCCTTCCTGGACTGACTGAAGCCTCGTGTTTGCAAAATTATCAGAAGCAAAGCTGTCATAATTGTCATGAGAGGATGACGAGGTTTCCATGGGAATCAACTTCACATATCGAATTTAAGATCGTCTTTACTCTGAGATCCTTTTGCGGCACGCGGAGAGCAGCCTTGCTGGCAGCGGAACTCTTGGTCTGCGCTTGGAGCCGGGAGAGCACGGTAGCGGCGCGCGTAGCGGTCACACAACAGGAGGAGCGGGAGGCGTGTGAAACTTCTTTATGAGAGAGAGAAAGTAGGAACCACCTGAATGCCCAACAAATGAGGTCTAGTTAAATAAATTATGCTACGCTATAGAATCAAATAGCTAAGATAAGGCAGACCTTTAGGTATAAGTGTGTTTGAAATGTGTCCAAGACATATTAAGTTTAAGGAACACATAACATCATGTCTATTGGGCTTTATTTATGCAAAAATATAATTACAAATATGTAGATAATTTCACATAGATGTAGATAAGGGTTGAAAGGATATAATCCAAACTTAATAAAATTATCTCTGTATGGTAGTGGAGTGGGTTCAGAGAGGCTCCAAAGATTATTTCCTATAAGAAACCATTTCAGCCTGGGTGACAGAGATCCTGTCTCAAAATATAAAATAATAAAATAAAATAAAATAAAACCAAAGAAAGGAGGAAAGAAAAGAAGGAAACCATTAAGATATCCATCATTTTTAAAAGAATGATTAAAGAAAGATCAGCGGCCGGGTGCGGTGGCTGATGCCTGTAATCCCAGCACTTTGGGAGGCCGAGGCGCGCGGATCACCTTGAGGTCAGGAGTTCGAGACCAGCCTGGCCAACATGGAGAAACCCCGTCCCTACTAAAAATACAAAAGATAGCCGGGTGTGGTGGTGGGCACCTGTAATCCCAGCTACTCAGGGGGCTGAGGTATGAGAATAGCTTGAACCCAGGAGGCAGAGGTTGCGGTGAGCCGAGATTGGGCCACTGCACTCCAGCCTGGGGAATAGAGCAAGACTCTGTCTCCAAAAATAAATAAATAAATAAATAAATAAATAAATAAATAAATAAAGATCAGTAAATGAGGATTTGAGCCTGGAGGCTGAAATATAGGAGAAGGGGGTTGGAAGAGCTCAGAGTGCTGGTCTATGAGTTCTCAGAAGGAATGTGGACCTCACACCCAGACCACAGGCCAAGTGCAGTGCAAAAAGAGAGGGTAGAAAATGAGAGACATATGGAGACAGCTTTAAGCATTTTTCTATCCATAACTAAAGTGATGATGTGTTATAAATACAGAGGTAACCCTTGGGTGTTAGCCAGGGACCATCAAACACCTGAGTTTGAGAGGCTACTGACAACTCCACCTATTACTTGCTGTAGGTACCTGAGTCAGTCTCTAATAAGGTGTTACACTTTTATCATTTTTAAAAATGTGGCTAATACATATGTCATAGGTCTCTGGTGTGTAATTATTTTATTATGTAAGCAACCATAATATAAAATTTACCATCTTAGCCATTTTTAAGTGCTCAGTTCTGTGGCATTAAGTACATTTACATTGTTGTACAACCATTATCACCATTTGTCTCCAGAACTTTTCCATCTTTTCCAAGTGAAACTGTACTTATTAAACACTAACTCCACATCCTTGCCTCTTTCTAGTCCCCTGGAAACCACCATTCCACTTTATCTCTCTATAAATTGTACTACTTTGGTACGTTATATAAATGGAATATAAAATATTCATCTTTTTGTGATTGGTTTATTTCACTTAGCATAATGTCTTCAAGGTTCATTCATGTTTTAGCATGTGTCAGAATTTCCTTTTTTTTTTTTTCTTGAGACTGAGTTTTGCTCTTGTTGCCCAGGCTGGAGTGCAATGCAATGGTGTTATCTTGGCTCACTGCAACCTCCGCCTCCTGGGTCCAAGCGATTCTCCTGCTTCAGCCTCCGGCTGGGATTACAGGCATGAGCCACCACACCCCGCTAATTTTGTATTTTTAGTAGAGACGGGGTTTCGCCATGTTGGTGAGGCTGGTCTTGAACTCCTGACCTCAGGTGATCCACCCACCTGGGCCTCCCACAATGCTGGGATTATAGGCATGAGCCACTGTGCCCAGCCAGAATTTCCTTTCAAGGCTGAATAATATTCCATTGTGTGTATACCACATTTTGTTTATCCATTAATCTGTTGATGGATATTTGGCTATTGTGAATAACACTGCTATGAATCTGAGCCCGTGTTTTAATTTATTTTGGATATATATGCAAAAATGGAATTGCTGGATCATATGGTAATTCTACATTTAATAGTTTGAGGATTGGCAGGGTGCAGTGGCTCATGCCTGTAATCCCAGCACTTTGGGAGGCCAAGGTGGGCAGATTGCCTGAGCTCAGGAGTTTGCGACCAGCCTGGGCAACACAATGAAACCTGGTCTCTACTAAAATACGAAAAAAATTAGCCAGGTATGGCGGCGTGCGCCTGTAGTCCCAGCTACTCAGGAGGCTGAGGCAGGAGAATTGCTTCAACTCAGGAGGCGGAGGTTGCAGTGAGCTGAGATCGCGCCTTGCACTCCAGCCTGGGGGACAGAGCAAGACTCTGTCAAAAAAAAAAAAAGAAAAGAAAATTTTGAGGAATCTTACTGTTTTCCACAGTGGCTGCTCTGCTTTTCATTTCCACCAGCAATACATAAAGTTCCTTACCAATAAATCCTTACCAATTTATTTTCTGGTTTTTGATAATAGCCATCCTAACTGGCCTGCAAATTAAAGTATAATTAGGAAAGTCATATAGATTAATGGAATAAAATAGGGACTCCAAAAATAGATGTACATGTATAATAAATTTACTTTCAACAAAAGTGCCTATGTACTTTATGAGGAAAGGATAGTCTTTTCAAAAATGGTGCAGAAACAAGGAGATAGCCATATGGAAAAAAATTAACTTTGATCCTTATTTTAGAATACATAAAAAAATTAACTGAAAATAGATCATAGGCCTAAACAAAAGTGCTAATTTATAAATCTCTGAGAAGGAAATATAGGAGAAAATCATGATTATGAAATAGGCAAAGATGTCATAGGATATCTTTGCATAAACATTAAGTCTGACAATAACAAATGCTGAGGAGGTTGTACAACTGGAACTCTCATATAATGCTTTTTGGAATGTAAAGTGAACCACCACTTTGGAAAACACTGGTAGCTTCTTATAAAGTTAAACACCCACTTACTAAATGACCAGCAATTCCATTCCTAGGTATTTCCTGGAAAAGAAGTGAAAACATATGCAATGGTTAATTTTTCGTGTCAACATGGCTAGCTCATAGTATTCAGATATTTGATCGAACACTAGTTTAGACGTTGATGTGAAGGTACTTCTGGATGAGATTAACATTTAATTCAGTACACTTTGAGTAAAGCAGATTGCTTCCTATCAGTTGAAAAATACTTAAGAGAAAAAAGACTAACTTCTCTCCCTAGGAAGAGGGACTTTTGCCAGCAGACAGCCTTTGAGTTTTAGCTGCCACATTAACTTTTTCCTGGGTTTCCAGCCTGCTGGCATACCGTGCAGAATCTGAACTGGCCAGACTCTACAATCATGTAAGTCCATTCCTTAAAATCACTGTCTACACACACACACGCACACACACACACACACACACACACACACTATTGGTTTTCTGTTTCTGAAGAACTCTGGCTTATATATGTCTACACAAAGACTTGTTACACAAATTTGCACAGCAGCCCTATTTATAATAGCTAGAATGTGAAAATAATAAAAATGTTCACCCACACATGAATGGAAAAACAAATTGTGGCATGTCTGTACAAATAGAATACATTTTACCAATAAAGTGCTAATAAATGGAATAAATTACTGATATGTGCAACAACATGAATGAATCTCAAAAATGTTCTGAGCAAAAACCAGGAACTAGAGTACATAGCATATAATTTAATCCATTTAGATTAAATTCCAGAAAAGGCAAAACCATCATGATGGAAAGGGCCTATAGTTGACTGGAAATTGTGTGGTCGGAGTGTGACTGACTGGGAAAGGGCATGCATTAGTTTCCTATTACTGCTGTGAAAAATTACCACAAACTTAATAGCTTAAAACAACACAAATTTATTATCTCACAGCTCTGGATGTCAGGGGTCTAGAGTGAGTCAGCAGGGCTATCTTCCTTCTGTAAGCTCTAGAGGAGAATCTGTTTCCTTGCCTTCGCCAGCTAGAAGAGGCTGCTGGCATTACTTGGCTCATCGCCCTGCAGCACTCCAACTTTTTTTCTTTTTTTAAGACGGCGTCTCACTCTGTCGCCCAAGCTGGAGTGCAGTGGCACAATCTCTGCTCATTGCGACCTCCGCCTCCCGGGTTCAAGCAATTCTCCTGACTCAGCCTCCTGAGTAGCGAGGATTACAGGAGCATTTAGTCAGGATTACTGGCTAATTTTTGTATTTTTAGTAGAGATGAGGTTTCACCATGTTGGTGGTGCTGGTCTCAAACTCCTGAGCTCAGGCAATCTGCCCACCTCAGCCTCCCAAAGTGCTGGGATTATAGGCATGAGCCACCGCGCCCGGCCTCATCATTCCAACTTTTGCTTCCACTGTCACATCTCCTTCTCTGACAATGATCCCTCTTAAAAGGATCCTTGTGATTACAACGCCCAATCCAGGTAATTGTGGATAATCACCTCATTTCATAATCCTTAATTTAATCACAGCTGCAAAGTTCCTTTTGCTGTGAAAGATAACATATTCACAGGTTTCACTATCACAGGCCACAAGGGAACTTTTTAGGATCATGGAAATGTTCTCTACTTTGATTGTGGTAGTTGTTACATGTATGTATAAATATGCCAAAACATCAAATTGTACACGTTATCATATATAAATCATCCCATAATACAGTTTTTTTTAAACTAAAAATCATAATCTTGCAAAACTGTTTTGGATTCTGTTTTTTCCACATAACAATATCTCATCAGCAACTACCAGACATAGAATAACAACTAATTATTGCATTCTAAAGAGTGGAGAAATCAGTAAATATTTGCTAAATTAATACATATTCATGTACGATTTTATGCTGTTAGGCAGAAAATGTGTTGTCCTCCTTTGCAGCAGAAAACTATAGCTGTCATCATCTCTCCGACTTTGAAGTTTCTCAAAGTTTCCTTCTTGTATGCATTCCCTCCTTCAATGATGCAAACAGAACATTTCAGGTTCAACTTCTGCTTAATATGCCAACTCTTTTGAAAATGAGCTCTGATTTTGCCAACTGTAAAGTGTTATTAGCTAGATTTTTAAATACTGATAAAATAGTGATTCCAAGTTACAATGTGAAGTGATGAAGGCAAATTGCAACACGATGTGTTCTTTTATAAAAAGAGATGGTCACAGTAACTCAACGCCTGTAATCCCAGCATTTTGGGAGGCCAAGGTGGGTGGATCACTTGAGGCCAGGAGTTCAAGACCAGCTTAGCCAACATGGTGAAACCCTGTCTCTACTAAAAATACAAAAAATTAGCTAGACATGGTGGCAGATACCTGTAGTCCCAGCTACTCGGGAGGCTGAGGCACAAGAATCGCTTGAACCTAGGAGGCAGAGGTTGCAGTGAGCCGAGACGGTGCCACTGCACACCAGTCTGGGCCACAGAGCCAGACTCTGTCTAAATAGATAAATAAATAGAAAACAAGAGAGAAAACAATAATTTGTATAAATATTGGAAAGGATACATAAGCAACTATGCATAGAGTTTACCTATGGACATTGGAAATGATTTCTGGGTGGATGAAATATAAGAAGAGACTTTTTACTGTATCTTTCTATGCTTTTTAACTTTGCAATGTGAGTATATTTCTTTTCTTTACTTTTTGAGACAGAATCTCGCTCTGTCGCCCAGGCTGAAGTGCAGTGTCGTGATCTCGGTTCACTGCAACCTCCGCCTCCCAGGTTCAAGCGATTCTCGTGCCCCAGCCTCCCGCGTAGTTGGGACTACAGGTGTGTGCCACCACACCCAGCTAATTTTTATATCTTTAGTAGAGGCGGGGTTTCGCCATGTTGGCCAGGCTGGTCTCGAACTCCTGACCTCAAGTGATCCACTTGTCTCGGCTTCCCAAAGTGCTGGGATTACAGGCGTGAGCCACTGTGCCCACCGTATTTCTTACCCCAAGATTAAACTTTAATTAGACGTTTACAAAATAATGTCTTTTACATGTCATTTCAGTTTAAAATGAAGTTTTTGGTTTCTTTTGTTTTTTTTTCCTAGTGTGTTGATGTTAATGAAAATTGTTCACATATGTCATTTAAAAATCCTATTTCATGTGATCCGGTGAAAACCCAAGTGTGGAAGTGATTGGAAGTGCAGATGGCTTTACAATTTCTTCTCAGATGGAGACAATTCACATAGGCCAATTTTCTATGTATGAAGATGGAAATAAAAGCAAAGACCTAAACTGTGAGGGAACAGCCATCGGATTCTACAGATTTATTGGGGACGTTGTTAAATCTTGGAGAGGACTTGCGAGACCACAAAGTGTTCTTAGGCAGGGACAAACGGGAATCTATGACCGAATTCTAACCAGTTGAGCTAACCAGCCACAGCAAATAGAATCTTTTTTTGTCTTTCACAAGTTTAATGTGAAACGATGTTTCAGAAAGTTTTGTCTAAAACAAAACTGGAAATTGTTTAACGCTAGTTCCCCTTCCCTTAGCACACACGCCTTACCTTACTCAATTTTACTTAAAAACAAAAATGAAGGCCTCCGTCTTAGCTCTCACATGTTACCTCTTCTTTTTTTTTTTTTTTTTTTTTTTCGCTCTTATCAGCTAGGCTGGAGTGCAGTGGCACGATGTTGGCTTTCTGCAACCTCTGCGCGCCGCCCCCCCCCCACTCCCCCCCGCGGGTTCAAGCGATTCTCCTGTCTCAGCCTCCCGAGTAGCTGGGATTACAGGCGCTCGCAACCACGCCCGGCTAATTTTTGTATTTCTAGTAGAGACGGAGATTTTACCATGTTAGCTAGGCTGGTCTCGAACTCCTGAACTGAAGTGATCCGCCCACCTCGGTCTCCCAAAGGGCTGGGATTACGGGCGTGAGCCACCGCCCTCGCCCACATTTCTTCTTTTGAAAGACTGTGTTTCCAGTTCAGTAGTGGCGATATAGAGCTTACTTTCGGAGAAACTGGAAGCAGAATTCACAGGAGATGTGATCAACAAAAGTGGTAAAGAACTAATTCTCCTCATGTGGCCGGTAAGAGGATCAAACCCACGACCTTTAGCGTAATTAACACAACACTCTAAGCAACCGAGCTAACCGGCCGGCGGGACGAGAATTGTGGCCCCTTCGCTATATGCAAAGGATAACAAAATGATTTTTTTCTCTGTTCTCTTTAACTCTTTTTTTCCTTGCAGGGAAAAAAAATCCCCAAACGTGAAACAACCAAAAACAATTTTTAAAAATCTTCACATTCTTCCTATTGCATTCTCTTCATCAAGAAGATAGAAAAAAGAAAAGAGAAAAGGTCAACATTTGGCCCAGAGAACCCTGCTTCTTACGTGGAAACCTAGTCTTTCTTAAACAGCCGATTCTTGGCTGGGTGCGGTGGCTCACTTGGTCTCAAACAACAACAACTTGCTGATTCTGACTCGAAAAAATTCAAGTTCCCGCGCAGGTTCCTTCTCCCATCCGGGAAAGGCCCGGGAGTAAACGCCAAGCTGCTCCAACTCTGAGACTGCAGCGAATGGATCAGGGAAGCAACCACGAAGCCACCGCAGAGTTCACAGGACCCGGCTCCCTCGCGCGGGGTGCGGATTCCTTTTCACTCTTGGAGACGCTCGCCCGGCAGGTGGGCTCTTCCCTGAGGCCTCGGAACCAGGGAATTTGCAGCCTCTCGCCGCCTGGACTCGGGGTGGTTCTCCGGTCACCGCGACCCTAAATGGTCCTGGGCAGATGGGTTTTATTTTTGTTTTTGTTTTTTGTATTTATTTATTTATTGAGACGGAATTTTGCTCTTGTCGCCCAGGCTGGAGTGCAATGGCGCGACCTCGCTCACTGAACCTCCGCCTCCTGGGTTCAAGCAATTCTCCTGTCTCAGACTCCCGAGTAGCTGGGATTACAGGCGCCCGCCACCACGCCCAGCTAATTTTTGTATTTTTTAGTAGAGACGGGGTTTCACCATGTTGGCCAGGCTGGTCCTGAACTCCTGACCTCAGGTAATCCAGCAGGTGGAGACGGCCTCTCTCCAGAACTCTGAGTTCTCCCTGTCTCCGGGCACGACCAAGACCCCCAAATCAATGCCAGGAGGAACTCGAGGCCAGGGCGCATCCAGAGTCAGGGGCATTTCCCTTAAGAGAAACATCAAGATTTGGGAAAAGGTGTAGGCATTGAGGCTCAAGTTGGGCAAATTCAGAGGAGGGAGGCAGGAGACACCTTGGCCCTGCCAGGTGCAGAGCAGCCTGCCCTTTTACTCTGGCTATGGAGATAATGTTTAAAACTGCCCCCGGGCCGGGCACGGTGGCTCACGCCTGTAATCCTAGCACTTTGGGAGGCCAGGTGGGTGGATTACGAGGTCCAGGAGTTCAAGACCAGCCTGGCCAACAAGGTGAAACCCCGTCTCTACTAAAAAATACAAAAATTACCTGGGCATGGTGGCAGGCCCCTGTAATCCCAGTTACTCGGGAGGCTGAGGCAGAATTGCTTGAACCCGGGCAGCAGAGGTTGCAGTGACCCGAGATCCACTACTGCACTCCAGCCTGGGTGATAGAGTGAGACTCCGTCTCAAAAAACAAAAACAAAACTGCTCCTGGGGATGGTTGGAGTTGATTCCCAGTGGCTGCAGAAAAATGTTTAATTCAGGAGGGATGCGAGTGTGTGTGTGTGTGTGTGTGTGTGTGTGTGTGTGTAATTTTAATTTTAACGAATTTGATGTTAACAAAGGCATGTACCACCAGGCAGGTTTTCCTAAGGAGAAATGATAGTCTTGAATTTGGTTGGCAGAAGACCCATAACTACAGCATTAGTTAGGAATTTTAATTTTTGAGAGTGCTTGACCTTGTATCAAAAAATTCCTCCAACCTCTTTGGCCAACACACACACATATGCACACACATACATGCCATGTGTTCCAGGCCACATTACAGCCCTAGTAGTGAAATAAAAGCTTTGAACATAAATTTAGATGAGTAGGTTTAAATATGAGTTTTATTGCCTTTGTTTCTGTGAGATGCTCAATCATCTGAGATTTCATCGTTCTCGTCTGCAAGCTATAAGAGTCTAGTTTTGCATTTTTTTTTTTTTTTTGAGAAGGAATTTTGCTCTTGTCGCCCAGGCTGGAGTGCAGTGGCGTGGTCTCAGCTCATTGCAACCTCCACCTCCCGAGTTCAAGCAATTCTCCTGCCTCGGCCTCCCAAGTAGCTGGTATTACAGCGCTGGGCACTACACCTGGCTAATTTTCTATCTGTAGTAGAGATGGGGTTTCACCATGTTGGCCAGGCTGGTCTTGAACTCCTGACCTCAGGTGATCCACCCACCTTGGCCTCCCAAAGTGCTGGGATTACAGGCATGAGCTACCATGCCTGGCCGAGATCTTCTTGTTTTAACTGTGCTGTTTACTTAAAAATACTCCAGACTGTCTCTTAAAAGTAACTTCCCACATTCTACAAGTACGGTAACTCACTTATCCCAGGTACAGGTAAGATTTCCATTTAAAGTCTCTGGAAATTGACCAAATTTCTACAAAATATTGAAAATCACTTAGTGAGTATTGGTAGAGACCATGGAAGTCTGCGGCACTTAAGCCAGGGGTTGCACCCATCTCTCCCCTTCCCAACATGTTGTAGAAGTCTCACTCTAGACATGAAGGGTAGTCTGTGAGGACCAGTAACTCTCATTGCTCCTGTGAGCCCCACTCCTACTCCTTGGCAAGGCAGTTCCACTCCAAGAGGGCCAGAGTAGGCCATGAGGACAGGAAGGACTGGTGGCTTCTATTCCCACTTCCCTAAAGCTCCAACTCTGTGTTAAAGAGGTTCTGCCCTAGTAGGTATGGCAAACCTTCACGACTGGCTGCTTGGGGCCCCTGCGTGAAGGGGTTGACTTTATTTGGAGTAGAACATGGAAAAATCTGGCCTAAGGGCAATGCTGAAAATAGAGGTCACAGTGAAGAGTAATCAGGGAAAGCTGACAGCTCAAGGATACTAACAGAAGCATGCAAGTTAATATATTTAATTTAGAAATCTACCAGAAATTTAAAAATGACATCTAGGGATGGCTGAAGGGCACCCTACCCTTGTGCATATGCACAGTCATCGAGACCACCCACTCATCTCTGGCGATCTGGAAGACTGAATACATGCATAAGGGTGGGCTTGCTCAGAAAAGACCAGAAAGGTTACTGTCTCTGGCTGAATGCACAGTAGACTTGTAAACTCCCTGAACTTAGAGAGCAATCCCCAAGCCACATGAGATCCAACAGACAAAGGTTGAGAATTGAATATACAAATGGATAATGGCCAAACTAAAAGTAAAAGTAGACTTCTGACCTACAACCTGCAGTAACCAGCCCAGAAAGCCAACCTACTATTACAGTAACCAGTCCAGGAAGTCAAGCTGCTATCTGTAGCAAACAGTAGAGGAAGACAAACAATAATACCCCTGTACCGATTGGCTCCAAATGGCCAGCACTTACTAAATATAATAACTCACAATTCCTTAATTTTTGTTCTTGCTTTCAACTAAGGACCAATGAGGGAAAGCCATACATGTACTCCCAACCAATCACATATGATGCCCCTCTTCTAGTTAGCCTGCCCACAGCTTCCCCATGCCACAGCTTCCAGTTAAGGCATACCTAGAACCTTCTCTTTTTTCCACTATAGCGCTTTCCCACTCCTCTGCCTGTTGTGAGTCTCTGCCAAACACAAGTGATGATGGTGGATTCTCTTGGTATAGCAAGTGCTGAATAAATAGCCTTCACTTGTTATCATGTTGGTGGTGGTATGGGTTGAACTGTGTCCCATCTTCTCCCCAAAAAAGATATATTGAACTCCTTATCCCCAGTACCTCAATCTGTGATCATATTTGGAATCAGGGTATTCACAGAGGTAACCAACTTAAAATCAGATCAACAGGCTGGGCCTAGCCCAAGATAACTGGTATCCTCATAAAAGGGGAAATTTGGACACATGGATAGGCACATGCAGAAGGAAGGTGATGTGAAGGCACACAGGGAAAATGGCCATGTGACTGGAGTAATGCATCTACAGGCCAAGGAACACAGGAATGCTGGCAAACACCAGAAGCCAGAAGAAGCACAGAAGCATTTTCTATTTGTCTTTCTAATCTCCTTCTGTTTCTCTGAATATCTTCATTTCTATCTCTGTGTTTTTGTCTGTTTCTCTATTTATCTTTCTGTCCTTCAATCTGTGTTTTCGTTTCTGGCTCTCCGTCAGTGTCTTTGTCTCTCCTCTCTCTCTTGCTCTGCCCTGGCTATTTCCACTGCTCTATTTTTGACTCTCATTTTTGGTCAAGGAAGGATTAGAAGGCAAGGAAGGATTCTCCCCTAGAGCTGTGAGAAAGAGAATGGCTCTGCTGACACCTTGATTTCAAACTTCTAGACACAAAAACATATAATATATACTGCAAGTTTCCATTTATATAAAGATCAAGAACAGGCAGAACTAAAGTGTAGTGGAGATTGACTTTGGTATGACAGCATGAGGAGGTTGCCTCTTACCCACAAGGAAATATGAAACTGGATAAAACTCTAAAACTACCATCTCTGTGCATACAAAGACATACAAAAAGCTGAGAAGTATTTATTGCTGAAAATAATTGATCTTTAGGAAAGAACAGTGCAAATCTATGGCAGGTTCCTGTCACAGCTAACATAGCCTAAGCAGGCACCCTTGGGATTAGCCCTATCCTCCCAGGCCCTGGAAGAAGGAATCTCCACCAGAATCATGAATCCCTAGAGTTGGAAGCTGGAAGTACCAGGGAGTGATATTTGATTGTGGGAAAAGATGGTGAGTGAAGGGTGTGGAAGGAAGACTAAATAAGAGAGATAGAGAAGGAAAAGATTAAGTGACAGGAAGAGAAATAGAGACACAGAAGAAGAGCATCAGAGACAGAAATAGAGCCTCAGGGAGACAGAGAGATTGAGGACACAGCAGAGGAGAGACAGAAATAGAGCCTCAGGGAGACAGAGAGATTGAGGACACAGCAGAGGAGAGACAGAAATAGAGACAGAGACAGAGTGAGAAAGAAAGTGACTAGGAGACACACAGAGACCAAAAATGAGAGTCAGAAATAGAGCAGTGGAAATAGCCATGGCAGAGCAAGAGAGAGAGGAGAGAAAAAGACACTGACGGAGAGCCAGAAACAAAAACACAGATTGAAGGACAGAAAGATAAACAGAGAAATAGACAGAAACACAGAGATAGAAATGAAGATATTCAGAGAAACAGAAGGAGATTAGAAAGACAAATAGTGACAGGGGAAAGAGAGAGGAAGAGACTGAGGGAAAGGGGTACAGTGAGAGAAACTGAGAAGCAAGGACAGGTTCAGGATCTAAAGTCCAGAAAAAGAAACTTACAGCAAAGCCCCTAACCCAGGAGCTGGAGTGGCAGAATTTGAACCAGAATCTGATCAGCAGGGCGAGGGCACCAGCATAAGTCACATTTGTTTGACATTTAACATTCAAAATACCAATATTTACAATGAGAATAATCATCCACTTATATTTCCATAACTCTCTGCAATAAAGCACTTTAAGTTGGGAATAAGGATGTTTGCAGACACATGCCAATTACGTGCGGAACAGGTGCTGAATTCCAATTCCTGGGAGTTTCTTCTTTCAAAACAAGCTGCTTTCTTTTGTTCAGTGAACAAGTATGTCCAGGACTGAGGTGACCATGCAGGGAGTGGAAAGGGTATGAGATTCAGACTTCACCCTTAATCTGGCTCTCCTTTGCCAGCTTGAGCCAGGTCTGTAGCTGCTGGAAGATGTTCTGTGGGGAGGTGGGAAGAATTTGAAAGTCAGATTTCAGCACCAGCAGAAGGAGGGAACATGCAAGTGATTATTCAAATGAGAATGCAAATGATTCAGAGCCTTTTTTCTCTTACCTGGCGCCCTAGGCGGAGGCTGGGGGAGTCTGAGGGCCTCTCAGGTGCCATGTCCAAGCAGTGGGAGCCAGTGCGGATAAGAAGAGTTGATTCTGAGGATCCTAAAGCCTGTGTTACACTTAGCACATGCCAGGGGTCTGTGTCCCCTGGAAAGAAAGGATAGGATGGGGCTAGGTAGATGGGTGCTGGGAGAGGATGAGGCTATGTTGAGCTGGGGCTAGGTGGAGGCTTAGCAGCCAGGTTTTGATAGCATGCTCACCATTAACAAACAGCACTTTGTTAGCCCCAGGGGTCTGGCCACCGTAGTAGGAGTTCGTCTGAGCCACAGCCTGGGCTACTGACAAGGCTGAGAGCCCAAACACCTGCTCACATAGGTCTAGCTGGGAGGGCAGTGCTGGGAGCTGGGAGAAAGGACATCTGGGATTCTCACAGGTGACATCTGTGTAGGGAGATACCTGTAAGTGTGGGTATACAGGCAGCCCACCACTCTCCTTCAATAATCATTTTCAAAGCTTTCCTCAGTGATGACCAGAACATTTCTAATACTCCCTTCGAGGAGTTTACAGTCCTGGCAGACAGACTCACACAGTCCCCTGACAGTGATAGCCCACAGTGATCAGGGCTGTGATGGAAAAAGGCCACAAGGCAGGGATCCCAGAGGAAACATGATGGGCTCAGGGAAAGCATCCTGCAAAGGATAAGACCTTGAGAAATTAGTAGAACTGAGCCAAACAAAGATAGAGAAGGAAGGCATAGTAAATAGAAGAAATAGCACGTGCAAAGGTCTGGAATGCTCGGAGCTCAAATTGTATTATGTCTGCCCTGCTTAAAACCCATAGCTCACTGTGCTTTCAGGGTAAAGATAACTTCTGTAACATCAGATTAATTCATCCCTTCCCTCCCTATTTGTTGACCACCTACCAGGTGCTCAGATAAATGTTGTACAATGTTGGGCACATGGTGGCAACCAAGACAGCTCCAGGCTCTGCTGTCACAGGACTCAGTCCAGAGGGGAAGACAGGCAATAAAAAATGTATTATGACAGGCTGTGTAAAATGCTAAGGAGAACACAGAGCTATCGAAGTCGGAGGTGGCAAGGCTGACTTATCTTGAGGGATCATGGCTTCCTGAGGGAGGCCACCCTATTGAGACTTGAAGATGAATAATCCAAGCAAAGTGAACAGCATGTACAAAGTTCCTAAGATGTTAGGAAGACTAATGTATTAAGAGGGTTAAAATATGTAAAGCCTTATAATAATAACAATAGCAAGAGGTTTATGGAATACTTACTGTAGACCTGCATTATTCTTAGAATGCTACAAATATTACCTCCTTTAGTCCTTGAAACAACCCTATGAGAGAAATATTGCTTGTATTCCCATTTTATAGATGTGGAAACAGGCATAGAGAAGTAAGTCACTTGCCCAAGTTTGCCCAAGATTACGAGTAGAAAATGGAGCTGGAATTTGAACATTTAATTTACCATATGTAGTATTTGGGACATGCTTATACTAAAAAAAAATCTGTTGTATATCTGAAATTCAAATTTAACTGGGCATCCTGTATTGTATCTGGCAACACTACCCTGGGGTCTTTGAGGAGCTGTGGTTTTGAGTACAGGAGGGACAAGGTTATATTTACAAGGATCTCTGTGGATGCTATGAAAAAGTTGGATTGTACAGAGGAAGTGAAAACCATGAGACCAGAGAAGCGGCTGGGAAGGGATCCCGGCAAGAAAGAATGGAGGTTCCCAGCAGGACAGCAGAGGTAGGCATAGAAAGCACAAGGGATGGACTACAGAGTTGTCCATGCAGAGTGAGGAGGACTCAGTAATTGACAGGCTAGCTAGAAAATGGGAAGGAAGCAACTAAAACAAGGCTCAAGTTTCTAGTCTGGTGGATGGGGAAAGGGGGCCATCCCTGGAATGGGGACACAGAGAAAGAATAGGCTGAAGGGAAGATCACTCAAGTGGAGACCTCAGTGTGTGCGTGAGGAGGCATGTGAGGGCCAAGCACATGCATACACTAGTATGGCTTCCACCTTCTCCAGCCCAACATCTGCAGGTTACACAGTGCCTGAGAGCTGGGTCGAAATGAGTCCAGACCACCTG
Source organism: Homo sapiens (assembly GCF_000001405.40). Lineage (NCBI taxonomy): Eukaryota > Metazoa > Chordata > Mammalia > Primates > Hominidae > Homo > Homo sapiens. The sequence continues at coordinate 27,253,021 of NC_000006.12, read as the reverse complement.
TAAGATGACTTCTCTGGGCATAGTAAAAAGGTTGTTTGAGGGGACAAAGTTAGGGTTAGGCCAGTCACTTACAGAAGCCGAACTCGGTACATGTCTGATACAACCACTGCCGGTCACCCACACCAGACAGTTGAGGTTCTGTGCTCCTCAGCTGTGCCACTGTCTCTGCTCGGGAAAAGCTTAAACACTTCTGGCCCAGGCTGTGCAAGACAATCTAGGGAACAATGTACATACATAAGACATAAATTCCTCCTCTCTTCCCAGCAAGCCAGGGTGCAGAGGCCTATGTCCCCAGAGGTCAAAAGTCAGAAATAGAAGGGTGAGTTCCTGAGTTCTCCTGGGAGTCAGTGGTCAGAGGGGGTGGATGCCTGGGTCCTTGTGAGTTAGAGATCAATGCACTAGAAGACTGAGACCTTATTACCTGTGAGAGCTTGGGCAAGTGATAATCTTTCAGACTTCAGTTTCCTTTTCTGTAAGTGGCGATAATAATAGTGCCTATCTCTTGAGAACTTAATGAAATAATATATGTGAAGCACTTTATACAGCACTTGGTCCAGACAGTGCTGGAAAAGCGACAGCTGGATTGCAGTTGTGGATTTAGAGGCTGCAGTCCCAGGTACCTAGGAGAACCCTATCCCCAGAGATAACATTTTTTCATTCATTCTAAAAATACTAAGTGAGAATTTGCCATGTGCCAGGCACTCCTGCAGGCCCCCCAAAAGAGAACAGGACAGGATAGGCAAAATAGGTAATAATCGCAGTCTCTAACATTCGCACACTGTGTGCCAGGCTCCCAGCTGATTGCTCTACATGACCCGCCTCATTTCATCTTCCCATCGGCCCTGTGAAGTGTTATCCCCATTTTACAGATGAGAAAACGAAGTTTCAGAGAAGGTTCTCGCTTGCCCAAGATCACACAACGGAAGTGGGGCAGGAATCTTTGTCCGCTAACTCCTCCCAGCTGTGCCAGGGAGTGCTCACCTGCACCGCCCGACGAAGCCCGCAGTAGGGCGTGGAGTGGCTGCGGTTGCCCCCGCCCCCGAGGAGAAGTCCGCAGAGCTGTCGCACGCTTAGCGGCGCTCCCGTCTGCCCATCATACTGCACTACACCTCCCACCAGTGCCTGCAGCGCCCCCAACAGCTCCGCCTGGTTTTCAGCGCGGCCCAGGGGCCCGCAAGCGCTCAGCTCCGTCCGCAATGCTGCTTGAGCCGCCCCACCCGAGCGCAGCCGCCGCTCCACTTCAGCGAAGGCGACGGACACCGCCGCCCGGCACTGTGGGAAGCAAGAGGCGATGTCCGCCAAGACTTAGGCTGGGCCTCGGCTTTCCCTACCCAGGACCTGCGTCCTCCTTGGGTTCCCCACTTTCCCCTAGCGGGACTCAGAGGGTGCAGACCTAGCTCTTGGCCCAGGCCCCCGCCCCCAGGCCCCCGCCCCCAATCCCCTGCCTCGCAGCCCTCCTTCTCGGGTCTTCCCTGCAGGCCCCGTCCTCCATTGTGGCCCCGCCCCACCTTGAGCCTCACCTCCGGATAGGATTGTCCCTGCCCAAACCCCGCCCTCTCTGGGGAGCGCCTCTTTTCCTGGTGCCCCTCCTCTTCGTCAGCTCCCGCCTTCTTCCAAAACCTGCGTATTCCCCCGAGCTCCGACCTTCCTTAGACCCCGCCACGTTGCAGGTTTCGCCCTTCTCTGGCCTCCTCTTCCCTGGCATCCGAGGCCTCTTTTCCCTCCCAGTCCCCCTCGGACTAGGCCCCACCTCCTACCTCCAGGGACCCGCCGATCGCGGTGCTCATTAGGCTTCGGGATACCACCTGTGGGCGGACCGCAGAGGAAGGTATCCGGAAGTGTCAAGGGACTCCGCCCGCTGGGACCCCTCCCCGTCCCGCACCTGCTGCCCGCCATCCTTACGTCATTATACTCGGAGAAATCCAGCACGGCCCGCACCGGGGCGGAGGAGGCGACCGACGCGAAAATGAGATGGGGGAACTAAGGGAGGAGACGCCGTCAGCCTGCGGGCTGAGGGGTTGGAATCGCATATCTTTCTGCCTCTGTGTCACTTACTCGCTGTGTAATCTCGGGCTCTTGTGAGGACAGCTTGTGCAAAATTCTTTGGGCGCGGGAGGAAGGTAGGGGCGTGGTGGGAGGGTATTCCTATTATCTGAGACTGGGGCCCTGGAGTCCGAGTTCCCTCCCCCCAGCCCACCCGGAGGAGTCGCAGGACCTTCAGCCGGGCCCAGGCGGCCAAGGAGCCGGCATAGGAGCCTCCGAAGCAGATCCAGGGGCTGGAGGAGGAGATGTTAAAGAGGCGGGAAAGTGCCAGGCGGGCAGAGACCACATCAGCCAGCCTAGGGTCAAAGGGGGGACTCGGTCGGTCCTCATCGCTGGGAATCCCTGAAGATTTCCCCATTCTGGGGGAAACCCGGATCCAGAGACATGAATGGGTGAATCTGGCCAGAAACCAGGGCCGTTTTCTCATGACGTGTTTCCAAGTGTTCTCCAAGCCACATACACTTCCCAGAACATGTGTGCCTAGGCCAAGGGAGACCCTGTCCTCGTCCACTTTCTAGAAAGCCACCACCCTCTTTCCCTTCTCGTTTTAGGTAGGAGAGGAAAAATTTCCAAGTCAGTTTAGATGAAAACCTGACAAATGTAGGGAAGGGTTGAGGGCACTCAAGGAGGGCTACTAAGAGGAGAAGGAGGGGTCCTAACCTGATGAGTTGCAAGGTATTGGGAGAGAGAACAGACACAAAGAGAAATGGAGAGTGAAGTTTGGATATGTCTAACATCCTCTTTCTCCTCCCAAGGGCTTTCTTTCTTCCCTAACCTTTCTGAATGGCTTGCAGTTGGTACCATCCTGTTGCAGTTAGAAAACCGTTTCGCTTGTAGAAAAGATTAAGATGCAGAGAGACAGAGATGGAGACAAAGAGGCACAGATGTAGATACAGAGACGGAGAAAATGAGACAGGCAAACAGACTGTTACAGACACAGACAGAGATACCAATGAGGAAAGAAAAAGCTAAGTTCTGTAAGAATAAAGCAGATGAAAGAAACAAAAAGCAGGTGAAGTAAAGTTGGAAAAATGGTGGCGGTCGTTAATAGGAGTGAGATGCACTGAAGGAGGCTGGGGTGAGAGGCATAAAAACATCTAGGGGAAGGCCACGCCATGCAGAGGGATGAGTTCAAAGGCTCAAGGCAGGAATGTGCGTGTAAGTCTGGAGGACAGTGAGGACTTCAATGTAGCTGGAGCCCAGTGAAAGTGAGAGAGTATAGGTCAGAGTTAACTAGAGGCCAAAACCCACTGGACTCCATGGCGACTGTAAAAGCTTTGACTTTACTCTGAAGTCAAATACAGTCAAAATTGCTTTACTTCTGAAGCAATACAGAAGATGTCTGAGGGACTTAAGCCAGGGAGGATCATGTCCTGGTTTATGCTCTAACAGAATTACTCTGATTTCCACCTGGAAGTCAAGGGCAGAGCAGGAAAAATGGTGAGAATGCTGTGGCCGTAATCCAGGTAAGGAATGCTGGTGGTCTGCACAGTGATACAGTGGCTTACTTCAGACAGAGACGCAGAAATAGAAAGAACACAGGATAAGAGAAAGACAGATAGGGAGAGTCAGAGACCCAGAAATGGAAAGAGAAAAAACAAGACCCTATGAAACACAGAAGAAAACAGAGGGAACCAGAGACTCAGAGGTTGACTTCAGACAGTGGAGGAGAGAGACACAGATGCAGAGATGCCAAAGCACAGACATTCCTGTCCTTTGACCATAAACACTTTCCCTTCCTCCACTCACGCAAGGCGGCTGGACAAGAAGCGGAGCTGGGCCATTTCCAGGCCTCCAGCAGGTATACTCAGGCCATAAAATCTGTGTTCCAGGCTTATCACCAGGGCGCCCCAGGCTGGGGCCAAGGCTGCGGGATGGCCTGTGAAGAGTGTATGGGTGGGGGGTGGGGAGGTGAGATGCAAGTTGAGTTTAAGCCCTTTCACTCCTCAGGTCTCACAGCATTGCAATATGCAGCTCCCCTTCCTGGTCCCCACCAGCATCCCAACTCCTTTCCCCCAACATTGCCTCTTACCTCTCATCACTGAGCCAGGCCCAAGGCTGCCCTCACCCCCTAGATGCAGGAATATGGGTCCATCCTGGCCAACCCAATGTTGGTCATTCACCCAGTAACGCTGAGAGGTGGGATGGGGAAGAAGAAATGGCACTGTGAGAGTCCTGACTTATTCTCAATTCCTCATTTGTTCCAGTCTCTCTTCCTAATGGATCTTTCCTTATGTACTTAACAGTGTCTGAAATGAGCTTGTTTATTTACTTGCTCACTTTTCCCCTGTTCATCTCCTCATCTAGAATGCAAAATATACAAAAGCAAATTTTTGACCTGGTTTTTCACTCTTATATCCCCAGAACTGAGGGAGTGGCTCTCACATTGAAGGAACTTGCTATTTCTTGAAGTAATAATTGTAAAATAAGAAATAAATGCAGATGGATTTAGGAATAAGATCCAAGTGGGATGATATTTGGAGACTAAATACAGAGGAAGCACTGAAAAATGGCGAATTTGTTCCTTCTTTCGATAGATATCTTTGAGTGCCTGTTGTGAGCTAGGTCTGATTCCAAAGCTGGTTCAAATTTCTGCTACCTACTGAGACCTGGTGGTAGGTTTTGTGTCCAGTCTGGACAGGGACAAGGGGGTAGGGAGGAGCAGTGAATGTGAATGACAGAGAGAAAGAAATGGTGAAGGGCAAGATCTGAGGGACAAAACGAGTGGGACCCCGAGGAGAGGAGAGAGTAAGGCCAAATCTACAAAGGGCAGGAAAAGGGATACTGACAGCAAGCATAACATGAGATTCAAGCAGAGGGATGGGGAGAACTGAGGTGTGGAGAGAGAAAAAAGTGCAGACTGAGGAAGAGATGAGGGAGACTGAGGAGAGGGCAGGATGGTTAGTGGACTCCCCGTCTCCCGGCCTCACCTGTAGGAAGGATCGTCTGTCGGACACGTTGAAGGGGTCCAGCAGTTGCTCCAGCCACCCCACTTTTGGGAGGGCTGCAGCACCTGGCCCCAGGCTCAGGCCCAGGCCCTGGGCAGAGCTCTCCTGAAACTGCTGAATGTGCTCACCCAGGCGCCTAAGAAGGGAGGCTGTGGGACATGGAGGGAAGGAAGTCAGGCTGGCCCCCTTAGGATGCCCTGCTTGACCCTCAGCCTCCTCTTACCTGGAGCCAAGAGTCCCCAGAGGGAAACCAAGAGCAGAGGGCCCAGCCACTGGGCAAGCCAGACGGCCATGGTGTTCGGGACTCTGTTCTCCCCCAGGAGGACCTTTATCTTATCCTCAGCAGCCGGGCCTTAAATCCATCACCTTTCAGCAGAGGCTCAGGTTTCTTTCCTTTCCTGGCAGGTCAAGCGTCTGTAGGAACTGCTAAAGCGGGGCAGGGACGCCAGAGTCTGTACACAGAGGCTGCTGATGCAGCATCGGAACTCCCAGTTTCTTCTCTCTGGGCCTCTCAGTCTGTTCTTCCCTCAGCTCTCAGTAGCCCTCGCTGTCTCAGTCTCCTCCTCTCCGCTCTTCGGTCTACCTTCTCTTTATCTCAGATTCCTCCTTTGCATGCCTTATTGTCCTTCAACCTCTGTCTCTCCCCACCTCAGCACCTCCTCTGGAACCCCAGTTGCCCACTTATTCTCAGTCTTTTCTTTCTGCCCCTCAGCATATCTTCAGTACCCCTCAGTTGTTCCCACACTCAGTCTTTCCGTCTCTTTTTTCTCAGTCCCCCATCTCTTTTTCAGTCTTTCTCTCCATACTCATCTCTTTGTCCCCCAATCTCACCTTGTCTATTTTCCAGCCCCCTCACTTTCTGCTCTGCTTCACTGTCCCGAGCTTCTCTGACCCACAATCTCACACTGTCCATAGACTCCTTACAGTTCTTTGAACATACCAGGCTTGCTTCTGCCTTAGGGTTCTTATTCTTGTTGTTCCCACCCTATGGATTGTGATTTCCCTATATACCCACGTGGTTTGCTCCCTCACTTCAACTGGATCTTTATTCAAAGGTCATTCATTCAGAAAGGTCTTCCATGGTCAGCTTTTTAAAAATTGCCAAACCTATGGCCCTCTTCTATTCCTTTTCAAACTTTATTCCTAATTCTTTTTCATGGGACTTATCACTATGAGAAATATTGTACATTTAAAAAGTTATTCCCATAAATTTAAAAAATATATCCAGAATCTGATGACTTCTCACTACCTTCAGTGCTACCACTGCTGAGCCACCATCATCTCTGACTTGGGATATCATGGAAGGCTTTTAGCTGGTCACCCTGTTTCTGCCTCATGATTTATTCTACACTCAGCAGACAGAGAGACAGAATTAAATATTAGCCCAATCATTCACAATCATTCACTCCCTGGTTTAGAACACTTCCCTGATGCCCCATCTTACTCAAAGTAAATCTAAAGTTTTGAAAACAGTTTTTAAAACTCTGTATGACCTGGCCCCCTGTTGTATATACTGTCATGATTTCATCTCCTACCCCTCCTGGGTTCACTGCTCCAACTGCATTGGACTATTTCATATTTCACAAGACTCACTCCTTCCTTAGAATTTTTGCTCTCCTTAGGATGCTTTTCCTCCAAATATCTGCAAGTCTTATTTTATCACTTCCTATAGTTCCCCATTCATATATTTTATCTTACCAAATGGGTTTTACCTGACCACCCTTATAAATGGCACAACACCTGAGACCCTGTCCCCTGATCCTTCTGTTGTCACTCCCTGATAGTGATGACATTTTATTGCACTTCTCTCCCAAACCATTCCCCAGGAAGTAAGCTTATTCTGGGAAGCAATTTTGTCTGTTTTGTTCACTGGTGTACCCATAACACCCAAACTACTTCAAGGCACTTGAAAGGTTCTCAATGAATATGCAGTGAGCAAAAGGCTATATGGATAAATTGATTAATTAATGAATTAGTTTTCTGCTCAGGAAAGAATTCCCTAAGAATGTGACCTAAGAGTTGAGGCAAGGGAGTGAGTGGGGAGGGAGGAAGGCAGGGAAAAAAATACTTGAGGTAAGAATGAGGAGCCAGGGGGAGCATGAGGTTATCTGGAGTCAGAGGGTTTCTGGCCCAAGAAAGAGCAGGTGCAAAGACTCTGAGTCACAAACCTGCTTGGCACCACCAAGGAACATCAACAGTTAGTGGGCTGGAAAGTCAATGAAGGAATTTGAATTAGATGAGAAGAGAGAAGTAATCAGAGATTCAACCCTGCTGGCAAGCCATAGAAAGGGCTTTGGCTTTTATTTAAAGACTGATATATGGCCGGGCGCAGTTGCTCACGCTTGTAATCCCAGCACTTTGGGAGGCCGAGGCAGCTGGATCACAAGGTCATGAGTTCGAGACCAGCCTGGCCAACATGGTGAAACCCTGTCTCTAGTACAATTACAAAAATTAGCTGGGCATGGTGGGGAGGCGCCTGTAATCCCAGCTACTCAGGAGGCTGAGGCAGGAGGATCGCTTCAACCCGGGAGGTGGAGCTTGCAGTGAGCCGAGATCATGCCACTGCACTCTAGCCTGGGCAACAGAGCTAGACTCCATCTCAAAAAAAAAAAAAAAGGACTGATATGTTGCCGTAAGGGTCTTTTAAAACCTTAATACATAAGTGAATTTAAAGTTGGGTGTGGTGGTGCATGCCTGTATTCTCAGCTACTTGGGAGGCTGGGACGAGAGGGCTGGGAGTTCAAAGCTGCAGTACACTGTGATCGAGCCTGTGAATAGCCACTGCACTCCATATTGGGCAACACAGTAAGAACCTATATTTAAAAAAATGTATTAATAAATTTCTAAATTTATTTTTCGATAAATACGAATTTACTTAGTTGTTTTAATTGCTAGACTGGAAAGACAGGGATGTTTATCCCAACTCAATAATAAGACAAATAGCACAATTGGAAATGGAAAAAGGGTTTGAACAGGGATTTCTCCAAAGAAAATACACCAATGGCCAATAAGCACATGACAAGATGCTCAACATCATTAGTCGTTACTAAAATGCAATTATTATTTATTTATTTATTTATTTTTGGAGACAGAGTCTTGCTCTGTCACCCAGGCTGGAATGCAGTGGCATGATCTTGGCTCACTAAAACCTCTGCCTCCTGGGTTCAAGTGATTCTCCTGCCTCAGCCTCCCAAGCAGCTGGAATTACAGGTGCACGCCACCATGCCCGGCTATTTTGTATTTTTAGTAGAGATGGGGTTTCACCATGTTGGCCAGGCTGGTCTCGATCTCCTGACCTCAAGAGATCCACCCACCTCGGCCTCCCAAAGTGCTGCGATTACAGGCGTGAGCCACTGCACCCGGCCACTAAAATGCAAATTAAAACTATGAGATAATCCTTCATATTGACAAAAATGGCTCTGATAAAGATAGGCAATACAAGCATTGGAAATGTAAAAGGAAACAGCCACTGTAGAAGACTCTTGAACTCTTTTTTTAAAAAAAATCACTTTTGTTAGGTATAATTTACATACCATAATACTCACCTGTTTTTAAGTGTAAATTTTAATTTTTTAAGTAGATTTACAGATTTGTTTAACTATCAGCAGAATCCAGTTTTAGAACATTTTCAGTAACCCCCAAAAAGTCTCTTCATGCCTATTTGCAGTGAATTCCCATTTCTATTCCTAGCCATAGACAACCATTAATCTATTTTCTCTATATATTTATTTTCCTTTTTTGAACATTCCATATAAAAGGAATTCTACAATACATGCTTTTTTATGTCTGGCTTCTTCCACTTAGCATAATGTTTTTGAGGTTCATCCATGTTATAGCAGGTATCAGCATTTCATTTCCTTTTATGGCTGAATAATATTCTGTTTTATGGATATACTATGTTTGAGCTATCTATTAATTGGTTAATGTGCATTTGGTTTATTTCCTCTTTTTGCTATTATGGCTAATGCCACTATGAACATTTGTGTACTAGTCTTTTTGTTGAGATACATTTTCATTTCTCTTGGGTAGATACCTAGATGTGGAATTACCAGAGCATATATTAAAATCAAATTTAACTTTTAAAGAAATTGAACTGAACTGTTTTCCAAAGTGGCTATACCATTTGTTCATGTAATTTCTTAGACTCCAGAAACCTGAACCAAACAGGTAGAAAGTCTCCAATTTCGAACATGAACACGCTGGAAAAGTGAGAACTGAAATACGCCAGGAAAAATCATTGAATAGAGAGGACCAGAGGCTGCCAGATTATCCCTTCAGGCATGAAACTGAATCTTTTTATTGTGGGCAGTGGTGCCTGCTGCCTGAAGTTCAGCGGGTCAGACCCCTGGTGAGCATAGACATGATGTCCTTCAGGAGGGTCAGAAATTTCCGTGGATTACGCAGTCAGAAGCTGCAGGTTTGAAAACGTCTGCATCCTTTGTCTACTCCATGAGTAAGATTTAAAACCAAGTTTGTTTGTTTTAATCGAAAATAGATTATTCTTTTTATTGAGGCAGCGGTGGAAGGTGGGAAGGGACTTCTTTCCGGTCTAAGATTATCTACGAGAAGAATGTTGATGAAGTTAATGTTTTCGAAGCAAAGACAAGTCAGTGGAATGATTGGTAGCTTAGTTGGGCTTGAGTGTGGTTCTAGTGCCCAAAAAATTGTGGGTTTGCTTCCAGTACCCGTAACTTCTCTATGGTTTTTGTTCCTCTGAACTGTTCTTAGCAGAAGTCATCTCAATTTGAGCAGTAAAACAAGGGATAAATTATGATGCTCTAGGAAGCTTTAAATCCATCCCCTAGATTGTTTTGCCTTTTTAAACCATTCGCAGCCCAACAGATTCATGATCATCCGCAGGCAGGACACTAGGGCGCTCACTTATTTCAATCCCCCGCGCCCCATCCAGCGCGCTTTCATGAACTTCAATCAACCGTTATAAACAAATTGCGAAATCCACCTGATAACTAAGGGCATCTTTTGACTTGTGTGAGCGAGTTTCCACGTGATCTTGATTTCCTCTCAGCCCTTCACTCTGTCTCAACAGTCTGGACTTCCTGGCGCTACACAGAGAAAGGAGACCCATCTGTTTAAAGTGACACTGTCCAAAAGATATTTCCCATATCTTCCCTCCATCCTTGCCTTTTCCTTTGGGAGTTTAACTTTTTTCAGAGATCTCCTGCCCTCTTCTTGGGGCCACTTTCTTAGTCACTCCCTTTTGCTATGAAGCTGTTGCCTTCTTCTCCAGAACCTCAGGCACTAGTGGAAGGAATTTGAATTCAAGAAACTCCTGGTTATCTCGCTGTTTCTGGTCTGCATCTTTCTAGTGCCTACAAGTGACCTGAAAAGGAATCAAGACTCCCCAAAATGAACCTTGGAACTCTCATGACGTCTCTGCTAGGTTAGCTTCTGTCTGGGAGAGACTGTGAGGTTGAGACAGGTCCAGGTGTGCAGGTGGTAATGACGGGTAGCGTACTGGGGCCGTGGAGTGAATGCCCAGTGAGGATAGAATAGGTCTTTAAATGCCTTTCTGTTCTGAGTCAGTCATATGTTTGTTTCAGGTCTATGCTGTATATGTGAAAATTTCATTATTGATTAATCTGGTTTTTTAAAAATATAGTTGACTCGCCAGGCGTGGTGGCTCGTGCCTTTAATCCCAGCACTTTGGGAGGCCGAGGTGGGTAGATCACGAGGTCAAGAGATCGAGACCATCTTGGCCAACATGGTGAAACCCCGTCTCTACTAAAAATACAAAAAATAGCTGGGCGTGGTGGTGTGCGCCTGTAGTCCCAGCTACTCGGGAGGCTGAGGCAGGAGAATTACTTGAACCCGGGAGGCGGAGATTGCAGTGAGCCGAGATCATGCAACTGCACTCCAGTCTGGCGATAGAGTGAGACTACATCTCAAAAAAAAAATTATATATATATAGTCCCAAATCAACTGACATGCATTACTGTCCTTTTTCTTTTAAAATGTTTAGCTAGAAGTGAGCTCCATTTTCTTGCTTCTAACTGAAACTTATTTTCATGGCAGGGCAGACGCTCACAAAGGTGCTCAGAAGTAAGACTTTTGTTTTTTTCTCACAAATTCGAAATGATTTGGGATATCATGAAAAGCCTTTTCACATAACACTGTATATGTGCCGGGTCCGACCCGCAGACCCTGACTGAACATCGGATGAAAAAATGCACTCAGACACAGATATCCAATGAAAGAGCAGGCTAGGGGACCGGGCGTTCACAGAAGGAGTTGTTGCATCCTGCTTGCACACACAGAGGAGGGTGTTCTAAAGATTACGCAGCCCGGCCCTGACAAGCTGGCCCTGCGGGCATTTATTCAGTACAGATTTAATGGCAAAGGCTTTGAGTCAACACACTTGTGGCTAATTAATATGGTCACCCTCCCTGGAGAGAGCAGTCCTGCGGGTGATTAAAGGCCAGGGTTGGAGGCCTAAGTAAACTAACTTATCTAGATCAGTTTCTTTACATCTCCTTGTTATTTGCTTTATACTATTAGCTCAAGGTAAGAGGATCAGGCTGCCTTCAGCCATAAGCCTTTCCTAAAGCTTTTACAAAACCTCCTGGCGTTCCAAGAAGGTTTGCGTTTTTCCTATAATTTTCTCTTATAACTTCTCCCACCACCCTGACCGAAATCCTACATATATGTAGTTCATATAGCAGGTTTCTTTTACCCTGTTAATGCGCATGCTTAATATATTTCCTAGTGTTACTTAGAGTTTAGTTACATCTGTCCCGCTCTCTCCACTTCCTAGTGTTACTCGGAGTTTAGTTACATCTGTCCCGTTCTCTCCACTGATTACAAAGGCACAAATTCAAACATGTTTCAATTCTGATTTCCAAAGGCAATAACGGGGTGACTTTCATATGCCTTGGCTACTTATTAACCAAGTGCCATGCTGAAATTACTTAAACACTCAATAATACCTGTCCTTAAGGAGTATGGGTACCACAAAGTAGTGGGACATGATAGATGGTGAGTATCTTTTCAGAGAATGAGGTCCAGTGGTCTACTGCAGCAGTTATCAAATTAGGGTAATTTTACCCTTGGGAACACAAGAGGACCTAATTTTAAAAAGTGCAAGATCCGGCCGGGCACGGTGGCTCACGCCTGTAATCCCAGCACTTTGGGAGGCCGAGGCGGGAGGATCACAAGGCCAGGAGTTCGAGATCAGCCTGACGAACATGGTGAAACCTCATCTCTACAAAAAATACAAAAAAAAATTTAACCAGGCGTGGTAGGGCACGCCTGTAATCCCAGCTACTCAGGAGGTTGAGGCAGGAGAATTGCTTGAACCCGAGAGGCGGAAGATGCAGTGAGCCGAGATGGCACCACTGCGCTATCATCAACCACCATATAGATTTTTTTCTAAAATTGATCTGTCTGAGAACACTCCTGATATCAAGGTGTGCATTTTCTCAATGGCCTTTCTTATATTCAAAAACAAAACAAACAACAACAAAAACAAACAAACAAAAAAAACCCCGTGTTTCTCTCACTCTTCTCAGTATGACCAAGGTTCTTTAGCTCAAAGTGCAAAACACTCTGGGCTTCAACACAGGGACGATTGGAAAGACCTGGGTGGGAAGAGTCTTTCCCGGGTAATTGAATTGTTCTAATTGCTAATTAACTATCCTTTAGCAAGTCAGGAAGTTTCCAATTATTTGGTTTAAACAAATTAAGGGAGAATCTAGTCAAGTTCTCAACTAGCATAGAGTGTAAAATGTAATTATTTATTGTGGGTTACTATGTGATTTTTGGCAAATAACTTACTGTTAAATAATTCTGAGACATTTGTGTAACAAAATCTGATCTATTTTCATTTATTTGTATACTAAAATGCATTTTCTCAGTAGTTATAAATTGGGCATAAAACTAATATTGAAATGACTTATCATGGCAATGTGTACATTTATTTATCAACAATTACACGAACTAATTATAAAAGCCCAATTGTGTAATTTCGATAAATATCCAATTACTTTCACCTTTATACTCACTGATTAGTTTCCAAATTCATAATATTTTTATTGTTATGCTTGATTGTATATAAGTAATAATTTTAATGATAATTCAATGCAGAGGAACTCATAAAAATGAAAGCCGGCCAGGCGCAGTGGCTCACGCCTGTAATCCCAGCACTTTGGGAGGCTGAGGCGGGTGGATCACGAGGTCAGGAGTTCGAGACCAACCTGACCAACATGGTGAAACCCTGTCTCTATTAAAAATACAAAAATTAGTCGGGCATGGTGGCGCGCACCTTTAATCCCAACTACTCAGGAGGCTGAGGCAGGAGAATCGCTTGAACCCGGGAGGCAGAGGTTGCAGTGGGCTGAGATCGCGTCATTGGACTCCAGCCTGGACGACAGAGCGAGACTCTGTCTAAAAAAAAAAAAAAAAAAAAGCCTGCGCCATCCCCCAAATTGATTGTAATGTACATATATATTTTTGTTGTTGTTGCAGGTAAGTAGGCTATGGAAAACTTAAAATAATTTTAAGCATAAAACTATTACATTATTCAAAATTTATGATCTTCAACGTATTCAAGAATGATGCAACACTTTAATTTTTAAAAATGTCAATAATTATAATACAAAGAAAAACATCTGCTTAATCTTAAGATACATATTAATTTGTCAAAAATGTGTATGGGGGGACATAGTTTTAAAAAATTGGGGAGGACGGTGGGTAACAATATTTTGAAGCCTAAGGGCCCAACTTGGCTAACGACTAAGCTCTGTTAAATCTTCAGTTTTTATCTTGTGTCTATTGGAAACAGCCTCCAAATCCAAAGAGGGCCACTCAGACCAGATATTACAACACGGCCTCCCTCGAATTCTTGGGTTTTCCTAGATATTCAGCAGGGTCATGGAGGCTAGCGTTATCGTCTTTGTCCTCAAAATAGAAATCCGAGAAACCTCCAAGTGGCCCGAAAATTTAGAGCACTCGCTCGTGGATACCATTGTCACTCCAGAAATGGTCTGAATTCCTCTTTCCTCTCGAAATTTATTTGCTGGGCACCAAACTAGAGCCGGACACCAAACTAGAGCTGAGCCAGACTTAATTCCTGGGAAATCGTCCAGGAAAAAGAGCTGCCTGTTCGGGATCGTTGCTAGGGCTCTAGGACGCAGACTTGTCTATTTCAACACATGCATACCTGAACCAGCTCAACCCTGTTTGCATCGCCAGTGTGTTCCCTGTCTGAAAAGAACTGGGTGCTGACCTTGTTGAACTTGAGCACCCTTAGGCTGCCCGAGGCGCAGCGAATGTGTACCAGGAACCGTAGCCGCGCCCGGACAGGAAGAGGCGCCGAAGCCCGGCTGAGTGGAAGTCCTTAGTCTTCCAACAGCCATAGCGGCGGGAACTGGGAGAGAAAAGGTATGCACAAAGTCCTTTGTTGGAGAACGGAGACCTCCGAGCTGTTATTAAAGGACAGCTTTCTCCACCATCTTCCCATTCCACCACCAATGAGGAGGTAAATTGATTTCTGTTGAAAATATTGTTTTTTGGGGGGAAGACGTTGAGACTCCTGATGACATTTGCCTGCCGCCTAGAGGATCCTCGTGCTCCACTTCGAAGAATTGAAGTCTTGATAATCAGCAGAAATGACCTCTGCACACCTTTTCCCCATTCATTGAACTATTGAGCAGCTTACCATGCTGTGCGGGCACCCGAGGTACCAGGAGAATGAAGAGCAAGACAGCACAAAGAGTAACACAAGCAGTTAATTATAATAACGCGTAGTGGAGCAACAGACATACCACCGGGCGTTTTGAGGGGGCCAGAGAGAAGGAGTAACTCTCCAGTCCTTATGAACCCGCGAGGCATAGCTGCCGGAGATTTTCTTCCTTCCATTATGGAGCGGATTCCTCATGCCGCGATCCAAATCCACCAGCCATTCCGCGTGGTGAGTCAATTTCATAAGCAAACCATTTGGATGGAAAACTCAGAACGACCAGCTTCTGCTCCCAGATCGTCCCCCGGGTCTCTGGACCCCTCCCAAGGTCAAAAGGAAGGAAGCCCCTCTCGTGAATGGTTCTCTGTAGTATTTTCTCCGGGCGGAATAGGTGAGTTTGAGAAAATCTCATTTCCCACGGGAGAGGCGAAGTTCCTTTCTGCTGGAGGTAGAGTTTTTGGCCTTGTCCTTGTTTTTGTTTTTGTTTTCCTTCTTCCCTGCGGGAGTGCAGGAAGGGAAAATGCAAAACACCAACAGAAGTTTGAAGAAACAATATTACGTAGTCGCAATTAAAATTATTTTAAAAGACATCCCTTTGAGGAGAGGAAAAGAATTTCCTTTAGTGTTAAAGAAACACAAAAACAACAAACATTTTGCTTTTTTAAAATTGAAAGAACAACTGTTTTCCGGGTGGCCGGTTAGCTCAGTTGGTTAGAGCGTGGTGCTAATAACGCCAAGGTCGCGGGTTCGATCCCCGTACGGGCCACGAGGGTTCTCACCTTCTCTCTCCGATTTTGCCGCAGTCACTTCACATCCAGCTATACATCGGAAATAACAGCTTCTTCAATTTAAAGTCGGAATTAAATGATGCCATTTCTTCTTCAGCAGTCACACCTACCCATTTCAGTCTTGCACTCCTCTAAAGGAGCTTGGGAAAGAAAAAAGAAAATCTTATGGAACAAGTGACATGACGCCCTAAGACAGAAATTTTAGTGAAGAAAATGAGGGTGTTAGAGAGGGGGGTAGCACTGGGGTTGGATGTGTGTCTGATGCCCGCTGTCCATCCGAACTCCATGTTTTTTTGGTCCCTTTCTCAGGATCCAGCCTATGGAGTCTGCTTGTGCCTGTCACGTGCTTCCTCTACCTGATGGTCTGCTCACCCCTGGAGCTATCTTTGGACACTGTTGAAATTGATATTTTTTATTAAGATAATCACAATGGGAAACAATGCATACATATTTTGCTTTCCTTTTTTTCATATTAAATTCTCAGTCTGTTCTCATCAGAATTTTCGTCTTTGAGGACATAATTTTTTTCTTTTTTCTTCCAGATCACCAGGTCTCAGAATGGCTCTGAAGACAGAGTAGGCATTCGGTAAATATTTGTGGAGTGACTGTTGAAGACTCGCCATTAGAGTGTGTTTTCAAACATTGGGATTTTGTTTGCCCAGTCTGACTGATAAACATATATAAAGGAGCAAAAGCCTGCCAAGGTCTACATTTACAGCAAAACAAAGTGGTTGTAAAGATTATATCATTTTATAGAATACACAGAATTACAGATGTGAAAAATAAATGGTAAAAATAATCCCAGCAAGAAACGAAACTTAGACATTTCAGATCTGACAAAGGGTCATTTTCAAAGGATGACGAAACCACCGCTCAATACTTTAAAAAGACAAAATCAAAGCTCATTCGAGGGAGAGCTATATTGTAAAACACAGTCCCTGAAAACAGAACAGATGGCTGATCTTTTTTTCATTAGGTTGATATAATCTATGGGAGCATGGTTACTTGTCAGAGACTGCCATTGTTTGGTCGGCACTCATAGGTATGTTTATTGGAGTGAGTCCATCCCTGATCAGCTCACTTTCCGAAGCCAGGAGCAGACACTGATTGGTTTTCAAAAGTGTGTTCACAGAAGCGATTGTTACTGACAGATTGAACTGATTGAAAACCAGTTCTGGGCCGGACGCGGTGGCTCACGCCTGTAATCCCAGCACTTTGGAAGGCCGAGGTGGGCGGATCACCTGAGGTAGGGAGTTCAAGACCAGCCTGACCAACATGGAGAAACCTCGCCTCTACTAAAAATACAAAATAGCCGGGCGTGGTGGCGCATGCCTGTAATCCCAGCTACTAGGGAGGCTGAGGCAGGAGAATCGCTTGAACCCGGGAGGTGGAGGTTGTAGTGAGCCGAGATCGTGCCATTGCTCTCCAGCCTGGGCAACAAGAGCGAAACTCCGTCTCAAAAAAAAATTATATATATATAATGTTTATATATATATAACTAATGTTTATATATATGTTTATATATATATAAAACATATATATAGTGTGTGTGTATACACACACACACACACACACACACATATATATATATAAACAGATTCAGAATTTCACAAAACAACTATGGGCCGGGCGCGCTGGCTCAGGCCTGTAATCCCGGCACTGTGGGAGGCCGAGGCGGGTGGATCACGAGGTCAGGAGCTCGAGACTATCCTGGCCAACATGGTGAAACTCCCGTCTCTACTAAAAATACAAAAATTAGCTGGGCGTGGTGGTGCGTACCTCTAATCCCAGCTACTAGGGAGGTTGAAGCAGAAGAATCGCTTGAACCAGGGAGTGGGAGGTTGCAGTGAGCCGGGATCGCGCCACTGCACTCCAGCCTGGAGACAGAGTGAGACTCCTTCTCAAGAGAAGAAAAAAAAAAAAAAAAAAAAAAAAAAAAAAACAACCAAAAAAACGAAACTACGCTCTGTTTCTGCCCGGTTTCGAACCGGGGACCTTTCGCGTGTTAGGCAAACGTGATAACCACTACACTACGGAAACTCGCTTAGTGAGAGTGTTTTTCAGTTTTGAATTAGTTAAAATGAACTTTAAATTTATCCGTTCCGTCAGGGTATATCTTTGGCAGAGGGGTAATATTTTCCCCTACACTTTCTAATTCTTAGAATACATAGTTTAAAACCCGACAACTCGAAATCAAGCAAATGCTTCTCCTGAAGCTTCAATTCCTTCAGAAGCACAGGGCGGGGAAATATCAGGCAGTCTCTCGGGAAATTTTATTTCAGTTCATTTTTTTTTTTTGGTATGTTCTCTGCTCTCTGCTCTCATAAGACGCTCTAATGTTCATTTCTCGATGACTGAAAATTAAGCAGGATATTGGTGACCTCGAGTATTTTTTTCTTCATGCTAGCAGCCTGTCAGTGAGATTCATTCAAAGTCCCGCTTACTCCTAAATGAGACTCTTTCTTGAGGTTTGAAACAAAAGGCAGACGCAGTGTTCATGCAAAGGCGTATAACAAGAAATAAATAGCTTGGGTGTGTAAGGGGAAGTTTAAAATCAAGACAGAACAACCGTATTCATTAGGATCAGTTACCAATGAGCAAATATCTATATATCATACATGGTAATTGGTAATAAATACATATGTATATTTACACATATGTATATATATGTATATATGCTTCTCACACTATGTATTTTTTGCTGTTTTATATACATATATATATATGAACATGAGGATAAGCTTCCTCATCCATAATTATCTCATCCTTAGCATAGTGAAAAGCATCTAGTAGGCTAGATTTTATAAATCCTAAAGAAGCGATAGAGTTCTGCTAACTATGGTAAAAATTTTCGTCAAAAGATAGCATATTTGATCATCAACAGCTATTTGATAGGAATTAAAACATAAATTCCATGAGGAAAAGGATATTTTGTCTGTCGTGTCCACTGCTTTATTCCCAGCTACTTAATAGTCTCTGGCTTAGGACTTTTAGTAGAGAATTAATTAACATTTCTTTAGTGAATGAATGAATGAGAACAAGTAACAATCAAGAGTTCAGTTTTGGATATCTAAACTTACCTTTTTTCAGTGTATTGTAATTGATGGGTCTTTCAAACTTGTGCCAATTGAGATGCATATAAAATTGTTTAGCACTTGAAATACTCTCCTTACTTTATCTTGTAGTGAGACTATCCTTGGATTTTACTGTAGCCATTTTTTTTCTAGCATTTGTACCTGTCCTCAGCTATGACATTTTGTGTTAGTGTAGTGATTATCACTGTGTGTTATATGCAGAAGGTCATGGTTTTGCTCTGCAGGAGATCCAAAATAAACCAAGGACTGATCCCTTTATCCTGCTTTTTAAATTTCATAATAGAGAGACCAATGAATTATTTTACAATTGTTATCATCTGGTTGCCTGCTCCAGCAGACTACAGGGTTCTGGGGTCTGGCTAACATTTCCTCATTTTTTTCTGGCTTCCATAAAGGGCCCTCCACAAAGCCCAAGTGCTTACAATTGCCAAACATTCAGAATACCAAATTAACAGCTGATTTCTGAGACTAGCATGGAAGCTGTGAAAAATGTGGAAAGCTGCCAGCTTCAGCCAACAAAGAGTAGGCCAGGGATTCAGATGGCCTGAGAAGGTCTTGAGTCCAGAACCCCAGGAATAGAAAATGCCCAGGATATAAAGGCATTTGCGTCTTTCTAGGGCAGCTCATGTGGATCTGGCTTTTAGCTCTATATTTTGAAAAGTTGGAGCGGTAAGGAAGGCGGAATAGTAGTAACTGAGCCAGCATTTGTCAGAACTTAGGGAAAGTGGTCAGAAAAATAGCAAGCAGCTTGCAAATGAGGTTCTGTCCTGGATGTGATATTTGTTCTTTCAGCTTAACCTCAATAGACTGAAGTGGTGAAATGAGAGACAAGAAAATTTGACGTAAAATTTTATTTTCTAGACTCTTTGGTATTTGATCCCAATAAAATGATGGTTCCCTATCACCACAAGTGGATATCACCACACACTATTTTACCAATCCTTAGGATTCCATGGTGAGAAAAAATCATAGTAAGTCACAGATAGACCTAATTATAATGATGGCAAATTAAGCACAGCTTTTGCTTTCTCTTTATTCCAAACTACACTTATACAAAGCATTAAGGGTGTTTAAAGACATAAATACACAGGGACAAAAAGATGAGAAAATGATGAGCAGTAGCAAGTAGCAAGATTTTGAATGCCAGAGAGCAGAATGATTAGTGCTAACAGAAGGGAAAATCTTATTGTGTTAAGTATCTTTTTTTTTTTTTTTTTTTTTTTTTTTTTTGAGACGGAGTCTCGCTCTGTCGCCCAGGCTGGACTGCGGACTGCAGTGGCGCAATCTCGGCTCACTGCAAGCTCCGCTTCCCGGGTTCAACGCCATTCTCCTGCCTCAGCCTCCCCAGTAGCTGGGACTACAGGCGCCCGCCACCGCGCCCGGCTAATTTTTTGTATTTTTAGTAGAGACGGGGTTTCACCTTGTTAGCCAGGCTGGTCTCGATCTCCTGACCTCATGATCCACCCGCCTCGGCCTCCCAAAGTGCTGGGATTACAGGCGTGAGCCACCGCGCCCGGCCAAGTATCTTTTTAAAAAAAAATTTCTTTTTAAGATTGGTACATGCGGCCAGGCGCTATGGCTCAGGCCTGTAATCCCAGCACTTTGGGAGGCCAAGGCAGGCAGATCACAAGGTCAGGAGCTCGAGACCAGCCTGGCCAACATGGTGAAACTCCATCTCTACTAAAAATGCAAAAAAAATTAGCCGGGCGTGGTGGCGTGTGCCTGTAATCCCAGCTACTCGGGAGACTGAGGCAGGGGAATTCCTTGAACCAGGGAGGTGGAGGTTGCAGTGAGCCAAGATCATGGCATTGCATTCCAGCCTGGGTGAAAGAGTGAGACTCCATCTCAAGAAAAAAAAAAAAAAAAAAAAAGATTGGTACATTTACATATACTCTAGTACATCTCATAGTTGCATAATATTTAATATTATGTGTTTACCACACTTCACGTATCTACTGTTCAATGTTGGCTTCAAGGCTGAATCTGATTCTGGAAGAGGAAAAATAGTGAGGCAATTAACATCCACATATGATACAATCTATATCTTTGTGACATGAGGGGGAATATACACCTAGGAGCCGAATACCTAGGTCATTGAGTGTGTCAATCTTAACTTGAGTAAAAAGTATTAGACTGCTTTCCAAAATGGCTACATTAATATAAACTTCCACCAGCAGGATATGAGGGCTTCCATATTCCCATTTCTGCAATAATGGACACATCAAGCTTTCTAATTCTTCCAATGTAATGTAGGTTGAGTAATAACTTATTTTATCTTGCATTTTATATTGATAATATTAAATATTTAAAATGTTAATCTTTTCAGGTTCTTCTTATCATGGGTTTGATGAGGACCCTGTCCCTATTCTTTATATATTTTCTTTTCTTTCTTTTTTTCTTTTTGAGACAGAGTCCTGCTCTGTCACCGAGACTGGAGTGCAGTGGCACAATCTCGGCTCACTGCAACCTCTACCTCCTGGGTTCAAGCGATTCTGCTGCCTCAGCCTCCCGAGCAGCTGAGACTACAGGCGCCTGCCACCACGCCCTGCTAATTTTTGTATTTTTAGTGGAAACGGGGTTTCACCGTATTGGCCAGGCTGGTCTCGAACTCCTGACCTGGTGATCCGACAGCTTCGGTCTCCCGAAGTGCTAGGATTACAGGCTTGAGACACCGCGCCCAGCTTCTTTACACATTTTCTATTGAGCTTGCTGTTTGATCTTGCTGATTTTAATGGCTTCTTACTATATCATGTAGATTAAGTTATTTTCATTTGTAAATATTTCAAGTATCTTCTACTTTGGTTGTATTTGTCTATTTACTGTTCCATTGTGGCTTTCTTTGATTTGGGTGCAGCAGACCATATCAGTGTTTTGCTTTACTGTTTGTGGTTTTTTTTTTTTTTTTGAGACGGAGTCTTGCTCTGTTGCTCAGGCTGGAATGCAGTGGCACGATCTCGGCTCACTGCAACCTCCGCCTCACAGGTTCAAGCGATTCTCCTGCCTCAGCCTCCCGAGTAGCTGGGGTTACAGGCGCATGCCACCACCCTCGGCTAATTTTTGTATTTTTTAGTAGATACGGGGTTTCGCCATCTTGACCAGACTGGCCTCGAACTCCTGACCTCAGGTGATCCGCCCTCCTCGGGCTCCCAAAGTGCTGGCATTACAGCCGTGAGCCACCACGCTCGGCCTATTGTTTGTGTTTTTAGTTTTGTTTGTTTGTTTAATGTTATTCTGTCCCCTAGATAATAAAGCTATTTTTCTACGTTTCTATTATTTTTTTGTCTGTCATATGTAGGAATTTAAACTATCTAGATAAGTATATTTTACAAAATCCACAGATGATTATACTGTATAGTCCATGTTTTAAAAAATCACAACAATAGAATAATTAAAAACTCTTCTGTATGTCAATGTATGGGAGACTCTTTTCTCTGACATGTTCTTTCCTACACCCAGCAATCGCCTGAACCCGGGAGGCGGAGGTTGCTGAATCTTTAGGATTCAGCTCTGATCCTAGCATTGACAGGCGTGGATTTCCCTCAACACGCCTCATTTTAATGGAAGTCCAAGGAATCAGGGATGGTTCGTCTTTCCCTAACACCTAGCATAATGCCTGTCGCAAATTAGTGATTAAGTCATACTTTTGGAAATATATCTTTTCATTTGTTTATTTCCAAGCAATATTAGAAAGATTTATTAACTTTGTACACTCTTTTAAACATGGTCCTAGTTTTCGCGGATATAAAATTACTCATAATCTTCCAGAAACTACAAATTCTAGCCTAGTAAACGTTGACAACAAAACTGGCTGTTATCACCGGGATGGCTGAGTGGTTAAGGCGTTGGACTTAAGATCCAATGGACAGGTGTCCGCGTGGGTTCGAGCCCCACTCCCGGTAAGCGTTGGTGTGTACTTTGACGTTTGCGGTTTCTGCCGCAGAGTTGGAAGCCAGGTATGCTTACATAAAAACTAATATGACAACCTTCTCACTTTGCGTGTAAACGCTTCAAATAATAACGAAGGTTATTAAACAATATTCTGCCCAACACTACTTTTTTTTTTTTAATCTTCAAGGAAATTGCTTCGGTGAGCAGTATTAAGTAGGAGACGCCTCTTCCCACAATTCCTATGGCCTAACAGCACAGTGTATTCAAGTCTTGAATACATTCCTATCACTGTGGGATGTATTCAAGTACATTGACAAGCCTGTAATCCTAGCACTTTGGGAGGCTGAGGCGAGCGGATCACTTGAGGTCAGGAGTTCAAGACCAGTCTGGCCAACATAGCGAAACCCTGTCTCTACTAATAATACAAAAATTAGCCAAGGGCGGTGACGGGCGCCTGTAATCCCAGCTACTCGGGAGGCTGAGGCAGGAGAATCGCTTGAACTCGGGAGGTGGAGGTTGCAGTGAGCCGAGATCGCGCCATTGCACTCCAGCCCGAGCGACAAGAGCGAGACTCCGTCTCAAAAAAAAAAAAAAAAAAAAAAAAAATCAGCAGAGTGTGGCGGTGCACGCCTGTAAGCCCAGCTACTCCGGAGGCTGAGACATGAGAATCGCCGGAACCAGGGAGGCGGAGGTTGCGGTGAACTGAGATCGCACCACCGCACTCCAGCCTGGGCGACAGAGTGAGACTCTGTCTCAAAAAAAAGGAATTGTGGGAAGAGGAGAGCCTAAGTGGATGTTCTACCTAAAGAGACCTGAATTCTGCAGGCGATTCAGTTCCAAAAGAAGGGAAATTGTGAAATATTTTGCGTTTAGGTTCTCTTTGGCTCTGATGCAGGCAAAAGCGAATCCCACAAGCACTGCTTTTTTTTGTTGCCAGAGAGCGGGACTCAGAGAAGCCCAACTCCACTATTAAGGCTCTCAATATTCCTTACAAAAATCAGACTCAAGTAGGAGAAATTATCCCAAATGCGAGCAAGATTGTCGAATGCAAATAGTCTTTCAGACTAGAAATGTTCAGCTAAGACATTATAGGAAAACATCAATAAGTAAATAATGTGCTTTTAAATTTATTTCAACGAGCAGGAGATAATTGGCTAACCTAAATCAATCTTGACAGGAAAATGAAAGGAAATGATCCTCGGTGTGGTTATAGTTTTATAAAAGAAAAATATGTGTAATCCGACTGCTGTATATACTTAGTGAGAGACTATCCTTGCATCCGATGACTGCAACCAATTGTTGTTTGAGCCCTGCTATTTTTAGAATTCTCTCCTGTCCTTCTTCACAGTGATATTGGACCTTCATGTAGTGTTTATCACTTTTGTATTACAAGTTTCATGAGAAACTGCTGACTTGCTTTCCAAAGCAGTCATACTGTCTTAAATTTCCAGCAACAATTCATACCGTTTTAAATTCCCAGGAACCATATATTAGAGTTTATGTTCCCCCTCATTCTCACCAATGCTTGTTTTAAATTATGTTTTAATTTTTTAGCCATTCTAGCAAAAATACATTAGTATCTTACTGTGATTTTGATTTGCATTTCCCTAAAGATTAAAGTATATTTTCATAAAGTATATGTGTT
Source organism: Homo sapiens (assembly GCF_000001405.40). Classification (NCBI taxonomy): domain Eukaryota; kingdom Metazoa; phylum Chordata; class Mammalia; order Primates; family Hominidae; genus Homo; species Homo sapiens. The sequence continues at coordinate 27,228,920 of NC_000006.12, read as the reverse complement.
TATCTGTTGGCCATATATAATCTTTGGCAAAGTGTGTGCTTAAATATTCGTTATTGTTTGGTTTTCTTATTATTGAGTTCTGAGAGCTCCTTATATTTTCTGAGCAAACTACAATAATCAGACATTTTATTTTTTGAGACAGAGTCTCGCTCTGTTGCCCAGGCTGGAGTGCAATGGCGCAATCTCAGCTCACTGCAGCCTCCGCCTCCCGGGTTCAAGCGATTCTCCTGCCTCAGCCTCCCGAGTAGCTGGGATTACAGGCGCCTGCCACTACGCCTGGCTAATTTTTTTGCATTTTTGGTAGAGACGGGGTTTTGCCATGTTGGCCAGGCTGGTCTCAAACTCCTGATCTCAGGTGATCTAGCCAGGATTACAGGCGTGAGCGTGAGCCATGGCACCGGGCCCTAATTGTTCATTTCTAATACAGTAACTGACTTACCATGGTTTGCCTTAAATTTTCTAAACTTTGTGATGGGTTTTTTTAGTGGGGAGGTACTAAATGCATTTTTGACTTATATTCTTTTTTTTTTTTTTTTTGGAGACGGAGTCTCGCTCAGTCGTCCAGGCTGGGGTAGAGTGCAGCGGTGCGATCTCGGCTCACTGCAAGCTCCGCCTCCCGAGTTCACTCCATTCTCCTGGCTCAGCCTCCGGAGTAGCTGGAATACAGGCGCCCGCCACAACGCCCGGCTAATTCTTTTGTATTTTTAGTAGAGATGGGGGGGGGGGGTCTCACCGTGTTAGCCAGGATAGTCTCGATCTCCTGACCTCGTGATCCGCCCGTCTCGGCCTCCTAAAGTGCTGGGATTACAGGCGTGAGCCACCGCGCCCGGCCTTGATTTATATTCTTAACTTGAAATAGGTTCGTTGGAATGTAGCCCCACCGTAAGTGGAGGTACCTCTGTACATAGAAATACAATAGATTTTTATTTATTTACCTTTTATCTCACAGTCTTACTATATTCTTTTATTATTCTATTTCAGATATTTTATTTTTAGGTTATATTTATTTATTTTTATTTATTTTAGGTTATATTTATTTTTTATTTTAGATTATTTTGCATTCTCTGTATAGACAATCATGTTGCCTATGACTAGAGTTTTATTTCTTCCTTTACAATCTAATCTGTGTGCTTTTATTTATTTGTCTTGTGTAATTACATTAAATAGGACTTCTAAAACAATGTTGAATAAGAGTGGTAAGAGGCCGGGCGCGGTGGCTCACGCCTGTAATCCCAGCACTTTGGGAGGCCGAGGCGGGCGGATCACGAGGTCAGGAGATCTAGACCATCCTGGCTAATACAGTGAAACCCCGTCTCTACTAGAAACCCCGTCTCTACTAAAAATACAAAAAAATTAGCCGGTATCCGGGCGTTGTGGCGGGCGCCTGTAGTCCCAGCTAATCCGGAGGCTGAGGCAGGAGAATGGCGTGAACCCGGGAGGCGGAGTTTGCAGTAAGCCCAGATCGTGCCACTGCACTCTAGCCTGGGCGACAGAGTGAGACTCTGTCTCAAAAAAAAAAAAAAAAAGAGTGGTAAGAGCAGATATTCTTGTCAGACATTCCCTATCTTGAGAAGTCATTCAGTCTTTCACCATTAAGTATGATATTACATTTTTTTTGCAGATGCTTTTTATCAAGTTGAAGAAGCTCCTCTCTATTCCCAGTTTACTAATTTTTTAAAAATCATTAATGGGTGTTGAATGTTATTGAATGTTTTTCTATGTCTGTTGAGATGATCATGTGGTTGAACCTTCCCGCCACCAGAATCATAAGCCAAATAAGACTCTTTTCTTTATAAATTACGTAAGCTTAGGTATTCTGTTATAGCAACCCAAAATAGACTAAGACAGGCAGACTCTGTGATCAGGGTCTCTGAGGTCATTCTGCCTGCTCCCAGAAGTTGACATTCTCTGATATTCTGTACCTAATACTCCCTTGAAGTAGAAATTTTCATTCTTTTTTACTTTCTTCAGCTCCTGTGAATTTTCTGCTCTCTGGATATAACCATGTTTGCTGCTACTCCGTAAGTGCTTAAGCTTTCTTTCTTTAGGGACAGGCTATTCTCTCAGTCCTGTTCCACTGAAAGGGGCTTTCTCTGATCTCTTGCCCTGCTCCATCATTTCTTATGAGCACGGGTTCTACATCTGTAGACTCAACCAACCAAGGATCAAAAATATTTGAAAAAAATAAAAACAATGCAACAATAAAAAAATACAGTATAGCAACAATTTACATAGGATTTACATTATATTCGGTATTATAAATAATCTAGAGATGATTTAAAGTATACAGGAAGATGTGCATAGGTTATTTTATATAAGGGACTTGAGCATCAGTGGATTTTGGTATTCTTGCGGGTCCTGGAACCAATTCTCCTGCAACATGGAGGACAGCAGTACTATGAGAATTGTGAAGAAAAGCCTGCAAAAGTGTGAAAACTCTTCTTGAGTACTTGATCCTAGGGGTTCTAGAATTTCCTTCTTAGACATAAACACTTAGACTAAATTCAGCAAGTCATAAAATATTGAATTTTTGCTGAATTTTTCTTACCCTCTCGCATGGAGGCCTCATCATCATCCTATTGCTATGGTTGAGCCAGTATTCATTTCTCATTTCTACTTGGAAGCACATATTTTTCCATAGATTTCAGGCTACGTGGTTGTCTGAGACCTTAACTTTTTCGTGGGTTCAAGGAAAATTATGCTTCTCTAGACTATGTGGACTTTTCTTTCTTTTTTCTTTTCTTTTCTTTTTTTTTCGAGATGGAGTTTCACTCTTATCGCCCAAGCTGGAGTGCAATGGCTCCATCTCGGCTCACTGAAACTTCCACCTGCCGGGTTGAAGCAATTCTCCTGTCTCAGCCTCCCGAGTAGCTGCGATTACAGGCATGAGCCACCATGCCCTGCTAGTTTTTTTTGTTGTTGTTGTATTTTTAGTAGAGACAGGGTTTCACCATGTTAGCCAAGCTGGTCTCAAACTCTTGACGTCAGGTAATAGGTGATTCGCCCACCTCAGCCTCCCAAAATGCTGGGATTACAGGCGTGATCCACCGCCCCCGGCCTATGCGGACTTTTTCATTGTTAGATTAGGAGCAATATTCTTTCCAACTTTCTATATTCTAGGTGGAGGCTGGAGTCCCTTTAGGATTTTAATCTGAGCATAAAGGATAGCATCCTTTTCATTGCCTACTGTATTATTTTGTTAATCCTCTGAATATCAAGCATTATGAAAAATCATAGTAAGTTAGAAATAGACCTGTTTACAATAATCGCGTATTGAAGACAGGCATCTGCTATCTTTCTAGCCAAAAATTCAGAGAGAGAGAGAGAGAGAGAGAAGAAAGAGAAGGAAGGAAGAAAAGAAAGAAAGAAAGAAAAAAGAAAAAAGGAGAGAGAGCCGTTCATAAGTACAAAAGGACAATAATGGGAAAGTAGAAAGCAGTAGCAAAATTCTGAAAACCAAATAACAGAAGGACTAGTGTGATACACAAGGGAAGTTTCACCTTAAGCCAGAATTGGGAAAAGCCAAAGAATATAACTTACCTTGTGAAAGCCAGCCCCCAAAATTTCAGGTATTGGTGGCGTTTGTGTACATGTAGTGGATAGGGGAGTGAAAATAGATCTCGTTTTAATGCCATTTTGAGGAAATTTAGAGTTATATAGCCCCTTGCTCTGTTTCAGAATATGGAGGAAATTTATAGCAGGATATTTAGAAGACGATTCTATTAAGTGAGTAATATGGAGGCTCACTAGCCTGGAGGAGACTAACAAATTTGAAAGGTGTACAACATCCTACAAAGCAATGGAACTTTACCTTATTTTGTCTCCAATTCATTTTTAGGACTATGATCTCCGGGTTGACTGGAAGTTGATTTCTGGAAATCTGCCCAACCCTCTTACTGATCCTTACTGATTACTTACTGTCTCCTGACAGTGGAGGTTTCTCCCAACCACGGTGTCCCAGCCATATAAATCAAAAGTTATTTTTCTCTTTAAGAACCACACTCAAGTGCTCTGAGCTTCCGATCAGGCTGGGGTTAGCAAGTGTGAAGATGGCAGTGATACTACCAAATAAGGTTAAAGATCTCAGTTCCACAATTGGCCTTCTCTGAAACCACCTCAGCTGCTGGCCAAAGGTGAGAGTTTGGGCTACCGACTGGGCCTTTCAGGTGGAGAATGAGGGAGTAGGGATATTGGAGTTCAGCGTTTTCTGTAGTGTGCTGTTGGAATAGAGAATTATTGTCTGTAAGTTTTGTCTTGCTAGGCTGCTCTTTTTCTTGTCATTTGGCTAGAGAAAGCTTGCTTTTCCTGTGGCTTTTTTGTCTGTGTTGATGGGTTGTTGGCTTCTCCAGCACTCAGTCCAGGATACATGAAATTAAAAAAAAAAAAATTAAGAAATTTACCAACGTGTCTTTCCTCAGGTCGAAAGTTCTCCCACCAGTTTGCCTTCTCTCCACTTTTCGAAGTCTTCTTATGTTTGTTTTATATATGATGTCCAGGGTTTTTAACTGTGTTTAGTGGGAATGATAGGAAAAATATGACTACATTGTCTTCTCAATCAGCATTTTATTTTATTTTATTTTATTTTTTGAGACAGAGTCTCACTCTGTCACCCAGGCTGGAGTGCAGTGGCAGGATCTCAGCTCACTGCAACCTCCACCTCCCGGGGTTCAAGCAATTCTCCTGCCTCAGCTTTCTGAGTAGCTGGGATTACAGGCACGTGCCACCACAACCGGCTATTTTTATTTATTTATTTATTTATTTTGTATTTTTAGTAGGGGTGGAATTTCTCCATGTTGGCCAGGCTGGTCTCAAACTCCTGGCCTCAAGTGATATACCCACCTTGGCCTCTCAAGTGTTGGGATTACAGGCTTGAGCCACCATGCCCAGCCTCAATCAGCATTTTAGTCTCCTATTCTTAAATATATGTGTCAAAGATTAATATGTGTCCTCCCCTCTTTACCAAATTCATATTTTGAAGTCCTAACACGTACTAATTGAGAATGTGACTATCTTTGGAGATGGGGCCTTTGAATGAGGTGTTTAGAATTGACCATAATGCAGTATGACATGTCTTTGAAAGAAAAGATTAGGACACAGACACACCCAGAAGGAAGAGGATGTGAGGACGTGGAGGAGATGGCTATCTGCAAACCAGGGAGAGAAGCATAAAATAAACAAACAAACAAATCCTGTTGACACCATAATTTCTGACCTCTAGCCTCCAGAAATGTAAGAAAATAAATGTCTGTTGTTTAAATCACACAATCTGTGGTACTTTGTTATGGAAGTGATAACAAACTAATACAACGTGTATAGTGCAAGGATCACCAAATATATATAGAGAGAGAGGTGGGGGAGAGAGAGAGATGGAGGGAGGGAGGAAGGATATAAAAAGAGATTTTTAAAATACAATTTAAGGACACAGACTGCAGGAAAAACTTTATATCATATATCATATTATATCATATCTCACTAATATCTTCAGAAGGGAGAGAAACAATACTGTATCCAATAACAAGGACTAGGATCCAATGAAGAAAAGCTTTCATAAAACCAAAAAAAAAAAAAAAAAAAAAAAAGCACGGGCGCGGTGGCTCACGCCTGTAATCCCAGCACATTTGGAGGCTGAGGCAGGCGGATCACCTGAGGTCAGGAGTTTGAGACCAACCTGACCAACATGGAGAAACCCCGTCTCTACTAAAAATACAAAATTAGCCAGGCACGGTGGCACATGCCTGTAATCCCAGCTACTCAGGAGGCCGAGGCAGGAGAATCACTTAAATCCGGGAGGCGAAGGTTGCGGTGAGCCGAGATCGCGCCATTGTACTCCAGCCTGGACAACAAGAGCAAAACTCTGTCTCAAAAAAAAAAAAAAAAAAAAAAAACCACAAAAACAAAACAAAACGAAAAACCAAAAAAGAGGTTTTGGAAATCAAAATTATGTTAATAGGAAATAATTTAAATATGAAGTAAATGTGTTTGACGATAAAGTATACAAAAACTACATGTGGTGTTTCAGGTTCAGTCAGATTGGCAACTTTAAAGGACATATATGTGGCTTAGCCTGAAAAAAAGAGAACTAGAGGAGGAAAGGGTAAACCGATCATCCAGAAATATCTAAAGTGAGTTGAAAAGAACAGAAGAAGCTGGGCGCAGTGGCTCATGCCTGTAATCCCAGCACTTTGGGAGGCCGGGGCAGGCGGATCATTTGAGGTCAGGAGTTCCACACCAGCCTGGCCAACACGGTGAAACCCCATCTCTACTAAAAATACAAAAATCAACCAGGCCTGGTGGCAGGCACCTGTAATCCCAGCTACTTGGGAGGCTGAAGCAGGAGAACTGCTTTAACCCAGGATGTGGAGGTTGCAGTGAGCCGAGACTGTGCCATTGCACTCCAGCCTGGACGGCGAGAGCAAAACTCTGTCTCAAAACAAACAAACAACAAAAACAAAAACAAAAACCACACAAAATAACAAGCGGGGTGCAGTGGTTCACCCCCGTAATCCCAGCACTTTGGGAGGCCGAAGCAGGTCGATCACCTGAGCTCAGGAGTTCAAGACCAGCCTGGCTAACACATAGTGAAACCTCGTCTCTACTAAGAAAAATACAAAAATTAGCTGGCCATGGTGGCGGGTGCCTGTGATTCCAGCTACTTGGGAAGTCGAGGCAGGATAATCGCTTGAATCAGAAAGGCGGAGGTTGCAGTGAGGTGAGATCCTGCCACTGCACTCCTGCCTGGGTGACAGAGCAAGACTCTGTCTCTCAAAAACAAAAAACAAAAAACCCAAAAAGAACAGAAGAAAAAGACAACAGCACATATATGGATCACTCACTATTTAAAAGTGCATAATTGATGGTACCTACTTAGCAGTTTTCAGTGTGTTATGAGTTGGAAGATACTGTTTGGGGGCACTGCTCTGCGATCTTGCTCATTATGGAGCCATCTGTGCGCATGATTGCTTTTTTTACGTTTCAACCTGCAATTCATCCTTTTAGACTGCTTTTTGAAATGGGATCTGGGCCCTTTAATTTTTTTTTTTCTTGTGCCAGCTGGCACTGAATTTTGTCAGGTGTGGGTGCTGGAGAGACTTTGCAGGAGGAAAAGAGTTTTGCTTTCTGGTTCCAGCAGCTCCTGCAGACCTCTCAACTTCTCCAGTGTCCAGCTCCATTCTATTGACTTCCATGAAAGTGGAGAAAAGAAAGTGGAGGCGGGTGCAGTGGCTCACACCTGTAATCCCAGCACTTTGGGAGACCAAGGCAGGTGGATCACCTGAGGACAAGAATTCGAGACTAGCCTGACCAACATGGCAAAACCCCGTCTCTACTAAAAACAGAAAAAAAAAAATTAACTGGGTATGGTGGTGGGCACCTGTAATCCCAGCTACTTGGGAGGCTGAGACAGGAGAATCACTTTAAATCCGGGAGGCGGAGGTTGGTTGAGCTGAGATCGCGCCATTGCACTCCAGGCTGGGGAACAAGAGCGAAACTCCCTCTCAAAAAACAAACAAACAAACAAACAAAAAAAAACAATTTTTGTGGAGATCATACAAAATTGAAATTTTGTAATTGAAAATCATACAAAATTGATTTCCAGTAACTACTGGAGTTCTTATTGCGTGTTCTCAAATGGTAAAGTCATAGATAAAAGACAAAATATTCAATGATTGCAAAAGAAATCATTGGTAATCTTATTGTATAGGACAAGGAAATTGTCATCAGATGAAAACACTAATTTTTTTTTTTTGAGACAGAGTCTTGCTCCCAGGCTGGAGTGCAGGGGCTGCCATCTCGGCTCACTGCAACCTCTGCCTCCTGGGTTCAAGTGATTCTCCTGCCTCAGCCTCCTGAGTAGCTTGGGATTACAGGTGCCCACCACCATGCCTGGCTAATTTTTGTATTTTTAGTAAAGACAGGTTTCACCATGTTGGCCAGGCTGGTCACGAACTCCTGACCTCAAGTGATCCACCAGCCTCGGCCTCCCAAAGTGCTGGGATTACAGGCATGAGCCACCGCACCAGACCTGAAAATTCTAAAATTTTTTTGTTCCCAATAAATAATTGACAGTGCTTTAGTCATGCCATGTAGGGAATGATTGTTCATGCGGCTTCCATCATGTAGCATATTCCATCCAGTCTTTCCTCCTTTCTTCCTTAAAGACTTCCTGCCACCCTCAAAAACTAAATTGATGAACTAGACCTCAGGCTTTTTAGTTTTCCACAGCATATAACAAATGAATAACACAGATGTCATCAAGAATGAATTCCTTAAACTGTATGCAACAAAGATAGAGCTACACTTGTAAAAATTACAAAGCCTATAGAAAGCCCTACCAAACTGAAATCCAGGATCTTCAGTTTACTAAGCAAGCTCTTTAGCCAACCCATAGATCTCTCTTGAATGAAAAAAGAAAATCAGGAAAAGAAATTTAGTATGAGGAGTTTACCATTTTTGCACCCTAGAAATTGGTTTAAGAGAGGCTGGGCACGGTGGCTCACATCTGTAATCCCAGCAATTTGGGAAGCTGAGGCAGGTGGATCACCTGAGGCCAGGAGTTTGAGACCAGCCTTATCAACATGGTGAAACCCCATCTCTACTAAAAAACACAAACATTAGCTGGGAATGGTGGTGGGCGCCTGTAATACCAGCTACTCGGGAGGCTGAGGCAGGAGAACCTCTTGAACCCAGGAGGCGGAGGTTGCAGTGAGCTGAGATTTTGCCATGGAGTGCCTGGGCGACAGCAAGACTCCGTCTCTCTCTCTCTCTCTCTCTCTCTCTCTCTCTCACACACACACACACACACACACACAGAAAAAAAGAAATTGGTTTAAGAGAAGAACATATGTATTTATTGATGAAAAACAAATGCAATATGACAGCATTATAGAGTCTGGAGTCTGCTCAAAGGCACTGTGCCCCTGGTAAATTGATAGCACTTTACTGATGTTACCACATCAATAACCACAAGAAGATATGAGTTAACATATAATATCATATAGTGGGTAATTTTAAGTTTTCTAGTAATACTAAGAAAGTAAAGTTAAACAAGTGAAATTAATTTAATTTTATTTTTTTTAAGAGAAGGGGGCTCGCTGTATTGCCCGCGTTGGTCTCAAACTCCTAGGTTCAGGAAATTCCCCTTTCCACAGCCTCTGGAATAGCTGGGATTACAAGAGCATACCACTGTGCCCAGCTACTTCTAATATATTTTAACTCCAAATATTATCATTTAAACATGTTATCAAGAAAATATGAGAATTCTTTTTTCTTTCTTTCTGTTTTTGTACTATGTTTTTGAAATATGTGTGAGTGGCTGTTGTGGACAGTGCTGCTCTAGAATACTCAGGAGAAAAGAAAGTATTTTATCTTCAAATACAATCTCTGTAGTTTTTTCAGTGGAGTGGGATGGGGTCCCAATCTGCTTATCATATCAAAGGTCAAAGGCTTCTTTTTCTTAGTATAATATTTTCAATGTTCATTCATGTCATAGCTTGTATTAGAATTTCATTTCTTTTTATAGATAAATAATACTTTTTTTTTTTTTTGAGATGGAGTTTCGCTCTTATGGCCCAGGCTGGAATGCAATGGGGTGATCTCAGCTCACTGCAACCTCCGCCTCCCAGGTTCAAGTGATTCTCCTGCCTCAGCCTCCTAAGTAGCTGGGATTACAGGTGGCTGCTACTACACAAGGCTAATTATTGTATTGTTAGTAGAGATGGGGTTTCACCATGTTGGCCAGGCTGGTGTCGAACTCCTGACCTCAGGTGATCCACCTGCCTCAGCCTCCCAAAGTGCTGGCATTACAGGCGTGAGCCATCGCACCCCGCCAAATAGTACTCTTTATTTGATTTTTTTGAGTTGTCTTTCCAGAGATCTCTTTCAGCCAACCCCTTTCTCAGTATCAGTAAAAGAAAGGAGATTAAGAGAATGCATTTTCAGAAGAGAATGTTTTGTTTAAGGGGGAGATGTTGTCTTTTTCAAAAAAATTGTGTATTTTATTGGAGACGAGGGTCTCATTCTGTTGTCCAAGTTGGCCTTCAATTGCAGGCCTTAAGCGATTCTCCCGCCTCAGCCTTCTGAGTATAGTTACAGAGTCACGCCACCATGCCCAGGTTGGTGTTGTCTTTCTATGAAAAAGCCGCCACAGAACAGAACAAAACAATGCGACGAAATCTACACGTTTATTAAACACGAAAACAAAAATAAAAATCTTGAAAGTAGAAGGGAATTACCTCGGTTGGTTAAAGCCCAGTAACATAAGATTGTGAGTCCCACTCCCGGTAGACGCTCAATTTTTCACCTTCTACCGTGGAAGTTCTCTGTTGGTGTTAGTTGCAAAAAGTGGGCGATAAAAGAAAATGCACGAATACAGTGCTACTTACAGTCTGGTCGGCATCACCCAGCTAAAAATTAATGGGCCTCATCAAAGAATCGACGTAGAATCACTGGAGGTAAGTCCCGGAAAACTGGGTATAATACTCCTTCTCAGGGATTCTCCAGCGCGCTAAATAAAGTTTGAGTAGCATTTTAAGGAGCTCCGAATCCTTTGGACCGTCCTCCACATCCACCCCTTTTTTTTTTACCGGCTCACAGCCCAAGAGAAAGTGGATCCAATGAGGTCTAGGCGCGTGGAGAGTTCGTTAAGTTCCCAGCACCCATCACATCGCACATTGTCTATCGTCGATACACTTCTGTACGATAAATATTGAGTATACTACAAATTAAGGTATCTTTTGCTTGTGCGTGTTCTCTTTCCTGCGACACCTTGATTTCCTATGCAAGTTCCTCCACGATGCCCCAGGCGTCGGGGATCAAATTCAGAAACACCTGGAAAGGAGAGCCATCTGTTTTATCAGACACCGCCCCAAGGATTCTCTTCCTTACACCCTATCCCTCTTGTTGCATGTTTAACGTTTGTCTGGGATCCCTTTCAAGTCCGGTTTCTTAATGTCAGTATGTAGCAGGAAGGCTCGCAAGCTCTTCTTGGTGCGATCGTGGGACTGGACGGGGATATCGAGGCTGAATCGCGTTAGCAGGCATGGGACAGGGCATTACCAAGATCGCCGAACTGAGAGACTAAGGGAGACACTGATTTCTATTCTTCACAGCCGCGCCTTTCTTAATTCAATATTTCTCCAGACGATGTCCCTTCTTTTACGTCCAGGACCTATGCTCAGGGACAAAGTTGTGCAGGAAAGGGTCTGAAGAGTGGAAGCCTGCCCAAGGCGGGGGAAAATAAATGAAGAAACTGTCTGGGTAAGCATAGGCACAGAAGAAACAAACAAACAAAAAGATACTTGATTTAAAATACTAAAAAAAGTGGTTGGGCGGCGGCTCACGCCTGTAATCCCAGCTCTTTGGGAGGCCGAGGCGGACGGATCACCTGAGGTCAGGAGTTCGAGACCATAATGGCCAAAATGGCGAAACCCCATCTCTACTAAATATACCAAAAATAAATAAATAAATAAATAAGAAATTAGCCGAGCGCGGTGGCATACTGCTGTAATCCCAGCTACCCGGGAGGCTGAGGCAGGAGAATCGCTGGAAATCGGGAGACAGAGGCTGCAGTGAGTTGACATCCTGCTACTGCACTCCAGTCCAGCCTGGGCAACAGGGCAACACTCCGTCTGAAAAAAACAAAAAACCAAAAAAACAAAAACAAAAACAAAGTAAAAAAAAGAAAAAAGAAAAATGTCGGTCGGTCGCGGTAGCTCAGGCCTGTAACCCCTGTACTTTGGGAGGCTGAGGCGGGCGGATCACTTCAGTTCAGGAGTTCGAGACCAACCTGACCAACATGGCGAAACCCCGTCTCTACTCAAAATTTCCTTCCTTCCTTTCTACTTTTTTGTTTTGTTTTGTTTTGTTTTGTTTTGTTTTTGGCGGGTTTCGCTCTTGTGGGCCGAGCTGGAGTGCAGTCGCGCGATCTCGGCTCCCTGCAACCTCTGCCTCCCGGGTTCAAGCGATTCTCCTGCCTCAGCCTCCCGGGTAGCTGGGATTACTGGCGCCCACAACCACGCTTGGCTAATTTTTGTATTTTTAACAGAGACAGGGTTTCACCACGTTGGTCAGGCTGGTCTCAAACTCCTGACCTCAAGTGATCCGCCCGCCTCGGCCTCCCAAAGTGCTGGCATTACAGGCGTGAGCCACCACGCCCCGCCTAAAAATACAAAAATTAGCCGGGGGTGGCGGCGGACACCTGTAGTCACAGCTATTCCGGAGGCTGAGGCACGAGAATGGCTTACACCTGGAGGCGGACGTTGCAGTAAGCCGAGATGGAGCCACTGCACTCCAGCCTGGGCGACAAAGGGAGATCCAGACTCAAAAGAAAAGAAAAAAAGTCGGTAGGTCAATATTGTTTTTTAAATTTGGATTTAAAAAATTAAGATATAATTAACATAACATAAAATCCAACTTTTGAAGGTGTACAATTCACTGCTTTTTAGTGTATTCACAGACTTGTGCAACTATCACCATTATCTAATTTCAAACCATTCTCATCATCCCAAACAAACTCCGTACTCATTCCCCTCTTTCTCCAGCCCCTGGCAAATATTAACACTTTCTACCTTTACAGATTTGTCTATTCTAGACATTTTCTATAAATTGAATCATACAATATGTAGCTTTTCGTGTTTGGCTTCTTTTCCTTAGCATAATATTTTCAAGGTTCATTCACTTTGTAGCACGTATTGTAACTTTATTTTATTTTATTTTATTTATTTATTTTGAGACAGTGTCTCGCTCTACAGCCCAGGCTGGAGTGCAGTGGCGCCATCTCGGCTAACTACAACCTCCACCTCCCGGGTTCAAGAGATTCTCCTGCCTCAACTTTCCGAGTAGCTGGGATTACAGGCGCGCATTACCATGTCTGGCTAATTTTTGTATTTTTAGTAGAGCCATGCTTAGTAGAGCTGTGTTGGCCAGGCTGGTCTCGAACTCCTGACCTCAGGTGATCCGCCCTCCTCGGCCTCTCAAAGTGCTGGGATTACAGACGTGAGCCACCATGCCCGGCCTAGAACTTTACTTCTTTTTGTTGTCGAATGTTTGAATTTTTTGAGTTGTCTTTCCAGAGATCTCTTTGAACCAACCCATTTCTCAGTATCAGTTGGGAAAAAAAAAGAAAGGGGAGATTTAAAAAATGCAATTTCCAGGCCGGGCGCGGTGGCTCACGCCTGTAATCCCAGCACTTTGGGGAGGCCAAGGAGGGCGAATTGCCTGAGATCTGGAGTTTGCGACCAGCCTGGGCAACACGGTGAAACCCCTGTCTCTACTAAAATACAAAAAATTAGCCAGGCCTGGCGGCGTCAGCCTGTAGTACCAGCTATTTGGGAGGCTGAGGCAGGAGAATTGCTTGAACCCGGGAGGCAGAGGTTGCAGTGTGCCGAGATGCAGCCAGTGCGCTCCAGCCTGGGCGACAGAGCGAGACTCCGTCTCAAAAAAAAAAAGAAAAAAAGCAATTTCCGAAGAGACTTAAGGTCTCAAATTTCAGTTTGATACTTAACTTTAAACCAGACTTAAAGGTCACGATTGTGATGTGCAGCAGTACGGTGCAAGGTGAAGAGCCAGATCAGATGAATTTTCTTTCAAAGGACTTTAAGAACCGGTTTCTGTCATCAGTTTGAAAACACACAGGATATTTTTCTTAAAAAAAAAAAAAAAAAAAGCCAAGATTAACACCCGAGCCAGCCAGGAGTCGAACCTAGAATCTTCTGATCCGTAGTCAGACGCGTTATCCATTGCGCCACTGGCCCTCGGTTGCGCTTTTGACTACTGGCCACTCAGTCTGCGTCTGTCGATTATCTATCATTGATGTACCCGCTTTTTGTTTTTGTTTTTGTTTTTTAATGAGACAGAGTCCTGCTCTCTCGCCCAGTCTAGAGTGCACTGGCGCGATCTCGGCTCACTGCAACCTCCGCCTCTCGGGTTCAAGCGATTCTCCTGCCCCAGCCTCTTGAGTATCTGGGATTACAGGCGCGCGCCACCACTCCCGGCTGATTTTTGTATTTTTAGTAGAGACGGGGTTTCACCATGTCGGCCAGGCTGGTCTCCAGCTCCTGACATCAGGTGATCCGCCCGCCTCGGCCTCCCAAAGTGCTGGGATTACAAGCGTGAGCCACCGCCCCCTTGTGTCTATTGCACTTGTGAAAGCTTCATTAATTTATGCAGTCGGTGCATCTGCTCATTCATTAAATAATTTCATTTTTTAAACATACTTGTGTTGGATACTGATGCTTTGTGTGGAACAGTGATCAGAGATCCAAATACTTTAAAAATTTTGAGATAATGAAAAAGAAAATGGAATACTTTCTTGAGGTACACATCATATGTTTTCCATTTCATTCTCCAAAGAACCATAACAAAAGAAACATAACCAAAGAATCCTTACAGAGAAAATAATTTCATACTTTATGCAACAGAAAAGACATTAAGAAACATCTCCCAGGCCGGGCGCCGTGGCTTACGCCTGTAATCCCAGCACTTTGGGAGGCAGGTTGATCACTTGAGGTCAGGAGTTCGACACCAGCCTGGCCAACATGGTGAAACCCTGTCTCTATTAAAAACACAAAAAATTAGCCTGGCGTGGTGGCGCGCGCCTGTAATCCCAGCTCATCGAGAGGCTGAGGCAGGAGAATCGCTTGAGCCGGGGAGGCGGAGGTTGCAGTCAGCCGAGATCGCGCCACTCCACTCCAGCCTTGGTGACAGAAGGAGACTCCGTCTCATAAAGAAAAAAAAACGAAAAGAAAAGAAAAAAAGAAAGAAGTGGGCACATCAAGTAAACAAATGTCAACGACAGTAACTCTATTATGTACATGATGTTCCAAAGCAGAAAATTTCTTTATAAATATAAATATCTGAAGGGAGTGAAACTTATTTAAATTGACCACAAAGACAATCGCGCTTTGCTAGAATCCACAGTCTTGTTCAATGTACGCCTGGTTGTATTGCAAACCAACTATTTTCTTAGTGATCCTAATGAAGAATAGATAATCGAGAGACCCACAACGACGGGCCAGTGGCGCAATGGATAACGCGTCTGACTACGGATCAGAAGATTCTAGGTTCGACTCCTGGCTGGCTCGGAGGCTTATTTTCTTCCCCCCCCCACACACGAATTCTCGCTCTTGTCCCCCAGGCTGGAGGGCAATGGCGCGATTTCGGCTCACTGCAACCTCCGCTTCCCGAGTTCAAGCAATTCTCTTGCCTCAGCCTCCCGAGTAGCTAGTAATACAGGCGCCTGCCACCACGCTCGGATAATTTTTGTATTTTAAGTAGAGACGGGGTTTCACCATGTCGGCCAGGCTGGTCTCGAACTCCTGACCTAAGGTGATCAGAGCGCCTCGGCCTCCCAAAGTGCTTGGATTACAGACATGAGCCACCGCGCCCGGCCTTTTTTTTTTTTTTTTTTTTAATTTTTAAAGAAAAATATCATCCTGTGTGTTTTCCGTTTTTTCTTTTTTTTTGAAATGGAGTTTCGCTCTTGATGACCAGGCTGGAGTTCAATGGGGCAATCTCGGCTCACCGCAACCTTTGTCTCCCGGGGTCAAGCGATTCTCCTGACTCAGCCTCCCGAGTAGCTGGGATTACAGGCATGCGCCACCCACGCCTGTCTAATTTTGTATTTTTAGTAGAGACAGAGTTTCTCCATGTTGGTCAGGCTGGATTCGAACTCCCGATCTCAGGTGATCCGCCCACCTCAGCCTCCCAAAGTGCTGGGATTAGAAGCGTGAGCCACCGCCCCCTTGTGTCTATTGCACTTGTGAAAGCTTCATTAATTTATGCAGTCGGTTCATCTGTTCATTCATTAAATAATTTCATTTTTTAATATACTTATGTTGGATACTGATGCTTTGTGTGGAACAGTAGAGATCAAAATACTTTAAAATTTTGAGATAATGAAAAAGAAAATGGAATAAAATACATTCTTGGGGTATACATCATATGTTTTCCATCTCATTCTCCAAAGAATCATAACAAAACAACCATAACCACAAAACCATTACAGAGGAAGTAATTTCCTCTGTAATTATAAGACTCTATGCAACAGAAAAGATTTTAAGAAACATGTCTCAGGCTGGGTGCGATGGCTAACGCCTGTAATCCCAGCACTCCAGGAGGCCGAGGTGGGTGGATCACCTGAGGTCAGGAGTTCGACACCAGCCTGGCCAACATGGTGAAGCCCCGTCTCTACCAAAAACACACACAAAAATTAGCCGGGCGTGGTGGCACATGCCTGTAATCCAGCTCGGGAGGCTGACGCGGGAGAATCGCTTGACCCCGGGAGGCAGAGGTTGCAGTGAGCCTAGATCGCGCCATTGCACTCCAGCCTGGGCAACAAGAATGATACTCCGTCTCAAAAAAAAAAAAAAAGAAAAAGAAAAAGAAAAGAAAAAAGAAAGAAAGAAACATCTTCCTTCCCCAAATTAGGTAAATTGATATAATAATTCAAGAAAGGTAAACATTTTGGCTGGGCACAGTGGCTCACACCAGCACTTTGGGAGGCCTAGGCGGGAGGATCGCTTAAACCCAAGATTTAGAGAACAGCCTGGGCAACATAGCGAGACACGGCGCTGCTCCCCACCCCTCCCCCGCCCTGCCCGTCTCAAAAGAAAAAAAATGGTAAACATTTTAACAACAAAATTCATTTAGCAACCTAGAAACTTGGAGTTAATATAAATATAAAGTTAAATTATAACAGTCATCATTAGATAAATTGGCTAAATATTATTTAAGGACTCAATGTAGGCGAAATAGGCATGTGAAAATGCAAAAGTATTTATAAACGGGGGTGGGTGGTCCTCTCCTCTGAAAGTGAGAAGCTCGGTAGTTTTGGGCCCCATTGCAGCCACAGTGCACAGCGCCTTTATCCCGACTCCTTCCTTGTAGCCTTGGCTAAGTTGTGTATCCGCCTTTTGTCTCAATTTCCTCATTTCTATTCACTGCTTTTTTTGTTGGTTTTGTTTTTTTGTTTTTGCTTTTTTTTTTGGACAGGAAGTAGGATTTACGGCGAGTATTAAGAGGAGGCAGCACAGTGGAAGCCCTCATGAATGCAAAGCCCTCCCTTGTCCAGAGGGCCACGATCGGGGATGTACTTGATCCCACAGCCATCTGGGATGAGCTGCTTCTCAGCCACCATGTCTTCAAATTCATCTGCATCGAACTTGGTGAAGCCCCCCTTCTTTGAAATGTGGACCTTCTGGCGGCCAGGGAACTTGAACTTGACCCTGCGAAGGGCCTCAATCACATGCTCCTTGTTCTGCAGCTTGGTGCGAATGGACATGATAACTTGGCCAATGAGAATCCTGGCCACAGTGCCCTGCGGGCTTTCCAAAGGCACCTCCCATACCTGTTTGGAGCCTGTCAGTCCCAGCACAGGACAACATCCTGTTGATGCAGATGACGTGGAAGGGGTGCAGCCGCACTCGGATATGAAAGCCATTTTTGCCACAACTTTTTACTATGTACTTATTGGCACAAATTTGGGCAGCCACCAGGGCTTCAGAGGAGAGCTGCTCATATTCATCTGACGCCATGTGACCAAAGAGAGGAAACTCATCCACTTTTGCTTGCTTCCCAGGTCTAAGATGCGAATCTTGGCATCAGGGACACCTCAGCAGAAGCAAGACTTTGGATACGGCTTGTTTTCACAATACCGGTAACAACGGGCGCGGCGGCGGCCCATGGTGACACCAGGATCTTCAGTGGCACGCCGAAGGGAAAGAGCTCTATTCACTTTTTTTTTCTTTTTTTTGGAGACGGAGTCTCGATCTGTCACCCAGGCTGGAGTGCAGTGGCGCGCTCTCCGCTCACTGCAAGCTCCGCCTCCCGGGTTCACGCCATTCTCCTGCCTCAGCCTCCCGAATACCTGGGACTACAGGCGCCCGCCACCACGCCCAGCTAATTTTTTTTTTTTTTGTATTTTTAGTCGAGACGGGGTTTCACCGTGGTAGCCAGGATGGTCTCGATCTCCTGACCTCGTGATCCTCCCTCCTTGGCCTCCCAAAGTGCTGGGATTACAGGCGTGAGCCACCGTGCCCAGCCTGTTCACTCTTTTTAAGAGTGCCAGGCACACACATACTAATGGATATTTATGATCTTAGATCTTTTAAATTATCATCAGCCTGGTTTGTTTTTAATACCACAGAACTACTTAATGATGCTTACCTACATTTCTATTATCAGTACAGGGAGTTTTTGTTGTTGTTGTTTGTTTGGTGTTTTTTTAAATTATTATTTTATTTTAATTTTATTTTTTTCTCTTTCTGTCACCCAGCCCCAGGCTGGAGTGCAGTGGCGCGATCTCGGCTCACTGCAACCTCCGCCCCCCGGGTTCAAGCAATTCTCTGCCTCAGCCTCCCGCGTAGCTGGGACTACAGGCGCCCGCCACCACGCCTGGCCTCCGAAAGCGCTGGGATTACAGGTGTGAGCCACTGCGCCCGGCCTGGGGAGTTGTATTTTTATTTTTATTTTTTATTTATTTTTTTGAGACGGAGTCTCGCTCTATTGCCCAGGCTGGACTGCAGTGGCCTGATCTCGGCTCACCGCAACCTTCACCTCCCGGGTTCAAGCAATTCTCCTGCCTCAGCCTCCCAAAGTGCTGGGATTACAGGCGTGAGCCACCGCGCCCGACTGAGGGGAGTTGTATTTTTAAAGCAAAATTTCCTCTTTGCCGTTAGAATCTGTCGCTGCTTTCCCATTTAGCAATCTCAAAACAAAGTGAGCAGCTATTGTGAAAGCCCAAGAAGCCCCAGGCTTCCTGTGGACTCTGAGGAGTAGGTAGATCTTTGATGGAAGCACCGCCCGGGGCTCAGGGGTTCACTGAGGCTCAGCTGGGAGGAGCAGGTCCGGGTGCTTAGGGTAAAGGTGGGCGGTCCAACACAGAGTTCGAGATAGGACGCGGCCCTCTTCTCAGTTTGTATGTGAAATAAGATGAAAGACTGAGAGTCACAGCGATTTGTGATTTAGAAAAAAAAGAGAGAGAGAGGTACCGAGAAGCGCTGTGAGCAGGATTTGAACCTGCGCGGGGAGACCCCATTGGATTTCGAGTCCAACGCCTTAACCACTCGGCCATCACAGCCCTCTAAATGGTTACTATTTATGCATCAAAAACACATACGCATAGGGCCCTGCATGCTGTAATTCTCACTGCTAGCCTCTCTTGTTTATTTGTATGTGGGGCTGTGGGGCTGCAGCTGTTTACTTTCAAGTGGTGCCTGCATATTGTACAGAACATACAGAACATCTATAAACCATTCTTGAGTTTTTTCTTCTTCAGTCAACTGGTCATTTAGAACTCTTATGAGGCCATAGATGTAGATGTACACACACACACACACAAATAAACAGAAGGCAATATAGCAAGAGTAGATGCCATAAACAGCTGTGCCACTTCCTCATGCAACCTACTTGTGCCTTTAGGAGCTGCTCAAGCTTTATTTAATACATCCCATTTCCATTTGATAATGGAACGCTGCTGTGCATGTCTAAATTTATGGCTTGGTAACACACACTATCCAGTTCAAGATCTGCATCTGAGGCCATATGGTAATGTGGTGGTATGTGGTCAAGCATTCAGACTGTACTAAGAACCTGGTTAAAAAAAAAAAAAGCTGGTAAAAGCTACTTGTCTAAAGAAGAGTAGTTACCCACAGAGGATGGCAAAACTTTGCTCTGAAATTCTAAAGTTCTGTGCCGTGATTCACCTGTAGAAATTTGCCAAAGCCTCCAGATAACATCCCTCTTCTCTGACACTTGAAGAAAGATCAATTCTTCTGGTTCTTATGGTCCCAGTGGCAGAGTCGCTTGAGCTGCAACGTGGTCCTGTTGCAGAACCATTTCCTGTTCTAGGCCCCCACTCAAAACTGGGATATTTTCAGGTTACTTGATAAATGGTTTGGTGTAGCGTGCCCAAATGTTGCCTCCCAAATCCAAAGAGTTCTACTCAGTATGTTCTACTCAGTATTGTACCACTTTCTTTCTTTCTTTTTTTTTTTTTTTTTTGAGACGGAGTCTGTCGCCCAGGCTGGAGTGCAGTGGCACGATCTCGGCTCAATGCAAGCTCCGCCTCCCGGGTTCACGCCATTCTCCTGGCTCAGCCTCCCGAGTAGCTGGGACTACAGGGGCCCGCCACGCCCGGCGAATTTTTTGTATTTTTTTTTTTATTATTAGTGACGGGGTTTCACTGTGTTAGCCAGGATGGTCTCGATCTCCTGACCTCGTGATCCGCCCGCCTCGACCTCCCAAAGTGCTGGGATTAGAGGCGTGAGCCACCGCGCCCGGCCACCGCTTTCTTAATAAGAAAAGGTATCAGATGCAGCAACTCATAATGTTGCAGACAATTGGACACCTAGAAATTTCACTGAGGTAGTAAGGCTCTGATTCTTTGTGAGGTTTATTTCCCACCGTCTGGCATACAAATGTCTTACCAATGTTATAGAGTAGTTGCTACCTTCTTGTCACTAAAAATATAATTAATGTAAGAGACCAGTATGATGTTCTATGGAATGGTAAGGTGATAAAACTCCCTGTGGACTAGTTGGTGACACAGGGTTAGAGACTCAATATATCCCCAAGGTAGTGAGACAGCCAGGTGGGAGGGGGTCCCTGGATTCCAACCAGCCTACCCACTGAGGTGGAGCCTCAGGAAGTTCATGATGTTTGCAGCTGGGAGGATCCTGGCCCTTCCTCTTCCTATGTGGAACCTGGGATTCCAACTGCTGGGCAGGAAGTAGAAGCGCTCTAGTGGAGGGACTCTGGCCTTGCGAGAGTCCCTGTTTCCCCCTTTTTCCCTTTTCACCCAATAAAACCCTGTCTTACTCACCAAATTGTCTGCAAGCCTGAATTTTCATGGCTGTGGGACAAAGAACCCCATCTTTAGCTGAACTAAGGAAAAGTCCTGCAACAGTAGGGCAGATAAGGTGTACTGCTGGCCTTGCCAGCTAAAAGACCACTGCTTCTGATGGTCTTAATGATTAAGTATAGAGAAAAAAGAACTAACCATATCAATAACAGCATAGCAGGTACCAGGAGATGTGTTAATATTTCCATTAATGAAACCACATCTGGAATAGCAGATGCAATTGGAATATTTACCTGACTAAATTTTCAATAATTCACCATCATTCTCCATAATCCATTTGTCTTCCGCAGTTGAATAATGAGTTGAATAGAGATATGCTAAGAACCACCAGCCCTGCATCTTTCAAGTCCTTGATGGTGCCATCCTTTCTGCAATCCCTCCAGGAGTACAATATTCCTTTCGGTTTATAATTTTCATAGGTAGAGGAATTTCCAGTGGCTTCCCCTTGGCCTTTTATACCATAATAGCCTGCACTCTATCACTCATAGAAACAATATAAATATTCTGTTTGGAATTGGGAAAATAACTACAGAGTAGGTTCAGGGATCTGCTGTGCCTATAGTGAAATGCACCAGAGGCAAAATTTCATTGAATGTCTGACCTCTCTGAGTCCCTAATTTGCCAGGTGGACAATAGTGATGCTTAGTATCTCTAGGAATTAATGTCAGTTCAGGATCTTTGTTTAGTAATTCCTGAAAAGTCTGCCTATTTCCCCTTTCCCAAAGCACAGTCACTCTGGTAAATGGATACAGGCCCCTTTAGAGAAGGGAGGAAGAATAACAGTATAAATTTGTACTAAGCTATGAGTATTCTTTCTCAAGAGAAGCTTACCTTCTCCTCAGTCAAAGCTGGCTCATATCTGGGAATTGGTTGGGAGGCCATGATTCTCTGTTTTGCTGATTCAGGTCAGACTTCTATCTACTAGACTTTTCTGCTTATATAGATCAAGTAAGATATTAATAAGTTGCATACTTATTTTAATTCTAGGGATGTTATATAGTATAGTCATCAATGTCAAAGATCTCTGAGTCAGACTATTCTGATTACTGCTTGTACTCATTATAGTAAACACACCTGTATTAGTAAACTTGAGCTGCCATAAGATACCACAGACTGAGTGGATTGAACAAAAATTACTTTTCTCACAGTTGTAGAGGCTACAAGTCCAAGATGACTTAAAATATTTTGCCTTAATATAATGTGTCCAGTACAATTGTGCTAGAAAGAGCATAAGATTCAAAAGTTAGATGAACTATAATCTTGTTTTGATTCTTGTCTTCAATGGCTATACCTTTGGGCAATAAGACAATAGAAAAAATATATCATCATGATCTTATAAGGAAGACATTACTAGACTCTGATTTCCTTGGGGGCAAAGACTGTATCTTTTTGCATTTGCTTTCTGTAGCAGAGTTGGTGGTGTTCTTTGCATGTTTCATCTGCTTCCCTATATTTCCCAGAAGCCATGACTACTTCTAGTTATTTGACTGCAAACAAAATGATGAGAGCAGCTATGGCAGAAAGTGCTGATGGCCTCCAATCATCTCCTGGTCTCAGGTCGCTCCTTCATGGTTTTCCCAAAAGTCACCAAGATATGACTATCGGGGCGGGTTTTGCAGATAAAGAAACGTGCATAGACAGCATAGGGAGGTCTTGAAATAAAATTCTGTAGCATTCCGTTCTAGCTTTCCATGTTTGAAATTTGTGCGGGAATTGGAGCCCTGGGGAAGCTTGGTTATGAATTGCTTTTCTTTTCGAAAACAGTAAAAGGAGAGAACTGCACCACAACGATCATTTTCTAAACAGACGTATAAGGCAGTCCAGGCCCTTCAGGCAAAGCCCTCTTAGTTAAGCGGCGGGGTGGGGATGGGGGCGGGGGGGATGTGGGTAACCCTTTCCCACAGTTGTTTCCGTAGTGGAGTGGTTATCACGTTCGCCTCACACGCGAAAGGTCCCCGGTTTGAAACCAGGCGGAAACATTCTTTACTCGTTTGGTAGATTTTCTACTCCATAAAAATATAAATGTTTAAGAAAAATCAAACTGATAAATTTGCCAGACTTTGAAAACAGGAGCTCTCCCTGAGAAGCTCTCGCAGCCACGTGGTTTCGCCACTGTAAAAGAGCTTTCCCCCTCTCCCTGTCACTTCTGCGGGGTTTCCTCTAGGTCTAAAAGGGGTCCTTGGAAGAGTGTAAGAGAAAGGAACCGGGCCACGGGCATGGTTGTTACTTACTTTCGGAATCTGGATTTCTTTGAAATGCAAGAACAGCTCCGCCTTTAAACCAAGTGGCGACTACCCGGGCGTCCGGCAGTGACATTAGCCGGGCAATTCATCTCTTGCTGGATAAATATTTTCAACCAAAATTTACTTACCACCTGCATGGTGAGAGGGGAATGTTGCAGTGGGTGGGAGAGTGCTGGAGGATAATGCAAAGCACCTGTCCTTAAGAACTGACAAGGACCTCGGGCAGGTAACAAGAATCCTGTTAAGTCTGTTTAGCCGGAATGCCCCTTATCCTTGATGCTGCCTCTTAGCCCAGGACGCAGGTGGCAGCGGGCTGCGATCTGAGGCTCTTCGGTTAAGGACACTTATTAAATCATGGTAAGAGAGACTTTATTCAGGACCACCATGGTAGGTAATAGGGTCCACAAAGGAGTCTTGCAGTAGAGAAGAGATTGGGCTCAACTCTGAATACTGCATGGACAAGTGGGAATTTATAGCCAAGGATCGGGGTGGTGGGTGGTCAGTGGATGGAAAATTACTAAGAGGAAGCATCAGGGGTAAGGGGATTCTGGCTGAACAGACCTAACAGGATTCTTGCTGAAGACAGGCCAGGGCCATCAGACCTTACCTGGGGGATGGTGGAGGATGAGGAACCTGATCAGCTATGGAGGGGGAGCAGATATCAAGGGTAGGGGATTGTTGTTAAACTGATTTATCAGGGTTCTTGCTAAAACTGGTTTTACAAGGAAGAACACAGATGGGCCCTGGAGACAGTTCAGGAGCCTGACTAAAGTTTGACCAAACAAATAATCTTTGTCAACCTCCACAGTTGTGTGAACCTATGCCTTAAAATAAATATCTTTCTGTATATACACACCTCCTATTGGTTCTGTTTCTCTGGAGAACCCTGATTAATACAACTGTTACTATTTTTTAAAAGTAGCTCTTCAAGAGATAGTAAAGATCACCCAATTCAATTTCAACAGCAGCATTCCAATCTAAGTGGTTTAAAAGAAGTTTCAGCCGGGTGCCTTGGCTCACGCCTGTAATCCCAGCACTTTGGGAGGCCCAGGTGGGTGGATTACCTGAGGCCAGGAGTTGGAGACCAGCCTGACCAACATGGTGAAACTCTGTCTCTACTAAAAATACAAAAAATCAGCCAAGCGTCATGGTGCGTGCCTGTAATCCTAGCTACTCAGGATGCTGAGGCAGGAGAATCGCATGAACCTGAGGGGCAGAGGTTGCAATGAGCCGAGATCACACCACTACACTCTTTAGCCTGGGTGACAGAGCAAGACGCTGTCTCAAAAAAAAAAAAAAAAGAAAAAGAGTTTCGATCCTGCAATTTTATGAGAAGAGGGTCCTATGAAGAAGACTATGACAAGTATCAGAGGAATAGAAAGAAAGTCAGGACAACTGATATTGCAGAAGCCAAAGGAGTAGTTCTGGAATAAACAATAGTAGAGGTAATTCAAGCAAGTGATCAGAAATGCAAACACTACATAGGAATTTGTGGCAAAAAGCTCTGGAAATATAGTTATGAATAAAACAGAGTTCCTGTTTTGGGGAGCTTTCTTGCAACCACCAAGTAAATAACTAAATAAGATAATTCAGATGATGGGGTTCAGAACATGCTACCCCGAGATATGACATCTTGACATTTGACAAAACCACAGAAGCAAGTAGGTCACTCTCACTTTTCCGTAGCCCTTCTCCCCTAAAGCAGGTCAGGAGATCTTCATTCCAGAGGTGCCCTTCCTATAACTGGAGGAAAGGAACATGTTTTTCTCTGAAGACACAGGGACACACAGAAGAACCTGAACAAGTAAGCCTTGCTAAATTCCCCCAGTTTATTATCCTTACATCACACCCTCTTTGTACAATTATACTTCTGCATAACTATCTTCTCTTCGTCAACCTATCATAAAACTACAAATGTTTCCCTGTTTCTTTAGGTCTTCATTTCTAGTCTCTCATATCACACAAAGCTTATGTTAAATACACTTGTATGCTTTTCTCTTGTTTAATCTGTATTTTGTTATAGAGGCCTCAGCCATGAACTTGGTGAGAAAAGATGTTTTTCTCCCTTGCTTAGGCCATAAGGATAATGTTTAAAAAACAGATAGCTTGCAGAGGATGAAGTTTAGCCGTCTTTCTTTCTGGCAGCTGTATACTAACTTTGCAGGATGAAGGAAGAGTGGGCTTCCTTTGCTAAATGACTCTGTGGGCTTATTAAAAATGTTTTAAGGCCGGGCACGGTGGCTTACGCCTGTAATCCCAGCAATTTGGGAGGCTGAGGTCAGGATCACCTGAGGTCAGGAGTTCAAGATCAGCCTGGCTGGCCAGCATGATGAAACCTCGTCTCTACTTAAAATACAAAAATTAGCTGGATGTGGTGGTAGATGCCTGTAATCCCAGCTACTCAGGAGGCTGAGGCAAAAGAATTGCTTGAACCTGGGAGGTGGAGGTTGCAGTGAGCTGAGATTATGACACTGCACTCCAGCCTAGGCAACAGAGTGAGACTCCATCCCAAAAAATTAAAATTAAAATTAAAATGTTGTAAGTACTTTGACCTTAAAATAAAAAGCTGTAAGTGTCTATGTGTTTCCACTAGTTTTGATCCTGCTAATTTCTGGATTGTATAAATGAATAAGTATAAGAGAAAAATCCCCACAGTCTTCTGACAAATAACTGTCTTCAGAAATAGCTCACAAAAGGAGTAATCAGCCTTAAGGACCAATAAAATAAGAAAGAAAAAACTGCTTAAGATGCCATCTTTTGTTTGATAAATGTTTTGCCTAAAAATTGGAAAACTGGGCAAATGTAAAATGTAAAATACATTTGAAAATATGTCCTCAAGGCTGGGCATGGTGGCTTACACCTATAATCCCAGCATGCTTTGGAAGTCGAGGCCGGCAGATCGTTTGAGCTCAGGAGTTTAACACCAGCCTGGGCCACATGGTGAAACCCTATCTCTACAAAAAATTAGCTGAGTGTGGTGGAGCACTCCTGTAGTGCCAGCTACTTGGGAGGCTGAGGAGGAAAGAGCACTTAAACCTGGGAGATGGAGGTTGCAGTGAGCCAAGATCACTCCACTGCACTCCAGCCTGGGTGACAGAATAAGACCCTATCTGGAAAAAAAAAAAAAAAAAAAAAAGGAAGAAAAGAAAAAAAGAAAAAGTCTTCATATTTAAAGAATTAGTGAAAATAGAATGAGACATCAGACTACCTTAAATCTCTCTTTTTGAAAGGTGTTGTCAGGAAGTGAATATTTTCATGTTCTGCATGGTTTGGCTTTCTGGGCAAGGGAAATTGACACATTAGTGAATGTTCTGGTTTCCCTAGACCAATTTGCTTCTCACATTTCAAAAGTGTTATCTCATTTGAAGGATAATACAATTTCTCTCTCCTGGAACCATGGAGACATTTTAAGGCTTATAAACACGGAGATGCTTATCTTATCTTCCACTCTGGAGACATTTATTTACATCCCAAGAGTATGAATCCTGAGACTTTTCCTCTCTCTTTTTATAAGAACTTGTTTAAGGCCAGGCTAGGTGGCTCGCGCCTGTAATGCCAGCACTCTGGGAGGGCGAGGCGGGCTGATAACCTGCGGTTAGGAGTTCGAGACCAGCCTGGCCAACATGGATAAACCCCGTCTCTGCTAAATATACAAAAATTAGCTGGGCATGGTGGCAGACACCTTTAATCCCAGCTCCTCGGGAGGCTGAGCAGGAGAATCGCTTGAACCCAGGAAATGGAGGTTGCAGCAAGCCGAGATCTTTCCATTGCACTCCAGCCTGGGCAACACGAGCGAAACTCTGTCTCAAAAAAATAAAAATAGGCCAGGCGCGGTGGGTCACGCCTGTAATCCGAGCACTTTGGGAGGCCGAGGCGGCCGGATCACGAGGTCAGGAGATGGAGACCATTCTGGCTAACATGGTGAAACCCCTTCTCTAATAAAAATACAAAAAAATTAGCCGGGCTTGGTGGTGGGCGCCTGTAGTCCCAGCTACTTGGGAGGCTGAGGTAGGAGAATGGCGTGAACCCAGGAGGCGGAGCTTGCAGCGAGCCAAGATCGCGCCACTGCACTCCAGCCTGAGTGACAGAGAGAGACTCCGTCTCAAAAAAATAAATAAATAAATAAAGGCTGACAAAGACAGCACAAAAAAGAAAACTGCAGACCAATACAACTCATCAACACAGATACAACAATTTTTAACACAATATTATCAAATAGAATACAGTAATAGAGAAAAAGAATTATACACTATGACTGTTATTGGCTGAATTGTGTTCTCCCAAAATGTATATTCTGAAGTCCTAACTCCCAGTTCCTTAGAATGTGACTATATGTGGAGATAAGATCTTTAAAGAAGTTATTAAAGTAAAATGAGGGAATATGGATGAGCTCTAATACAATATTACTGGTGTCTTTATAAGAAGAGATTAGGGGCCGGGCGCAGTGGCTCATGCCTGTAATCCTAGCGCTTTGGAAGGCCGAGGCGGGCAGACTACCTGAGGTCAGTAGTTCGAGACCAGCCTGGCCAAAATGGCGAAACTCTGTCTTTACTTTAAAAAAAAAATACAAGATTCAGCCAGGCCTGACAAAATTAGCACACGCCTGTAATCCCAGCTACTCGAGAGGCTGAGACAGGAGGTAGGAGGCTGAGCGGGAAGCAGAGGTTGCAGTGAGCCGAGATTGCACCACTGCACTCCAGCCTGGGCGACAGAGCGACACTCGGTCTCCAAAAAAAAAAAGAGATTAGGACACAGGCAACACGCAGACTGAGTGGTTAATCATGGGAGGACACAACGAGAAGGCAGCCTTCTGCAAGTCAAGGAGAGCTACCTCAAAAGGAATCAAACCGGCTGACACCTTGCTCTTGGATTTCTAGGCTCAGCTGCGAGAAAATACATTTCCATTGTTTAAGTCCACCCATCTATGGTAGCCCTAGCAAACCAAGATAATCACCAAGTAGAATGCAGGGGTGGTTCATGGCCAGGCGTTGTTGCTCACACTTGTAATCCCAGCACTTTCAGAGGTCTGGGAGGCCAAGGCAGGAGTATAACTTGAGGTCAGGAGTTCTATGACCAGCCTGGCCCACGCTGGGAAACCCTGTTTCTACTAAAAATGCAAAACATTAGCCGGGCATGGTGGCATGTGCCTGTAATTCCAGCTACTCTGGAGGCTGAGGTACGAGAATCACTTCAACCTGGGAAGCTGAGGTTGCAGTGAGCAAAGATCTCGCCTTTGAACTCCAGCCTGGATGACAGAGCAAGACTCCGTCTAAAAAAAAAAAAAAAAAAGAATGCTAGGGTTGTTCAACATTTGAAAATTAGTCAACGTAATTAATGTACCATAGTCACACCAAAGGAAGAAAATCACATTATTATATTAATTGATGAGGAGAAAAATTCAATACCAATTCTTAATTAAAAGAAAAATTCTCAAAAATATAGGAATACATGAACTTCCTCAATTTGATAAACAGCATCTTTATAAAAACTCTATAGCAAATGTGAAAGGAAAATATCTTGGGCTCCCAAAATCACTAAGCTAAAGGGAAAATGGGAACTGCTTAGGGAAAACCTGCCTCCCATTCTATTCAAAGCCACCCCTCTGCTCACTGAGATAAATGCATATCTGATTGCTTCCTTTGGAGAGGCTAATTAGAAACTCAAATAAATGCAACCATTTATCTCTCTTTTTTTTTTTTTTTTTTTTTTTTTTTTTTTTTTTTTGAGACGGAGTTTCACTCTTGTTGCCCAGGCTGGAGTGCAATGGCGCGATCTCGGCTCATCGCAACCTCTGCCTCCCAGGTTCAAGCGATTCTCCTACCTCAGCCTCCCGAGTAGCTGGGATTACAGGCATGCGCCATCACGCACGGTTAATTTTGTATTTTCAGTAGAGACGGGGTTTCTCCATGTTGGCCAGGCTGGTCTCGAACTCCCGACCTCAGGTAATCTGCCCGCCTCGGCCTCCCAAAGTGCTAGGATTGCAGGCGTGAGCCACTGCGCCTGGTCCATTTATCTCTTATCTACCTATGACCTGGAAGCCCTCTCCCCCCGCTTGGAGTTGTCCCACCTTTCCAGACCAAACCAATGTTCATCTTACATATGTTGATTGATGTCTCATGTCTCCCTAAAATGGATAAAACCAAACTGTACTCTGACTACCTTGGGCACATGTCATCAGGACTTCATGAGACTGTGACATGGGTGTGCGTCCTGAATGTTGGCAAAATAAATTTTCTAAATTAACTGAGACCTGTCTCAGATTTTTGGGGTTCACTCTAACATTGTACTTATTGTATCAATTGGACAAACATAGGAACAAAAATAAAGCTTGCTGGGCGTGGTGGCTCACGCCTGTAATCCTAACACTTTGGGAGGCTGAGGCAGGCGGATCACGTGAGGTCGGGAGTTCAAGACCAGCCTGACCAACATGGAGAAACCTCGTCTCTACTAAAAATACAAAAACTTAGCTGCGTGTGGTGTTGCACACCTGTAATCCCAGTTACTCAGGAGGCAGAAGCAGGAGAATCACTTGAACCCAGGAGGCGGAGGTTGTGGTGAGCCAATATCACGCCATTGCACTCCAGCCTGGGCAACAAGAGCGAAACTCCATCTCAAATAAATAAATAAATAATAAATAATAAATAAATAAGTATAAAATAAATCTGACTGAAATCTTTTTATACAAATAATACATAAAAATGCATCACATACTTAAATGTAAAATGTAAATACAAGAAAAATTTTACAAAAAAAAAAAAAAAAGGAGAAGAAACCATGGGAGAAAATCTTCAGGATCTAGAGCTAGGCAGAGTTCTTAGATTTGATACCAAGAACATGACCCATAAAAAGAAAAACTTACAAATGAGATTCCATCAAAATAAAAAACATTTTGCTCTGCTGGAGAGTCTAATAATAGTAAGAAAGGACATGCTACAGATAGGAGAAAATATTTGCAAACAACATATTCAGTAAAAGACTAGTATCTAGAATATACTGTATAAAGCACTTGTCAGAGCTCAACAGTAATAAAACATATGAACCAACTAGAGAATGGGGAAAACATATGATGAGACGTTTCTTTTTTCTTTTTCTTTTTTCTTTTTTTTTTTTTTTTTTGAGACGGAGTTTCACTCTTGTTGCCCAGGCTGGAGTGGAATGGTGTGATCTCGGCTCACTGCAACCTCTGCCTCCTGGGTTCAAGTGATTCTCCTGCCTCAGCCCCCCAAGTATCTGGGATTACAGGTGCACATCACCACGCCCAGCTAATTTTTGTATTTTCAGTAGAGAGGGGGTTTCAACATGCTGGTCAGGAACCCTTGACCTCAGGTGATCCACCCGCCTCAGCCTCCCAAAGTGCTGGTATTACAGGTGTGAGCCACTGTGCCCAGCCAAGACATTACTTTTCTTTTCTTTTTTCTTTTTTTTTTCCGAGACAGAGTCTCGCTCTGTCATCCAGGCTGGAGTGCAGTGGTGTGATCTTGGTTCACTGCAACCTCCACCTCCCAGGTTCAAGCAATTCTGTTACCTCAGCCTCCTGAGTAGCTGGGATTACAGGTGCATGCCACCACGCCCATTTAATTTTTTGAATTTTATTAGAGATGGGATTTCACCATGCTAGCCAGGATGGTCCTGATCTCCTGACCTCGTGATCTGCCCACCTCGGCCTCCCAAAGTGTTGGGATTACAGGCATAAGCCACTGCACCTGTCTTTTTTTTTTTTTTTTTTTTTTTTTTGACGGAGTGTCAATCTGTTGTCCAGGCTGGAGTGAAGTGGTGTGATCTCTGCTCACTGCAACCTCCACCTGCCTTCTGGGTTTGAGCGATTCTCCCACCTCAGCCTCTCCAGTAGCTGGAACTACAGGCGTGGCACATCACACCTGGCTAATTTTTGTATTTTTAGAAGAGAAGGGGTTTCACCATGTTGGTCAGGTTGGTCTTGAACTCCTGACCTGAAGTGATCTGTCCGTGGTGGCCTCCCAAAGTGCTGAGATTACAGTTGTGAGCCACAGCGCCCGGCCAAGAAGATCTTTCATAAGGTAAAATAAAGATACTCCCTAGGTGGAGAAGACCATCTGGATACTTAAGCAATTATTAAGAAGTCATGAGTGCTCTGGATTTTGAGGTCTGGAAGAGTGGAGGAGAGACCACGTGTGGTTTGGGGGCCATTATGACCACAGTAAAGAATAGACTGGATCAGCCGGGCGCGGTAGCTCACGCCTGTAATCCTACCACTGTGGGAGGCTGAGGCGGGCAGATTGCCTGAGTTCAGGAGTTCGAGAACAGCCTGGACAACACGGTGAAATGCCATCTCTACTAAAATACAAAGTATTAGGTAGGTGTGGCAGCATGCGCCTGTAGTCCCAGCTACTCCAGAGGCCAAGGCAGGAGAATTGCTTGAACCTGGGAGGCGGAGGTTGCAGTTAGCTGAGATCGTGCCACTGCACTCCACCCTGGGCGACAGAGCGAGACTCTCTCTCCAAAAAAAAAAAAAAAGACTAGACTGGATCATGTCACGTTCTCAGTAAACATCTGTGTAATCAATGGACACTATTAAAGGTAACTTTCTGAAATGTAAACAAATGCTTATGTGACATCCTGTCACTCTTCATGTGACCAGCAGATTCATCTAGAAGTCTAAGTAAAGCTTAGGAATGCACTTGTAGGTAGTTAGCCGTTTCACTTCTTGATGTTTTTGTGTCATCATGTTGACATTATTTGTGACTTTGCATAACTTAAATATAAGAACAATAATGGCTATCTCAATATCCATTGGATCAATGAGGTGTGATTTAAAGTTTACCTAAAACAACATGCAAAGCACCTGGCATGAAGTGGACCCTCAAACGGTTAGTTTTCTAAGTGAGAGTGGCTAGGCTGTTGCTATGTATCTTAAAGGAAATAGTTTCAAGACATGACAAAAGGCATTTTGGCACAGAAATCAGGAAATGTATTTAAAAATACACCCCACTGAATTCCATTTCTGGTTAAGTTGTAGAAAATTGCAAGAGTCTGTTTCTCTCTATTTAATAACTAAAGCAAGAGCATAAGCTACAAAATAGTAGATTTTCTGAACCCACCAGGGAATTGATACAAAGGAATCTAATCAAATTCCACCTAGAAAGAGGTCTTCATATGAGAAAAGAGGTTTCTAGCTGCCCTTGTTCCTGGCAGATGGGCAGACAAGCAGAGGAAGAGAAACCCTTGAATACTAAATGAGGGAAAAAGCCATCAAAACTCCAAAAGATTTTTAAGATTTGCCTGTGGGCCTACTTGACCCAAGCACAGAATTCCAAGTAGCCAAAAAACCACTGCCAGTTGTCTCTGCTAGAGGAGAGCATCCCAAAAGAAGGTGAATGGGCAGGCTGGAAAGTGGAGAGGAATATCCACTGAGGCATCCTCAGGTGCAAAGTCTTTTGAAGTTGGTGAGCACAGCCACAAAACTAAGAGAAATCAATCTAGCGCACTTTGTATTTCTGCTGCCAAGTACCAGGACTGGAGAGCTGAGAGAAGCCCCTCCAAAGCTTTCTAAGTGGAGAGAGATCTTTGTTGGGGACCAGCCTCAACACCACCCATAGGGTAGTTAAAGTCTTTGTGGCGACGAAGGAATGAGAAGAGACAGGTTTAAAGTGTATAAAGAGTGGGGGCCAGGGGGCCAATTGCAAAATGGAGGCTGCAAAAGGCACCAAGCTCCAGTCTCCACACTATTTATTGAGTACAATCACTTACATCTAAGAAGCAGACGTTTAGGGCGAAACGGTGAAAGGGAGGCAGTGTGTTATAGGCATAATCTATAGCAATAGCGGTTTAAATGAATCTCCTTTGTGCCCAAACATCGTATCTATAACTTATCGGAGTGTAGCTAGTGGGAGCGGGCTTAACTAGGAGCCTGCACGTCTGTCTACATTCCAATGCTTCAAAGGAGTGTCTTTCTTCTTGAACACAGTGTTTATAGATAAGAGAGCAGGTTGCACTCAGAGCATGGGAACATAATGGCGATAAGAAGGCTTTCCTCTTCAGAGGCCTCTTGTGGCTTTCCACAACTTATTGTCTCATATTTTTATGGCCAGCTTATGCAGGCACCCCACAAGCCTTTTTCCCAATATGCCCCACTTTTTTTAAAAACCACCATTGTTATTAAGGCTTGTTCGTGGTGTCTGGTCTCTCTCTAGAGGTGTCTTCTGTATTTGTAGACTAAAAGCAAACAGTATAAACAGATACACATTAAAGCAAAATTTGCAATAGTTGATCCTCTAATGGTCTTAATCCATTTAAGAGGGTTTATGTCTGAAAGTCCATCAGTAGCTTCAGTGAGAATGTCAGTCCCAGGCAGGAGAGTTAAATGAGCCTGAGATGCTTTAAAAACCTGGTCTTTTAATTTGGCCTTATCTAATGTGGGCAGAAAGCCACCCAGGTGCTGAGGCAAGAGACTGAAGGCACAACCTCTTCCAGTATAATAAAGAAAATAATTATGATAAGAAAAAGTTATTTTAGAAATAGAATACAGAGGTGATTATAATGGATATTATTAATCATTAGTTTTTAGTATTAATCTTTGTATTATTATTATTACCAAAGAAAAACCAGGCCGTACAGAGTTAGGAGCTGAAGGGACATTGTGAGAAGTGACCAGAAGACGAGAGTGTGAGCCCTCTGTCACGCCCAGATAAGGGCCGCTTGAGGGCTCCTTGGTCTAGCAGTAGTGCCAGTGCCTGGGAAGGCACCCGTTACTTAGCAGACCTTGGTCTAGCAGTAGTGTCAGTGCCTTGGAAGGCACCTGTTACTTAGCAGACTGGGAAAGGGAATCTCTCTTTCCTTGGGGGAGTTAGAGAACACTCTGCTCCACCAGCTCTTGTTGGAGGCCTGACATTAGCCAGGCCTGCCCACAGTCATCCGGAGGCTTAGCCGTCTCCCTGGGGTGCTGTGCTTCAAAGGTCACACTCCTTGTCCACTTTCATGTTCTGCCTGTACACCTGGCTCCTCCTTTTAAGTTCTTAGAAGATAGCAGTAGCAGAATTAGTGAAAGTATTAAAGTCTTTGATCAATCTCTGATAAGTGCATAGAAGAAATGCTGATGTATGCTGTCCTCCCTCTCTGCTTTGGCTACCACAAAGGGAAAGGCCCCCTGTCACATGGACACGTGACTTGCTTGACCTTATCAATCATTTGAGATGACTCACACTCCTTACCCTGCCCCCTTGTCTTGTATACAATAAATAGCAGTGCGTCCAGGCATTTGGGGCCACTAATGGACTCTGTGCATCAGTGGTAGTGGTCCCCTGGGCCTAGCTGTCTTTTCTTCTATCTCTTTGTCTCGTGTCTTTATTTTTCTACTATCTCTCATCTCTGCACACGAAGAGAAAACCCACAGGCCCTGTAGGACTGGACCCTACATCTGGCACCCAATGAGGATTTCTCTCTCGCTGTGTTCGGGGCCACTTCCACACTCTGCTCGTTGGGGGTAGTGGTCCCCTGGGCCCAGCTGTCTTTTATTCTATCTCTTTGTCTCGTGTCTTTATTTTTCTATGATCTCTCATCTCCGCACATGAAGAAAAAACCCACAGGCCCTGTAGGGCTGGACCCTACAATCTAATGTTAAACTTTTATTTCTTTTTTTCTAGATGACGTCTAACTTTTTTTAAATGATGTTTAGTAGTATTATACGAACAGGGAGTTATGTAGAAATTAGAAGTATTTTAATCACATTGTATTTGTAATCGATGCTCTAAGCTCATTATATGATCTTCCATCTAAATAACAGTCTGTCTAAGATCATTTATTTGATTTGTCAATTGTTGGTCTATCCAGGTCTGAGAATTCCACTATTTTGAGGAATTTTTTTGTCAATTATTTATATATTTTGTAGTTTGAACAGAGGAGTGTAAAGCAATTTCACCAGCCGCAGCAGTAGCTGTGGCTGCAATAAGGCCCATAATTACTGCTATAAGGGTAAAAATAAATCTTTTTGTTTTGGTAAACACTCCTCAACATTTTTGTGACAATATGAATGGAAGGAGAGGCTTCCTAACGTCTATTGAGGGAAACCGGTAACCAAACTTCTTCTATAGCCCTCATCAGCAACACAGATGGCTTCACACCAAATGTGGAATCAACACAGGTGAAAAGGTGACAGTTTTGAGAAATAATAGTTTGAGAAGTAGGTTGAATATTAATATTTTTGATCATCAACATAAAAGGAGGCTTGACACAACTCTGAATGGGCACTGTTCGGTTGGAAGAAAACTGATACACAAATTGAAGTCTCTTACCTTCTCTATCAAGTTAATATTTTTCTTTTTAAACCTGAATATGAGATTGGGCCATTATTAACTTTTATAATTTGGGATGTTTAGGGCCTATTACTGGATTAATCATTTTTGGATGTGGGCCAGCCATACTAAAATTGGTCCAAATTATGGGAAAATGAGCACGATTTTTAGTGTAAGTAGTGTCGTTTCTTTGACAGTATAGAATTTGTTTTAGTTTTGTTTTGCATCTATTATTTTGATTGGTACAATTAACTGTAAAGGTCCCCTTAGGGGACCAACTAACGACGATTGCATAGGAATTATTTTAAATAATTGCAATTCTTTTAAATTAATATTTCTAAATCTTTTGACCATTGTGGAGGTTGTTGACACCTCTTTTTTTTGGGCTTAAACTGTTTCAATTGAACCAAACTCTGTGAATGATCCAGGCTCTATCCAGACAATAAATGATAGGATACTGGTCTTTGATTATGACCTGGAATTTTAACTAGCCAATGTTGTCAGTAGCCTTTTAGGCAACTGATAGCCAGCCCTAGGCAAAGAGGGGGGAACTAATAACCTATGGACACATTTATTAACATTTTTTTCTCTTTTGTGTGAGAGGGCCTATGAGTATCTGTAGGCTTAGGTATCCAAACACTATCATTAACATAAACCTCAACCGGGGGTTCCAACCAAGTGACAGGCCTAATTAAAGATGGAAATGGGACATCTGCCCAATAGGTATAATTTCGGTCTGTTGTAGCCACAGGTTTTTCAGGTGAGGAGTTCACTGCTCTTATTTCAGCTTTGCATCCTAGCATTAGTAAATAACAGAAGACAAACCTGAGTATAATTAGCAACATTTTTTTCCGGTCAAAAAGTGACCTGTAGTGTTACTTGGCATCTTAGTTCACTATATGTTATTAATGAGGAACCCCACTCGGGGTATGTTAATTTATTTTAGCCAAGCAGTTATGTTATTAGAAGCTGAGAAGGGGGTGTTTTTTAAAGTAACAGGGCAGAAGAAAGGCAGATTTAAGATATGAGCTTAATAGAGTGTAGCAGGTATAGGTAGTAGGCAAAATGAGATAATTAAAAACGAATAAATTATTTGGCTTAGTCTTCTGTTTTTTCAGCGTAATGTCTGGGGCCTGTGTTGTTTGTGGAAGTCACATTGTTGAGGCTGCAATTTCTGTAGAGTCTTTTTTAGGCTTGCTTGAATTTTTTTTTCTTCTTTTCATCCTTTGATGAGGACATAGTCTTTAGGCTGATACTAGAAATTTTAGGGGTGGTGCCTGCGCTAAGAGACTTTTTACAATCTTTAAAGAGCAGGTTAGTGTTTTAAGAAAAACTCGTGGGCTGGGCGCAGTGGCTCACACCTGTAATCCCAGCACTTTGGGAGGCCGAGGCGGGCAGATCACGAGGTCAGGAGATCGAGACCATCCTGGCTAACACGGTGAAACCCGTCTCTACTAAAAATACAAAAAAATGTAGTTGGGCATGGTGGCGGGCGCCTGTAGTCCCAGCTACTCTGTCTCAAAAAACAATAAAAATAAAAAAACAGAAAAACTTGTGTTTTATTTTAATGTTTAGTTTATAGAAAAAGTGGATGATACCTTTTTAACTTTAGCAAATGTGTTTACACACATAATTTTTTACAATTATCATTTTAAAACTTGCTTAGACCTTTATTTTTATTTTTTAATTTTTTTTTTTGAGATGGAGTCTCACTCTGTCGCCCAGGCTGGAGTGCAGTGGCACGATCTCGGCTCACTGCAAGCTCCGCCTCCCGGGTTCATGCCATTCTCCTGCCTCAGCCTCCCTAGTAACTGGGACTGCAGGCGCCCGCCACCACGTCTGGCTAATTTTTTTTGTATTTTAATAGAGACGGGGTTTCACCGTGTTAGCCGGGATGGTCTCGATCTCATGACCTCGTGATCCGCCTGCCTCGGCCTCCCAAAGTGCTGGGATTACAGGCGTCAGCCACTGGCGCCCGGCCTGCTTAGACCTTTGAAACAAAAATTATACAACCTTTTTTGCATAAATTTTTTAATAACATTTTTCACGACTTTCACAGACAATTTTTAACATGTCTTAAATTTTTGTTTTATAACTTTTTTTTACTAAAGGTACATTTTTATAACTTTCTTAGTTTTTTTTGTTTGTTTTGAGATGGAGTCTCGCTCTGTCGCCCAGTCTGGAGTGCAGTGGCACGATCTCGGCTCACTGCAACCTCTGCCTCCTGGGTTCACGCCATTCTCCTGGCTCAGCCTCCCAAGTAGATGGGACTACAGGCGCCTGCCACCATGCCTGGCTAATTTTTTGTATTTTTGGTAGAGACGGGGGTTTCACCATGTTAGCCAGGATGATCTCGATCTTCTGACCTCATGATCTGCCCGCCTTGGGCTCCCAAAGTGCTGGTATTACAGGCATGAGCCGCCGCGCCCAGCCGATTTTTTTTCCCTTTTTCCACTTTTTTTTTTTTTTTTTGAGATGGAGTCTTGCTGTGTCGTCCAGGCTGGAGCGCAGTGGCGCGATCTTGGCTCACTGCAAGCTCTGCCTCCCGGGTTCACGCCATTCCCCTGCCTCAGCCTCCTGAGTAGCTGGGACTACAGGCGCCCGCCACCGCGCCCGGCTAATTTTTTGTACTTTTAGTAGAGACGGGGTTTCACCGTGGTCTCGATCTCCTGACCTCGTGATCCACCCACCTCGGCCTCCCAAAGTGCTGGGATTACAGGCGTGAGCCACCGCTCCCGGCCTCTACTTCGTTTTTTTCACAGTCTTTTTTTTTTTTTTTTGCATCTTGTTTTGATTTTTGTCTCTTTTAGTCTTTTTTCTTTACTTTTTTCTTTTATTTTTTTAATGTGTAATAATTAGATGAATGTTGGTAACAATGGATATATGTACATATCTTAGTTTCCAAAATTTAGGGATGTGTTTAACATCTGTTTGCCACAATGGATTAGGTTCTAATCCTCTAGGGTTAACACCTGTTGAAGGAGGGGACGTGCTTGTGAGCTGGTAATCTGGGCATTGTAGGATAATTTGCTTAGCCAGCCTCTGTGTAAGTTGAAATTATTTAGATAAGTTTTTCAATTTTGGTGGGAAAATTGATGTGATTGGGTGACTTGGTCAAGCAGTGATGTCATAACCTGAAGGTCTGCTTGATTATTGCCGTAAGCCAATGGGCCAGGCAGAGAGCTGTGAGCTCGAATGTGTGTAATAAAAATAGGATGTGTATCTTGGTTTAGCAATTGCTGAAGTTGAAGAAAAAGAACACACAGACTGGGCTCCAGAGCGAACTTAAGGCTGTAAAAGTTCTTTAATAATTAAACAGAATAACCTTAGCTTTTTGAATGTTAGTAAATTCAGATCGAGTGATTGGATTATGTGGTCTCCACCAGACTGTCGCTTTTTTTAATGTTTACTAGACCCACCAGTAAAAACAGTCACAGCTCCTTCCAAAGGAGCATCACAAGGAATTTTTGGAAGAACCCATGTAGTTAATTTTAAAAACTGGAAAATTTTATTTTTAGGATAATGATTATCAATACATTCAACAAATTCTGTTAAATTAACTTGCCATGTAACTGAGTTAATAAATGCCTGTTTTACCTGATTTTTATTTATTGGAATTATAATCTTATTGGGCTCAGTGCCACAAAGTTTAACAATTCGTGACGAGCCTGTCCAATTAGAATTGCCATCTGATCTAAATATACTGTGAGTGTTTTTATGGTATTATGTGGCAAAAAAAGACCATTTAACTAAATCATTATTTTGAACAGTAACCCCCATTGGGGAATGTGAAGTAGGGAACACAATGAATTGTAAAGGCGAGTCTGAGTCAATCTTACTGACCTGGGCTTGTTGAATTTTTGTCTTCAATTACTTTTAACTCTTTTATGGCCTCGGTGTTAGTTCTCTGTTACTTTGTAAGTTGGAATTTCCCCTCAATATTGAGAAGAGATTAGACATAGCATAAGTAGGAATTCCTAAGGTGGGCCGAATCCAATTAATATCTCCTAACAATTTTTGAAAATCATTTAAGGTTTTTAAATAATCTTTTTAAATTTGAACCTTTTGAGGCTTAATGGCTGTATCCTGTACTTGCATCCCCAAATACTGAAAAGGAGTGGTTGTTTGAATTTTGTCAGGTGCTATACGCAATTCAGCGTTTGTAATTGCCTTTTGTAAAGATGAATAACATTGAATAGGTTGATCTCTATTTTTTGCTGCACACATCTGGAAATTGATCTCTAACAGGCTGGATAGTTCTGCCTACAAAAGTTTGACAGATTGTGGGACTGTTTAACATACCCCGGAGTAAAACCTTCTAATGATATCTGGCTGCAGGTTCTTTGTTTTTAATGGCAGGGACAGTAAAGGCAAATTTTTCGAAATCTGCCTCTGCTAAAAGAATTGTAAAACAAGGCAGTCTTTTAAATCTATAATAATGAGCAGCCAGTCTTTAAGGAGCATAGTGGGGGATGGGAGCCCAGGTTGTAAGGCTCCCATCGGTTGAATTACAGCGTTGGCCACTCGCAAGTCGGTCAGCATGTGCCATCTACCGGACTTTTTCTTAATTACAACTATTGGGGAATTCTAAGGAGAGAAAGTGGGTGAAATATATCCTTTTTCTAGTAGTTCTTTAACTATTTCATAAAGCGCCCCCAATTTTTCCTTAGGCCACTGTTCGACCCAGACAGGGCGCTGGGTCATCCATTTTAAGGGAAATTGCTCCTTCACTGTAATGAACTGCAGGGCGAACCTGAATTACCCCCTCTCCATAATGAACTGCGGGTCGGGCAATAATGAGCGCGGCCAGCCGAGTCTCGGCAGCGGAGTCTCAGGCTCCCTCCGCCTGCACTCACTCGGCTGAGGAGGAGGTGGCCATTCCGGACATTCCTCTTGAGGAACCCTGAGCTGAATGAGTTTCTGAATAGGTTTAGGAAGACTGGGGGGATTGGCATAAATTACTTCCGGACTCTCCTTTTGGCTAGTACTCGGTAGAGGCGTTTCAGAGTCCTGATTATCAAACTCCTCCTTCTCCTCCTCTGACTCAGCCTCATCATTTGTCTGAAATGGCTCCAGTGCGGCACGCACCAATGACCAAACTGACCAAACAGGCAAACGAATTTCCTTTCCTTCTCTACGTGCTTTTTAAAGGTCCTTTCCAACTCTTTCCCAATCTCTTAATTTCAAAGTTCCCTGTTCAGGGAACCAAGGGCAAAATTGTTCTACAGCATGAAATTAATTCATACGATTTTTTGTACCAACTTTTACGCCATCACGCTTCAACAGCCGCCCTAGCAAGCTCAAATACGTGGTGTACTTACTTTCAGTTTTCCCCATTGTGTCCCTGGCTTTCTCCAAGTGCCCTGCTTACCTGCAGAGCTTAAAAACTTTTTCGTCCTCGGGAGTCCTTCGTCCATCAGCCCTCCGTTTCACACGCTCGAGCATTCCTTCATCAGATTCTTTCGAGCCCCACGTTGGGCACCAGAATGTTGGGGACCAGCCTCAATACCACCCTTAGGGTACCTAAAGTCCGGTGGCGACAAAGGAATGAGAAGAGACAGGTTAAGAGTGTATAAAGAGTGGGGGCCAGGGGGCCAATTGCAAAATGGAGGCTGCAAAAGGCGCCCAGCTCTGGTCTCCACACTATTTATTGAGTACAATCACTTAGATCCAAAAAGCAGACATTTAGGGCGAAATGGTGAAAGGGAGGCAGCGTGTTACAGGCGTAATCTATAGCAATAGCGGTTTAAATGAATCTCCTTTGTGCCCAAACAGCGTATCTTTAACTTATTGGAGAGTAGCTAGTGGGAGCGGGCTTAACTAGGAGCCTGCACGTCTGTCTACATTCCAACGCTTCAAAGGAGTGTCTTTCTTCTTGAACACAGTGTTTATAGATAAGAGAGCAGGTTGCACTCAGAGCATGGGAACATAATGGCGATAAGAAGGCTTTCCTCTTCAGAGGCCTCTTGTGGCTTTCCACAACTTACTCTCCCATATTTTTATTGCCAGTTTATGGCCCCATAAGCCTTTTTCCCAATGTATCTTCAAGAGAATGTCCAGCAACCCAAACAGCTGACACCCTGTTGGGTCAGCAGAGCTCAATCTCTCAGGGTTTGGAAAGCTGCAGGAGGGGCAGTAAAGCACAAAGAGAAGAGAAGGTACCACCGAGAAGTACTGTAGTAAAAAAATAATTTTGGTTTTACCATTCATCTTCCATCAAATTTCTACTAGTCAACAAAGCAAATAAAGACAACTACTATTTCACATGGTAGATGCAGAAACAGAGTTAATGAAGTGTGCTAAAGATAAGAAACATGATCTTGTGTCTATCTTTTTTTGTTTGTTTGTTTGAGATGGAGTCCCGCTCTGTTGCCCAGGCTGGAGTGCAGTGGCGCAATCTCAGCTCACTGCAACCTCGGCTTCCCGAGTTCACACCATTCTCCTCCGTCAGCCTCCCGAGAAGCTGGGACTATAGGTGCGTGCCACCACGCTTGGCTAATTTTGTTTGTATTTTATAGAGACAGGGTTTCACCACGTTGGCCAGGATGGTCTTGATCTCCTGACCTCGTGATCTCCCCGCCGCGGCCTCCCAAAGTACTGGGATTACAGGCGTGAGCCACCGCGCCAGCCAATCTTGTGCCTATCTTTAAATTAAAAACAAAATTTACAAATTACAAAACAAAAATAAGTAAATAGTTGACCTGGCTCATCGAAAGATATGGCTCTCCTTTCTCAAAAACAAAACAAAAAAAGGGAAAAAATGTCCTTCAAGTATGAGATACATACCTGTATATAGACAGAGAGAGAGAGAGTAAATGAGTCAATAACTTCGGATGAATCAAAGGAGTAGAAAAGTATAAAAGAAATGGGAGAATTGTAGGGTCCACAAGACAGCAGGCACGGGGTGACTCCGGGGCTCTGCTGGCTCCTCTATGGGTTTACCACTGCCCACGGGTGGATCAGGCCCTGGCCTGAAAGGAACCCTCGCAAGGGCAGATATTTACCGCCTCCTCCCTATCGTTGGAAACAAGTGCTCATTGTAGCCCAAAGAAACTCACGCTTAGACAGAAAATTCCTCAGCAAGACACCTTTACTTCTGCAGAAGAGTGCTGCTTGCACCTGTTACAATCGCAAGAGCACAACGAACAAAAGCGGGAAGGAGTTTTTAATACTAACGCAGTTCCTGTTTCTATGTTCTTCCCCTGTTGGCTGGGGTTGGACTGCACAATCTAAGCTGATCCTGACTGGCTAAAACTTAAACTTTTCCAAATAGGGTAAACCCACCATTTGTGAAAAGAAGAGGTGGGGCGGGGGGGAGCGGGGGGTAGGATTGATTTACAACTTTTACAACTTATGACCAGAAAGTTGAGTCTTTGAAGAGCAACTTAGTTGTCCCAACCATTTCCCCTCTTCTGTTTTATAGTTCTTCCTCTTCAAATTTCTTCAACAGGATTTGTTTTTTTTTTTTTTGTTCTTCTTGATTATCTAAGAGCAAGAGCTTATCTGAATACAGAGGGGGAAAGGTGAGGGAGGTTTTTGTAAGAGCTGCTTCTATGAGCCTTTGGGTTAACCCACGAATACAAGGTATGATACAGCAGCTCACAAGGATGAGTACATCTGTAACAATCGCAAGGAAGGTAAAGACTGAGGTCATGAGTCCTTTCCATTTTCCAAACCACCTTTCCATCAGGCCCATAAAGGGGTCGTCTATTCCAGAGTTTTCCGCTAATTCACTTGCTAGGGTGGTAAGGCCTTGCAAGGCTTTTGTGATTGTCCCGTCAGGGGCTGTATTATTAGGAATAAAAAAGTACAACACTGGACCCCGATCATGACACAAAGTCTGCCCTTTTCAGCTAACATCATGTCAAGGGCTATTCTAGTTTCCCAGGCCATCTGGCTCGTTGGGTCTAACTGTTCAGCTATTCCTTTTATGGCATCTCTGGTATAATTGACAAATTGCTCCTGATTGTAGTATATATAATTTATCCAGTCTACATTTTTGTTAATAGTGGACCACCAGAATAAGATAGGCTCGAACCCGGTGGCTATTTGGTTTCAAGCTTTGAATTCATTTGGTACCCCCTGCGGGACCCCGATACTGTCTATGTAATGTGCAGGTCAAAGGACCCGTGAAAGGCTTCTCTTTTTCTTCAGGTTACTTGCTTCCTGTCTGGTTGATGAAATGCCAAGGTGAAAGGGATGGCTAATTGGATCAGAGCGCAAGTGCTGCTCCAGTTGCTTGGCAGTGTACCCAATGTTGGTCCCCCACAATACTGCTCAGGGATAGACTAGGTCCCACACATCTGCTTGGGGATAGACTAGGGCTGACTGAGTGGTTAGCTCTTAAAAAAGTTTAGGCCCACTACATCCCGTCAGGTTTCCAAGGTATGTCAAATGTTTCCCTTGCTGTGAGAGACACAAGGTAAAATTGGCATCGAGAGCTGGAGATTAAATGTCCCTTGGGGGCAGTTCCATAGGGCTCTTTACCTTTGGGAAAAGTAGTGAAAGAGTGGTGCATGACTTGTTTCCCCAGGCTGTGGGATGCTGGAAGAGGCCTACCATAAAATCCATGCCAAGTTGGTTGGCCCATCCATGTGGGAAAGGAACAATTTGGGTTTGTTGGCCTGCCCATTGCACAAGCGTAACCATTGCTTTTATTTAGAGTGCGAACAGAATATTTAATCCGTTCCAGCCAGGCATTTATATCTTGATACCTGGTTTCTATGGTTAGGGTTTGCTTCAAGTCCTTGACATCTACTATAGCTACTTGGTTTTGTCATTCGGCATGAAGCGAGAAATGGTTTAATTGTGTGGGAGGGGGTAATGGTACAAGATGGAGAAGGAGGAACCAAGCACATTTCAAAGAAGCCTATAGGGTCCTTTCCAGTGATATCTGCTCCTAGGCCATAAAAGCGCTCTAAAGTGGGTGCAGGGTTAGTGGAGGTAGGGGTATTAATAGAGATAAGTACTGGGTTGCAATGGTGAGATTGGCAATTAGAGGGGGTGGTTCCTTTGGTGAAGTGGAGGTAGGGTTTTAGGGCGGTGCAACCCTCTGAGGAGGTCCAGCCCTGATACTTGGTAGTCCATATAACATCTCCCCAAGTATAGCAAAACCACTAATGCCAG
The DNA here is from genome assembly GCF_000001405.40 of Homo sapiens. Taxonomy (NCBI): domain Eukaryota; kingdom Metazoa; phylum Chordata; class Mammalia; order Primates; family Hominidae; genus Homo; species Homo sapiens. The sequence continues at coordinate 27,184,431 of NC_000006.12, read as the reverse complement.
ATTCATGCCCGTTCAGTGCAAGAGTCAGTTTTGTAGGCAGTACAGTCTATCTTAGAGGGACAAAGTTACTTTTCTGAAGAGGCTAGCTGTCTTTCACTTTGGACATCCCTGCAGGGCATGACAAGACAGGCATCAAATGTAATTGTTTTGGGGGAGGGTGACTGGGTTATACTGATGATAAGATATCCTTGGGTAGCTAAAGAAAGAAGAAAAAGACAGATTAAACCCTTTTGAATGTTAGTTTGGGGGCTGTCGACAGTCCATGACTTTGCAAGGGATGGGGCCTTTTTCACTCAAGTGTGGTGGGTCCATCCTTTTTCGGCCATTCAGATTGCTGTTTCGGTGGTTAGGAGTACTAGATAAGGTCCCTCCCATGTTGGTTCGAGCTTTCCCTCTTTCCAACTTTTGATGAGGCTGGTGTTGGTTAACTGGGAATTCGAGGGCAATGTAAGACAATGGGAAGGCATTTTGTCCATGGTAACCAGGTTTCAAAGATTAATTTGGTTAGGAGATTTTTTTAGAGTTTGATTCATTCTTTCTACCCTCCCTGATGAGGGCGGGTGCCAGGGAGTATGATATTCCCATTTTATTCCTAGTACTTGGGTTAGCCCCTTAATGATGTGTGCAATGAAGTGGGTCCCATTTTCCAGATGAACGTTCTCTGTTAGTCCAAACCTGCATATGATATGTTCCAAAAGGGCTTTGACTGCATTACTAGCTGTTGTGCTTGGGAAGGGGATGGCCTCTCTCCAGTGGGTGAGATGGTCTACTATTACTACTAAATACTTAAGACGGCCTATTGGGGGCGTTTCAGTGTAGTCAACTTGGATGCTTTGGAACGGCCTCAACCCTGGGTTTCTTCCCCCGGGAGGTTGCCTCTTTAGGGTTTGCTTATTAGTTTTTCTGCACCATCCGCCACTTGCCTAGTGAAGGTATATATCCCTACACACCCATAGACTCTAAGGACTGCATCGCACATAGCTTGAGGACCCCAGTGAGTTCCTTGGTGAAGCTGTGACAATATTTCCCTCATGAGGGGTTTAGACAGCATTTCCCTTCCATCTGTCCACACCCACTTCCCCTCTGGGCTTTCCTTAGCTCCTATTTTCTTGAGTTTCTCTTGGTCTGTGTGGGAGAAGATGGAGATCACAGCTGGAGGGGGAAGACAAGGGGTTAGATGGAAAATGGGTGCCTCTTGGGAATAGGCAGCTTGCTAGCTTGCTTAGCTACTTAATCTGTGAGGTTATTTCCCGGCTTTCAAAAGATGGGTTATTTTGGTGTCCTGGGACATGGACAACTGCAATCTCTTCCGGCAGCTGAAGATTTTCTAGCACTTGCATAATTAATTCCTTGTGGGCCAAATCTTGGCCCTTACTATTGATGAGGCCTCGTTCAGTCCAGATCTTTTCCGAAGGCATACTTGGAGTAAGTGTAAATAGTTCCTTCCTGATTCTGCAGGGATTTTAAGGCTTGGTTTAATGCAAAGAGTTCACATATTTGGGCAGACCACTTATTTGGCAGTCTTTCTGACTCTACCACTGTGAGGGTTTCCCTATCAACTATGGAGTACCCGTTGTGCCTTTTTCCTTCAATGACCTGGGAGGAGCCGTCTATAAAGAGGTGATGCCCTGTTTGGAAGGGGGTTTCATGCCTGGATGCGGTCTGACTCTAGTTTGAAAACTGATTAGATCTAAGCAGTTATGCTCACATTCCTCCTGGTTTGGATTTCCTGTTAGGAAAGCAGCGGGGTTGAGTGAATTGTCAGTGGTTAGTGTTAGGTTATCTCCCTCTAATAAGATAGCTTCATATTTTAAAATCCTTGAGTCAGTGAGCCATCTCCCTGCCTTCTGATTAAGAATGGTTCTGACTTGATGAGGGGCACTTACGAAGAGGTTTCCCCCAAAGGTTATTTTCCTGCTTTCTTCTGTTAGCAAGGCAGTTGCTGCTATGGATTGAACACATTCGGGCCATCCACGGGTTACTGGGTCAAGGATTTTTGACAGAAAGACTACAGGCTGCCGGTGGCCTCCATGTTTTTGGGTGAGTACCCCTAAGGCCACTCCTTTGCTTACATTAATGAAAAGATGGAATGGCTGTTCTAAGGAGGGCAAAGTTAGAACAGGGGCAGTTACAAGTAGGTGTTTTAATTCTTTTACCGTTGGATCTCTGATGGGGTCCAAAGGAGGGGGTCTGGTCCTTCTTGAGTGAGTTTTTGATATAGGGGCTTTGTTTTTAAGGCATAAGAGTCAGTCCACAGATGACAATATCCAACCAATCCTAATAATTTCCTAAGTTCCTGCTTTGTTTCAGGTAAAGGCAAAGACAGGATACCTTCAATTCGTTCGGATCCTATCTTTCGTTCACCTTTACTGATTAGGTGTCCTAGATATTTTACCTCAGATTCTATGAATTGGATGTTGTTCTTTGAGACCCGTAATCCTTGTCCCCTTAGGAAATTTAGGAAGTTAACTGAAATTGCTGTTACTTGATCCTTGTTATCTCCTGAAATGAGCAGGACATCTACGTATTTGAGTAGGCATATGGATGAAGGCAGGGAGAAGTTTTCTAGGACTTGCTCTAAAATATGACCAAATAGATTTGGGGACTCTGTAAACCTTGGGGCAAGACTGTCCATCGACCGGAGTGAGGGTCCTCTCACTCAAAGGCAAATTTGTCCCAGCTGTCCTCTGCTAAAGGGCAAGCCCAAAAGGCATCATTTAAATCTGTCACCGTGAACCATTGGTGGTTATGCGGGATTCTACTGAAAATGGTGTAAGGATTGGGAACAACAGGGTGGATGGTCTGAACTATTTGGTAAATAGCCCAGAGGTCTTGCACTAGCTGGTATGACCCGTCTGACTTCCTTACAGGCAATATTGGAGTGTTATAAGGGGACATACAGGGTTCAAGTCTTTCAATTACAGGTTTTAAAACTATCCTGGTTTTAAACCTATCCTGGCTTCCAAGGGAATAGGGTATTGTTTTCGTGGACAAGGCTTTCAATTATAGGTTATAAACCTATCCTGGCTTCCAAGGGAATAGGGTATTGTTTTTGTTTCACTATTTCCCCAGGAGTTTTTAATTTGACATGGATTGGAGGAACCCATCCTCGATTCCCTTCTTTCGACCATACGTTGGGATGGATGCGGCTTTCTTCTGAAGTGGTGAGTACGTTTAAGGAAGTAAGGAGTTTTCCTTGATTAACATATAGGCCTGTGCCTAACCTTAACATTAAGTCCCTTCCTAATAAATTAGTTCCTGCTTCAGGAATTAAGAAGAACTTAGTAGCAACCGACTTATTCTTATATTTGACTTCGGTTTCCTCTAGAATTTTTGCTCTGAATCCTTCCCCTTTAACTCCTGAGACAGTAAGGTCTTCGGCTGAACAGGATAAATCTGATGGGAGAAAACATAGGCAGGAGCCAGCTGCTCCCGAATTGACCAGGAAAGTGACTATTTCCAATTTGGGTCCCACCGTTAAATTTATCAAGGGCTCTTGGTGGGACTCAAGATGGAAGACGTAGAGCCCCTGAGCCCACTGTTCTTCAAATGTCATGAGTGAAAGGACTTTCTTTTCCCTCTCCCATTCGGGACATTTCCTCTTAAAATGTCCTGGCTTTCCACATCTGAAACATCTGTTTTTCCTTCTCCCCCTCCTGGTTCCCTGATTCTCAGGTTTCGTCCCTTTGCTTCCTGTATAGGGTCTGGCAGCCTGGTACTCAGAAGGTTTACAAGTTCTATTTCCCTGGGATGCCTGTTGAAAAGTTCCCTGTTGTAGGGTGGACAGCATAATTTTTGCCTTTTGCTTCTGCCTTTCCTCATCCCTCCGTACATATACCTTTTGGACCTCTCTTTAAAGTTCCTCTATGGGACAGTCTTTCTAATTTTCTATCTTTTATAATTTCTTTATAGTGTCTGGCCAACTATTGGTGACAAAGTGGAGCTTTAACATCCTTTGTCCTAGTGGGTCCTCTATGTCCAAACCTGCGTATTTTCTTATCTGTTCCTTAAGTCTGTTTAAGAATTCCATGGGCCCTTCATCTTTCTCTTGCTGTACATTAAATGCTTGGGAAATGTTTTGGGTTGGAGGAACTGATTCCTGAATCCCTTTAATTATCATATCCCTATCTCTCATGTTTTCCCGGTGAGCCGCACTGTTGTTATCCCATTGAGGGTCCTGGGCCGGGAATTTATGCTCTGCTGCAAGGACATTCTGACGAGGGGGGTGCTTGCGCTCCCAGGCTATCATAGCAGCCTTGCAGATCATGGTTCTTTCCTCTCCTAAGAAGAGAATACCTAGAATAGACATCAATTCAGCCCAGGTATACAGTTGTGGCCCCATAAATTGGTCAATTTGATCTGAGACTCCAAAAGGGTCATCTAACAGTGGTTTGAGTCTCCTTTTTAGATTTCTAACTTCTTCACTAGCTAAGGGGGGCATTTACGAAGCCAATATCCCCTCCTCCTAGTGGTACTTCCCTCAAGGGAAAAAAGGTTGGGGCAGACTTCTTTGAAGAGAGGAAAGGAAAGTTTTGAATATCCCTTTGGCATTGTTCTATTTGCCACTGGAGCTTTCCTAAGGGAGGGGCATGTTCGAGTGGCTGTCCAACGGGGGTGTGTGGTGTCAAGGCCCATGGGGCAGGGTTATATGGGGGAGGGACGGAGTTTTAGCTTGGGGCAGAGGGGTAGGTGCGGGAAGGGCTGTTGTTCAGTCGGGGCGGAGAGGTAGGCAGGGGAAGGTGGTCTAGAGGATCCCGTGCATCTTTGGATATAGAATATGACTTAGCTAGGTCGTCTTTGGGGGGTTTTGAGTTTGGCTTTGCTTTTTCGTCCTTTAAGGGATAGAGAAGGACAGGTCCTTGTCTCCAACATAGAGCATAATCTATCTCCTCTTGAGAAACTGGGCTTTTATCATTGACATACTGGATCAGGAGTTGGCATATCCAGTCCTCGTCCCACCCAAACTTTGGCCAAAAGACCGAAGGTCTGAGGATGGGTTCCTTAGTCCAAATAAAACAGCAGTACTTTATCATTTGCTGTCTTTTCTTGTGTTTGGTCCTTTCATTATCCTTCCAGTATTTTAACATTAGGCCTAGGGGACTGTGAGGGAAATTTTATTGTCTGCTTGGCCTTTTAGAGTCTCTGTCTTACTTGGGGTTATTTCCCATCCTGGAGGTTGGTGAGGCTTAATATATAATATTAGAGATCTCTTGCACTCCCGTGTCTTAGAGGCTCAACCTCCCCTTTTTCCACTGGAGGTTTCTTGCACTCTCGTGAGCACTCACTTCGTCCTTATTGGCTGCTTCCCTTGCGGGAATTTTAGGCACCTCTTAGCATTGGCGGGTAGGTGGAATCCCCTGATTGGAAAACCGCCCTAAGCCGTATGAGGTGACCACGGAACCAAGTCCGGACTCCGCACTCGCCTTGCGCCCAGTGGTATGTCTCACTCACACACTTTAAAACTCCAGAGACCCCAACCACCAAGGAAGGCTTTGCCGCCCCAATAGCAACGTTTCTTACCTTGGTCTGTGCACAGAGTTACCTGTGGTCGCCATGGAATTCTTTTTTTTTTTTTTTTTGAGACGGAGTCTCGCTCTGTTGCCTAGGCTGGAGTGCAGTGGCATGATCTCGGCTTACTGCAACTTCTGCCTCCCGGGTTCAAGTGATTTTCCTGCCTCAGCCTCCCAAGTAGCTGGGACTAAGGGCGCGCACCACCACGCCCGGTTAATTTTTGTATTTTTAGTAGAAACGGAGTTTCACCGTATTGACCAAGCTGGTCTCACAGAATTCTTAAGGATCCTCCCTACTGTCCGCGTTGCTGAGAGTCCGGATTTATTCGTCACTTCGGGCGGGACTCGATCCTCCGCTCCTGGGGCCACCACGAGGCAATGGGACGCGTCTCCCCATGAAAGATAATCGCTAGCCCCTCCCGAAGGAGAATGGGATCCCGGACGAGTCCCTAAGATTTACTGGAAACAAGTGCTTGGTGTAGCCAAAAGAAACCCTCACTTAGAAAATTCCTCAGCAAGGCATCTTTACTTCTGCAGAAGGGTGCTCCTTGCCTGTTACAATTGCAAGAGCACACCAAACAAAGGAGGTAAGGAGTTTTTAATCCTAACGCAGTTCCTGTTTCTGTGTCCTTCCCCTATTGGCTGGGGTTGGACCGCACAATCTAAGCTGATCCCGATTGGCTAAGACTTAAACTTTGGCAAATAGGGTAAACCCTGGATTTGCGAAAAAAAGGAGTGTATGTGTGTGGTGGGGGGCGGGGGGCAGGCAGGATTGACGTACAACTTTTGCAACTTATGACAAGAAAGTTGAGTCTTTGAAGAGGGACTTAGTTGTCCCAACACTCTGAGTTGCCTGACCCGGTCCTGGGCTCAGTTCCTCCCAGATACCGGCGTTTATCATTGGTGTAGATAATGGTGACTTCCCTTGTCTTAGATGTGGGTGTCTTGGTCTTCCCGGGACGGAAGGAGTCAGAGACTCTTGAAAGGAGCCGTCCCGCTGGTCCTTTCATTTACGCCGATGCCAGCCCGGCACTCGAGCATCACCAAGGGCCCGGTGCCCGGCACTGCAGGGCCAAGTCTGATTTTATCGTTTGTGGAGCTGCAAGCTTAGGACGCACAGCTGTGAATTTCGGGTCCTGGTGACTGCGGAACCACCGCGAGGCCAGGAGGCGAGACAGTGCACTTTCCCAGGTTCCCAGGCCTAAGAGCCCACCTGGCTGGAATGGTCTCAAGGAGCAGAGAGGAATCCGCACCCTCCGAGTCCTCCGAACCCTCCGATCCTGCGAACCTGCGGCGGCTCTGCGGTTGGTTCCGTGAGGAACTGGCCGCGATCGCAAGCTTGGAGCTGCTTTTTGGTTTGTTCTGAGTCCTTCACCTGGTGAGGGGAAGGAAGCCCTGCTTGGGGTCGTTGAATCTGAGTTTTCTCCAGTCAGAATCAGTGGTTTGAGATTGTTTTCCCTGAAACAGCATGGTTTTCCTGTGCCTACAGTGAGGAATTCTCCTTTTCTTAAAAAAAAATATATTTTATTAATAAAAGGGAAAGTAACGCTTCTATTACAAAAAAAAAAAAATTCAGCGGGCATGGATCAGGTATGATTTAAATAAACATAAGAAAAGACCCTCCCACCAAGGAGGCCGGTTAGCTCAGTTGGTTAGAGCGTGGTGCTAATAACGCCAAGGTCGCGGGTTCGATCCCCGTACGGGCCACTTCCGTGGGTTTGTTTTTTTTTTTTTTCTTCTTTTTCGTTTTTATTTTACACCGACCACACCTCGCTTGTAAACTTCGGTTTTACATCGAACTCCGTAGCCTCGCCTATCCATTTATAAATGTAGTTGCACTAGCTAGACAGGAATTTTTTTCTTTTTTCTTTTTTTTTTTTCTTAAATCGACCACACCTGGATTGTATACTACCGTCTTACATCCAACTCCGGAGCGCTGCCTATCCATTTGTAAATGTGGTCGCAATAGCTAGACAAGCATTAGATTTGCACGTTTTTTATTCTTTTGAAGAAATAATATACGAGTTAGGATGAAAAGGTTTTTCTTATTTGTTTGTTTTGTTTGTTTTTGAGACAGAGTCTTGCTCTGACGCCCAGGCTGGAGTGCAGCGGCGCGATCTTGGCTCGCTGCAACCTCCGCCTCCCAGGTTTAAGCAATTCTTCTGCCTCAGCCTCCCAAGTAGCTGGGATTACAGGCGTGTGCCACGATGCCTGGGTAATTTTTGTATTTTCAGTAGAGACGGAGTTTCACCATGTTGGCCAGGCTAGTCTTGAACTCCTGACCTCAGGTGATCCGCCTGCCTTGGCCTCCCAAAGTGCTGAGATTACAGGCATGAGCCATCGCGCCCGGCCAGGATGAAGATTTTTTAAAGGAAATTCAATGAGGTGGGTGGGTGATTTTAGAAAAGGGTTAAATAAGAATTCGATAATGTCTTGTATTATTTTGGGAAAAAAAAACTTTCTGAGATAATACTATTTTGACATATTTTAAGCTTTTGAAAGAGATCATATTGATTCTTCTCCTAGTTGATCACTCAGTTGGTTAAATTGTTGTGTTTGTAGCTTTGAGGGCGAGGGTTCAGTCTACGTGGGAAAAAGCCAGACTTGTGACGTTGCTTTCTGCCAAGCTCCAGACACTCAGCCACAACTGCTCAGTGTTAAAATAGATCCGTGGTTAGCCTTAGGCTTATATTTGACAGCTGTTCTCGATGTGGCCCATACCAAGCCATTTACGATGCGGCCCTTACCAAGCCATTTACAGTTCATTAAACAATTTTTGAACATATATCGTAAAAGCGATAGGTTTGAAATGTGACAAAAATGGAGTGCGTGGTGGGAGACAGGAGGGCCAGAGCCTCTGGGTCCACTCTAAGTCTTAGCACCTCGCTCTTTCTGTCCTGCGCTTTCTTTTTTTTTTTCTTTTTTTCTTTTTCTTTTTTTTTTTTTTTTTTGAGACGGAGTCTCGCTCTGTCGCCCAGGCTGGAGTGCAGTGGCGCAATCTCGGCTCACTGCAAGCTCCGCCTCCCGGGTTCACGCCATTCTCCTGCCTCAGCCTCCCAAGTAGCTGGGACTACAGGCGCCCGCCACTACGCCCGGCTAATTTTTTGTATTTTTAGTAGAGACGGGGTTTCACCGTTTTAGCCGGGATGGTCTCGATCTCCTGACCTCGTGATCCGCCCGCCTCGGCCTCCCAAAGTGCTGGGATTACAGGCGTGAGCCACCGCGCCCAGCCCTGTCCTGCGCTTTCTTGGAGTCTGGTCACTGGGTCCCCGTGTGCCTGGCACGTGTCTCATTTACATTTCTTCCTTCACTCTTCATCCTCCCAACATATTTTTACCCTTCTCTTATTTTAAAACATGGGTTGCTATGAAAATGACATTAACAATATTGATAAATAATGAGGTAAATAATGGCTCAAAAACAGCGCCAAGGACATAGTGGGCGAATCACAAAGGGAAGGGGCTCCCTCTGTTTTGCTCAGTGCTGTGATTTTTCACGTCAAAAACAGTAAGTAGCTCAAAGTCAGCGACTGAAAAAGATTTCTTTAGAATAAATTAATGAAGAGTACCTACTACTTAGTCCATTGTATATTAGATGATATATACAGATTTAAGTATAAGAAGGATTCCACAGGTAGTTGCTGACTTTGAAAACGAAGGGAGCCACCAGCCAGAGAACTCAGGCATCTGCTAGAAACTGTGAACAACCTGTAAACCGTTATCTCAGTCCTACAGCTGCAGGGAACTGAATGCTACTGACAACCTGAGTGAGTTTGAAAACGAATTCTCCCCTAGAGCCTCCATGAGGAACATGGCCGGGCCTGCTGACGTTTTGGTATTAGTTTGATGACACCCTGCCAGACTTATAACGCACAGAACTGTGTGATAATGAATGGATGTTGTTTTAAGCTATTAAATTTGTGGTAGTTTGTTAAGGAAGTAATAGAAAAACTAACAAAACAAGAAATTGTTAACCCACCCACACTTCCTACTATCTATCCTGGGTTATCTTCCTCTCTTCAGTGCAGTGTAAGATGAAATATGGTTTCAAAATGAGGGACAATAATTTTCAACATCAACACAGTAAGAATGAAAAAAAAGAGGGAGCTTCTTAGGATCCATTAAAAATTAAGGATATAGATATGCATATATATGAAAAGTTAATACATTCACATAAACAGTAACTAAAAGTGAAGATTTTCTTCTTCCTCATAACCCACATCTGCTCAGTTCTCAGCACTACCTCCTATATATGACAATTCTTCTTAGTTTCCTATGTATTCTCCTTAGTGTTCTTTGTGCAATAGGTGCAAATATACATAATACATTTTACTTTTCCTTTCTACTTATGTAAAATATAACATTATACACACTATTTTACATTCTGCTTTTTTCACTTGATATGCCTTGGAGATGTCTAATTTAGCAACACTTGTAATGCTTTCAAACAGCATTATATGCTGTACAGAAATAAAACTTTTTTTTTTTTTTGAGACAGAGTTTCCATCTTGTCGCCCAGTCTGGAGTACAGTGGTGTGATCTTGGCTCACTGCATCCTCCATCTCCCAGGCTCAAGTGATTATCCTGCCTCAGCCTCCCGAGTAGCTGGGATTACAGGCACCCGCCACCATGCCCGGCTAATTTTTGTATTTTTAGTAGACACGGGGTTTTGCCATGTTGGCCAGGCTGGTCTCGAACTCCTGACTTCAGGTGATAACCCCACCCCCACCTCGGCCTCCCAAAGTGTTGGGATTACAGGCAAGAGCCACCGCGCCCGGCTGAATCTAGACCATTTAAGTTCATCCCACAACTGAGGATAGGAAGTATATAAGCAGGATTGGAGAGAGAGAGAGAAGATTACACCTTTACTTTAATAATGTGAATAAAACTCTATATGAAGCCATGTGATATTCCAAAGAGTCTTCAAGTAGGGGATCCATAACACTCTGTTGATCAAAGGAAATTACATATTCATTTGTTAAAAGATGACTTTCAGAAAAAGCTAAATCCGTAGCTCTCATACAGATATAAAAATAAGCATACGATCGAAAAGAATAAAATGCTTCAGAATAAATTTAACCAAGGAGATGCAAGAATTGTACTCTGGAAAATACAAAACATTGCTGAAAGAGATTAAAGATGTTAGAGTGCTCATTGCAATTAAAACAAACAAAACAAATATCAACAAGGAGGCACTAAGCCTATTCTGACACCGCTGGTCTGTAGTACCAGAAGTCTTGTTGATGCAAAGTTTAAGTAAATTATATTTTAATGAAAAGGTAGATAAAACATTGTACAACAGTACTCTAGGCCACCAACAAAACTATGACAGACATCCAGGCACGGTGGCTCAGGTCTGTATTCCCAGCACTTTGGGAGGCCGAAGTGGGTGGATCATTTGAGGTCAGGAGTTTGAGACCAGCCATGGACAACATGGCCAAAACCCATCTCTACTAAAAATACAAAAAAAAAAAAAAAAAAAAAAAAAAAAAAAGCCAAGCATAGTGGTGTGCTCCCTTAATCCCAGCGACTCAGGAGGCTGAGGCATGAGAATCTCTTGAACCCAGGAGGCAGAAGCTGCAGTGATCCGAGATCGCGCCACTACACTCCGGCCTGGGTGACAGATATGAGACCCTGCCTTTAAAAAAAAAAACCGAAAAAGAAAAAGAAAAGGAAGCTGTAACAGACACACTAAAAGCCCTCCAGCTTTAACTTGTAACATAGCTTCATTCTCAAAGCTGACTTCTTTTTTCTTTTTCCTGAGTATAGAACAGTTAAAATTTCAAACAGCTCCTTGACACTGCTTTTCATGTCCAAACCAGACATTTTGTTGTAATTCGATAAAAGGCCTCTTCCCCTCCTCCCCTACACAAACACACCCCCACCACACAGTCTGACTCTTGCCCTCATACCCCAAGGTAATGAGTGAATTATGCTCAGGTCCTTGTAAAGAAAATCTTGGGATGACGAAGGGGCTAGGCAGCAAGAAACGAAACAAAACAAAACAAAACAAAATTTTGTATATGACTTTTTTTTTTTTTTTTTAGACAGAGTCTCGCTCTGTCACCCAGGCTGGAGTGCAGTGATGTGATCTCGGCTCACTGCAACCTCCGCCTCCTACGTTCAAGCGATTCTCCTGCCTCAGCCTCCTGAGTAGCTGGGATTACAGGCACGTGCCACCACGCCCTGCTCATTTTTGTATTTTTAGTAGAGACAAGGTTTCACCACGTTGGTCAGGCTGGTCTCGAACTCCTGACCTCAGGTGATCCGCCGCCTCGGCCTCCCAGAGAGCTGGGATTTACAGGCGTGAGCCATCGTGCCCGGCCTGTATATAACTTTTAAAACAAGAGGACAACACAGTATTTTTCAAAATTGTGTATAGCGCATATGCATGGACAAAGCAAGTGTGGCACGTATTTGCATAATGTTTAATTTTAAAAAATTATTCTTTAAAAATCTTCAGGATTATATCTATTTTGCTGTGCATTTTCTTTCACTTTGCTTTATCTTTCCAGGGTTGAGGTTGGGATAAAAGGTGTGTTGGTTTAGTACCTCTGCAAGCCCTAACTAGAGTTCTTTCACTTTCCTAAGGTAAGAACATTCTTAATTAGAATTAGGAAGAAACTTTTATTTTTTTAATAGGAAATTAAAGAAGATGTAAATAAAAGAAAAGGCATGTGTGTTAGTGAAGGTTCTCCCCAGAAACAGAGCCAATGGGATGTGTGTGTGTGTGTGTGTGTGTGTGTGTGTGTGTATGTATATAGGAGGGGGGATTTATTTTCAGGAATTGATTTCTGCAACTGTGGAAACAAGTTTAAAACCTTCATGGTGGCCGGGCGCGGTGGCTCACGCCTGTAATCACAGCACTTTGGGAGGCTGAGGCCGGCGGATCACGAGGTCAGGAGATAGAGACCATCCTGGCTAACACGGCGAAACCCCGTCTCTACTAAAAATACAACAACAACAACAACAACAGCAACAAAAATTAGCCGGGCATGGTGGCGGGCGCCTGTAGTCCCAACTACTTGGGAGGCTGAGGCAGGAGAATGGCGTGAACACAGGAGGCGGAGCTTGCAGTGAGCAGAGATCGCGCCACTGCACTCCAGCCTGGGTGACAGAGCGAGACTCCTTCTCAAAAAAAAAAAAAAAAAAAAAAAAAAAAAAAAACCTTCATGGTAGGGCAGCAGGCTGGGGACCCAGGGAAGAATTGATCATACAGCTGGAGTCTGAAGGCATTCTGCTGACAGAATTCTTTTTTCCTTAGGAAACATCAGTTTTTTTTCTCTTCAACTGATTGAATGAGGCCCATTCACATTATGGAGAGCAATCTGACTCAAAGTCTACAGATATAAATGCTTATCCCACCCAAAAAATACCTTTACAGAAATATCTAGAATAGTATTTAACTAAATGTTTGGGTACTGTGGTCTAGCCAAGTTGACACATAAAATTAACCATCACAATATCCCATGTTCAAAGATTGGAAGACTTAGTATTATTAAAATGGCAATTCTGCCCCAAAGCTATCTAAAGGTTTAATGCAATCCCTATTAATATCCTAATAACTTTTTTTTTTTGCAGAAATGGAAAGGCTGATTCTAAAATTCATATGTTATTGCAATCAAAAGAAAAACAGGCTGGGCGTGGTGGCTCGCGTCTGTAATCCTAGCACGTTGGGAGGCTGAGGTGGGCAGATCACTTGAGGTCAGGAGTTCAAGACTAGCTTGGCCAACGTGGTTAAACCCTGTCTTTACTAAAAATACAAAAATTAGCCAGGTGTGGTAGTATGTACCTGTAGTCCCAGCTACTTGGGAGGCTGAGGCAGGAGAATCACTTGAACCTGTGAGGTGGAGGTTGCAGTGAGCCAAGACCATGCCACTGCACTCCAACCTGGGCGACAGAGTGAGACTTCATCTCAAAAAAAAAAAAAAAAAAAAAAGAAAAGAAAAACAAAGTTGGAGAACTTGTGCTTTCTGATTTCTAAAGATACCACAAAACTACAATAATAAAAATGGTGCAGTGCTGGCATATATACATATAGATCAATGAGAGTTCAGGAATAAAGCCGTATACCTATGACCAGTTAATTTTTGACAAGGACCAGCAAGACAATTCAATGAGAGAAAGAATAATCTCTTCAACAAATGGGGTTGGAATAACTGAAAATTCACAGGTGAAACTATGAAAGTGGATCCCTACCTTGTACCATATGGAAAATCTAAATCAAAATGGATCAAAGACTTAAATGGAAGAGCTAAAACTACAAAATTCCTAGAAGAAAAAATAGGAATAAATCTTCATGACCATCAATGTGACAATGGCTTCATAGATATGACACTAAAAGCACATGCAACAAAAGGAAAAATAGGCACATTGGACTTCTTGAAATTAGAAACTTTTGTGGATCAGAGGACATATCAGAAGAGTGAAAAGGCAGCCTAAAGAATAACAGAAAGGCCGGGTGTGGTGGCTCACACCTGTAATCCCAGCACTTTGGGAGGCCAAGGTGGGTGGATCATGAGGTCAGGAGTTCAAGACCAACCTGGCCAATGTAGTGAAATCCCATCACTACTAAAAATGTAAAAAATTAGCCGGGAGGCAGGAGAATCGCTCAAACCTGGGAGGTGGAGGTTGCAGTTAGAGGAGATCATGCCACTGTACTCCAGCCTGGGCGACAATGTGAGACTCTGTCTTAAAAAAAAAAAAAAAAAGAATGACAAAATATTTATAAATCATATATCTGGTAAGGGTCTAGTGTCCAGAGTATATTTTTAAAAACCCTTACAACTCAACAACAAAAAGAAAACAAACCAATTAAAAATTGGGCAAAAGACTTGACTAGGAATTCTTTCAAAGAAGATATACAAATGACCAACAAGCACATGAAAAGATGATCAACATTATTAATTATTAGGGAAATGCAAATTAGTGAGATACCACTCCATACCTACTTGGATGACTAGAATTAAAAAATCAGGTAATAACAAGTGTTGGCGAGAATATGGAGAAACTGGAACTCTCATACATTGCTAACGGGAATGTAAAATGGTGCAGCCACTGTAGAAAAGTTTAGTAGTTCCTTAAAAAGTTAAACATAGAATTACCATATGAACTCACAATTCCACCCTTATGCATATAATCAATAGATTTAAAAGCAGGTTTTCAAACAAATACCTGTACATGAATATTTATAGTATTACTGTCACAATAGCCAAAAGGTGGAAGCAACACAAATATCCATCAACTGATAAAGGCACAAGGAAAATATGGTACATCTATACAGTGAATATTATTCAGCATAAAAAGTAATGAAGTACTCATATATACACAACACAGATGAACCTCAAACATTATGCTAAGCAATAGAAGGCTGACAGTGTATGATTCCATTTAATGAAATATCCAGAATAGGTAAATTCATACACACAGAACTTAGATTAATGGTTGCCAGGATTTGGGGAAAAGAACAATGGGGAGTGACTGCTTAATGAGTATAGAGTTTGCTTTTGAGGTGATTAAAATGTTTGGAAGTGGATAGAAATGATGACTGCACAACATTGTAAACATACTAAATGCCACTGAATTGTACAATTTAAAATGATTAATTTTATGTTATGTAAATTTTATCTCAATAAAAATAATGAATACAGATTAAATATCTTATTTTGCTGATTCAGTGAAGGAATCAGACAGATGTTATAACCAGTTTAAAGGGAAAGTCAAAAAACACAAATTTATATGGAGTAGAAGAATTACATTGGAAATGGAGAGAAAACTGGTTTTTCCACTGTGGGAGGAAAGTTGTGTTAGTCTATTTTGCGTTGCTATCAAGGAATAGCTGAGGCTGGATAATTTATAAATAATAGAGGTTTATTTGGCTCATGGTTCCGCAGGCTATACAAGCATGGCACCAGCATCTGCTCAGCTTCTGGTGAGGCCAAAAGGAGCTTTTACTCATGGGGAAGGTGAAGCAGGAGCAGGCGCCTCATGGTGAGAGAGGGAGCAAGAGAGAGAGAAGGAAAGTCCTGGTCTCTTTTTAAAGTCCAATCTGAGATTCCTCGTGAGAACGCTCAGGTTTAACAACCAGATCTCTCACACAAACTCATTACTGAGGAGAGGGCACCAAGTCATTCATGAAGTATTTACCCTCATGACTCAAACACTTCCTCAGGCCCCAGCTCCAACATTGGGGATCATATTTCAGCATGAGATTTGGAGGGGACAAACATCCAAACCATGTCAGAAATCAACTGAAACTGTACTGGACAAGATAGAATTTGCATGCCTATTAATTTACAAAAAACTGTAAAATAACTCAAAGATAATAAAAGGCTAGAACCTGATATCCCAGAAGCATATGCTGTATTTAGACGATGCATAGTTTTCATTTGAAACAAAATTATTTTCTTACAGACTTACCCTCTTTTGACCAAAAATAATCTCAAAAGAATATTCTTGTCAAAAAAAGGATAATATTCTTCGTCATAAAATAAGAATGAGGTCATTAATTTGACCTGATTACATCTGTGAAGCATATAGGCTGTCTTAAGTTTGCTTTGCTGGAAGTTTTCACAAGGAGTCACAGATTGGACTTTAAATAAAGACTCTTATTATTTGTTTTCGTTCTTAGTTGCTTGTTCAGAAGCCAAGACCTCATGACCAGATTTAACCTGCAGTACTTGTAAATTTGAGTGAATACCTCTCTTCTCAAAGTCCCTAAAACATTCTGAGTTTCTTGGGCCTGCCAGGAAATGTCCTTCTATAGACACTCACTTAGAAGGCTAGGAACACTGGAAACAAGGTATCAGGCTAGTTTCCTGGAGATTGCTTTGTAAGTCTCCATAACGTCAACCTTACTTTTTAAAAAATGTGTGGTTATACCTGATCAAATGAACACCATTTTCAAATGCGACATTTGAGGCAAAGCCTTGGTTGCATGACCAGTGTTTCCAATTATGTCCTAGTGAAAAAAAGGACAGATTCTTACTGAACCTATGCAAATACCTATAATGCCATGAAAATAAGAATACTTAATAAGAGTTTCCCAATTTTAGAGAGGTCAGGTAGGGACAATAAGATATTTACAAATGTTTAATTTTAGTTTACAAAAGCAAAGTCTGCTAAATTGTTATGAGTAAATGGCTCATAACATAGATAGCTTAAGAGGAGAGGCCGGGCGCGGTGGCTCATGCCTGTAATCCCAGCACTTTGGGAGGCCGAGGTGGGTGGATCCTTGAGGCCAGGAGTTCAAGACCAGCTTGGTCAACATGGTGAAACCCCCGTCTCTACTAAAAATACAAAATAAAACAAAACAAACAAACAAAAAATCGGCCAGGAGCAGTGGCTTACGCCTGTAATCCCAGCACTTTTAGAGGCTGAGGCGGACGGATCACGAGGTCAGGAGATCGAGACCATCCTGGCCAACATGGTGAAACCCCGTCTCTACTAAAATACAAAAAAGTAGCCGGGCACTGTGGCGCGCGCCTGTAGTCCCAGCTACTCGGAAGGCTGAGGCGGGGAAATCGCTTGAACCCGGGAGGCAGAGGTTGCAGTGAGCGGAGATCGCATCACTGCACTCTCAGCTACTTGGGAGGCTGAGGCAGGTCAATCACTTGAACTCAGGAGGCGGAGGTTGCAGTGAGCCGAGGTTGTGCCACTACACTCCAGCCTGGGCAACAGAGCGAGACTCCGTTTCAAAAAAAAAAAAGAGAGGAAAGAGAAAGTGCTTTTTTATGCATTCAGAAAATAGAACACTAAAAAGACATCAAAAATATTCTAAATAATAACTACAACCATCCCTCATAAATTCATGTAGTTCTAGGTAATTAATTCTGGCCCCACTGGATCTCCAGTTAGCAGTTGTAAGGGTAAATGAAAATTATGTTCTCCATTCATGTATGGCAAAGTGCCCATTTCTCTTTATAGAGTTTCCTTGTAGACATAGTGAGTCTGAGTCCTTATGCTAATCTTCAGCAGAGATTAGTATTTTTAAAGATTAGGCCAGGTGCAGTGGCTCACACCTGTAATCTCAACATTTTAGGAGGCCAAGGCGGGAGGATCGCTTGAGCCCAGGAGTTTGAGATCAGCCTCTGTGCAACATAGTGATACCCCCATCTGTAAAAGGAAAAAAAAAAATGCTTGGATGTAGTGATGTACACCTGTAGTCCTAGCTACTTGAGAGGCTGAGGTGGGGAGGATCCTTTGAGCCCAGGAGTTGGAGAATTTGGGGCTGCTGTGAGCTATGATCACGCCACTGTGCTCCAGCCTAGGCAACAGAGGGAGAGCCTATCTCAGAAAAGAAAAGAAAAAAAAAAAGATTAAACCTAGTCTCCAGATTTTGCAATGTAGGGCTATTTCCAAGCTGGTGGACCAAATAAACTTTAGATATGTAGAAAAGGTAGCTCTAGAATTAGGTCAGGGGTCTCTCTCAAAGATGAATGGGAGAGTGTCATGAGGTGCAGCTCTTTGCTTTTCAAGAAGTTAAGAGGAATTATTGTTCTTTTTTCAGCTTTGCTATGTAAGATGAGTGAGATTTTGTTCTAATTTTGTCATCACCTTTATGCTGCCTTACATACATGTACATCTGTTAATGCACACTCAATAAAGGATGTTCTTTCTTCTATTGGTACAGAAGGGTATTTTTGTTGGCAGGATTGTTTTATTTCCCTAGCACATTCTCATGAGACCATGTGTTTCTTGACTAGAGTTTGGAAATGCTGCCTTGGTAGAATGATATGGTCTTAAAGTTGCTTAAGTGATGCCCTCAGAAGCCTGTACCCAAAAGTACCTGGCATAGTCTTTTTCCATAAGGTTTTGAGAGTTCTTCTTTGTTGAAGATAAAGCACTCTGGCCTATAGCTAATTGCAAGGGCTTTCAATGCAGCATCAAAGTAAAACAAAATAACTATATGTAGATGACAAAAGACTTAAAATGGTTATAGTTAATCTATTACTTACAATTTTCAAAAGTGAAAGATCTGGCTGGGCGCGGTGGCTCATGCCTGTAATCCCAGCACTTTGGGAGGCAGAGGCGGGTGGATCACCTGACATCAGGAGTTCGAGACCAGCCTGGCCAACATGATGAAACCCCGCTTCTACTAAAAATATAAAAATTAGCTGGGCATGATGGCACATGCCTGTAATCCCAGCTACTTGGGAGGCTGAGGCAGGAAAATTGCTTGAACCTGGGAGGCAGAGGTTGCAGTGAGCCGAGATCACCACACTGCACTCCAGCCTAGGTGACAGAGCAAGACTTCACCTCAAGAAAAAAAAAAAGTGAAATATCTGATGAGAGTTCATAATACAAATAATGACACTAATAAGGAGTTTTGGTTTTTCTGTGGCCTGTAAAAGAAGACAATAAAGCCAATCCAAAATCAATTTTAGACAAAATAGTTATGAACATACTGATTAATTATATTTTCAAAGACAAGAGTAGACATTGCATTTAATTTATTAAAGTGGATGAACATAATTTTTACAAAGAAAAAAGTCTTAAGATACAACATGATATACCACAAAGATATTACCACATGATAAGATTATGCCAAGAATATATCAATAAAGGCTGGTGCAGTGGCTCACACCTGTAATGCCAGCACTTTGGGAGGCTGAGATGGGAGGATTGCTTGAGCCCAGGAGTTTGAGGTTACAATGAGGTATGATCATGCTACTGCACTCTAGCCTGGGTGACAGAGTGAGACCCTGTCTCTAAAAAAATAAAAATAAAAACATAAAAAATATATTAATAATGTCAAACGGAGATTTGGTAAGCTTGGAGTAGGTCCTAAAATATTTGCATATTAATAAAACTCCATAGGTAAGTGATGCAAATCTCCAATTGTAAACCACTGGCCTAGAAATGCTAGATTCAAATGAACAAAGTAAAGTTGTGACTAAGTTAACATTTAAATAAATAACTGAAATTATGGCTTATTGCATCTTGTTTAATATCAAATATATACTAATAATAAATACAAATAAAAATATGTGTTGGGATGGTTTGCTAATGGAACAAGCATGCCAAGTTTGTATTTTTAGGTACTTAAACCTTGAAGACACAGTTTAATCAATTCCTTATAAGGTTTTCAATAGCAGCATTCCAATTCGCGTGGTCCTTTAAATATTAGTCTTCTGAGAAGTGAATTGATGGCCACCGGAGAATTAAAACAAAGAGCAGAAAGCTTTTGAGATGAAATGCTCTGTGTGAAGAATGTTCTGCCTGCTCTAGAGTACAGAAAATTATTTAAAAAGTCATTAAAACATCATATTTCAAGATTTGATTTATAAATCGATATCTTTAAAAACCAAAGCTACTGCTCATAAACTGTCAGATATTTTATTTTCAAGTGTTTGTTTTTGTTTTGTTTTGTTTTGTTTTGCTTGAAGGCTTTTTTTTCTGAGACAGTCTCATTCTGTCACCCAGGCTGGAGTGCAGTAGTGTGATTTGGCTCACTGCAACCTCCGCCTCCTGGGCTCAAGTGATTCTCGTACCTCAGCCTCCCGAGTAGCTGGGATTACAGGTGCACACCACCATGCCTGGCTAATTTTTGTATTTTTAATAGAGACGGAGTTTCACCATGTTGGCCAGGCTGGTCTCAAACTCCTGACCTCAGGTGATCCGCCTGCCTCCCAAAGTACTGGGATTACAGGCATAAGCCACCAAACCCAGCAAATCTTTTGTTTATTTTGGTTTGTTTTATTTATCTTATCTTACTTTCTTGTTTATCTTGCTTTCTTGAATTCCTTTTAATCATTGTCTTTCTAAGAATATTTCATGTCACTATAAAAATTATTCACTGAATCTCTGTTATTTTGCAAAGCTTTAAATAACATTGACACCATATATTCTGTGTCATCTTCTGTCATTCCTCTTAATTTACTTCTCCCTTCTTTCATAAATATAACAGGGGGAAGGGAGAATTCTACTTCCTCATCTTTCAAAACCAGGCTGTGAGACAGTCTGCAAATATGTTAATAATGGAGGAAGCTTCCTTTCTTTTCTTTTCCATTTCTTTTCTTTTACTTTTTCTTTTTTTTTTTTTTGAGATGGAGTCTGGCTCTGTTGCCCAGGCTGGAGTGCAGTGGTACGATCTCGGCTCACTGCAATCTCTGCCTCCTGGGTTCAAGCGATTCTCCTGCCTCAGCCTCCTGGGTAGCTGGGATTACAGGCGCATGCCACCATGCCCGGCTAATTTTTGTATTTTTAGTAGAGACGGAGTTTCACCATGTTGGTCAGGCTGGTCTTGAACTCCTGACCTTGTGATCCACCTGCCTCAGCCTCCCAAAGTGCTGGGATTACAGGCGTGAGCCACCGCACCGGACCTGAAGCTTCCTTTCAATGTGTAGGTTGAGTTTGGAGTAACTGACAGGTGTCAGGTAGTGAGAGTTTGGTATGTGATTTGTGTGTTCCACTTAATATTTCAGACACAGGTTGTTTAGGGCCACTTAACTGAAATGTACCTGAGAACATATTTGTTCCTCTCTGAGCTTTTAGTAAGCGTAGAGCAAGAATAACACTATGACATGTAATATATAAATCTTAAGATATTTTCAGCCTTCTTTGAATTTAGTTTGCAAGAAGGAGAGAATACTGTAGTATTCAAGTTTGTATTTTTATACTTAAACTTTGAAGACATAGCTTAATCAATTGTTTACAAATTTTTCAATAGCAGCATTCCAATTTTCAGGATCCTTTAAATATCAGTTTTCTTAGAAGTGAAGCTGAGGCTTGTGACAATCTCTTTTGCTCACATTCCTTTGAAAGTAGGTGGGAGAGAACTGCTATGAATAAAATGAGAAAGCAGAATTCAGATTTACTCTGAAGTATAAATGATTTCAGGCACAGTGCAGGACTACTTTTACAGCAGTGAAAAGACTATGACTCTGGTAGAACTCTGATAATAACATTTGAAATCTCTTTAGATAAAACTGAGAAGCCTAATGAGTAGGCCAGTGCTGTAGAGGGTACACTTTAGTTTATGAACTGCAATGCCACTTAAGATTCAGGAAAGTCTTCATTCATTTGTGATTTATTTCCTCGAGATATCATTGAGTCCCTAGATCCTAGATGCACAAATAAGACAATTCTTAGGGTCATACAAAACAGAAATGGTGAGAATATAAATTGCACTGTTGCTCTCTTGTTTTCAAAAATCAAAGTGAATCAGACTCCAAACAAAATGCCATGACTTATTAATTATTTGCCTGACACTGATAATCAAAATCTATCATGTAGCTGAAAATGATGGCTATCAAGGTTAAGAGGCTGGAGACTGAACGTCTACAACAGAATTTGAAATGTTACTCTCTACTATGTATTACAAGATTTTTTTTTTGTACAACTTGTATATCCCCAGTCTTACCTGTCATCAGCAAACCCATTGCTTTTTACCAACAGAAACTTTATTAATTTTTCCCTTCATCCCAACCCTTTCATATTGTGATGCAGTTACCTGCAAGGGACTCTCCATAATTGTGCTAATCGCTCAATACGGATTTCACAACCTATAAATTCCTTAATGCATTTTCAACATATGTATTTGCAACATACTATTGAAAATATAAAATTGAACACGTAAGGCCCCGCTGGGATTCGAACCCAGGATCTCCTGTTTACTAGACAGGCGCTTTGACCAGCTAAGCCACAGGGCCCCTGTTGGGCATATGTTCAGATATATCGTATTTATAACATTTTTGTAAAATGTATCAATTTGACAAAAGTGTACTTAATTTTGTGACAAAGAAAGCACATCTGTGTTTCTGAACCAGCAACAAAGCAGCAATTCCAACACTAAAAAAAATACTTTTCTTCAATGCAAGATTTCAGAATTTATTTCAAATTGAAATGAGTGAAATTTCTATTTCATGGTGACTATCTCCCCCTACAGGAAATATTGGATATCGCAACATATTTTAAATTTATTTCTCTGTTCGTGCATTCATTCTGTCCACAAATGTTGAGTCATTACTGCATTTCAGGTACTTTTCTAGGTATTGGAGAAAGAACATTGAATAAAACAGCAAAATTTTCTTCCATTATTGAATTTATGTTCTACAGGGAGATAAAACAACAACAAAAAACACCCCAAAACAAACTAACCAACTAAAAAAATCCAACAACAAACAAAAACACAAGTGATATGGAAACCAATCTCTTTACCGCTGGGTTATAGAACCCACGACACTACCTTCTGAGCTAATTCACTGCAATTGAGTAAAACCATTATGCTTCCTTCTATTTTATCTAATCTGGCACAAGAAAGTGAGCCTAGACGAGGACACAGTGATGTCGTGGAGATCTGTGGTCACCCTGCTTCCCACTTACCCAAACTAGGCACCTTGAGACCCTCTGTTTCAAAGACAGCTTTGGTCTCAACAGGAGATCTGCTGTTAGAAACAATGAGTTAGGTGTACACAGGGAGTTCTCCTGGATGGATATCTTTGCTTCTGTCATAGTCTTGTTCTGCTCATTTGCCTGCTGGGTTAAAATAGACTCAATTTCTAGACCCACATAGATTGTAAAACTGCGTGGATGATACAGAGAAGTAGAGAACAAAGTAGAGTACAATGTGATAGCCCTCACAGGATGCTGTGGGAACCTCTCACTTGGGCCTCACAGAGTTGCATGACCTTTTATCTCAGGTTCTTTGTCAGTTTAATGAATGCAGAAGGAGTCATGGAATGTTTAGCTGAATGCAGCTTAGCATGGGGAAAAGCAGATGAAACCAATATCCTGAAATATTTAAATAACTGCCTGGTGCTTTGCATATGCATTCATTAAGCATCCACAAAATGCAAGACCCTGGAAAGATGAGAAATTACTTAGGTTGAGGTTGAGTTTTTATTTTTTAACCAAGCCTGGTGTTGCTTCTGATTTATTTCCTGTGGGTCATGAACCTCTACTCACTACCTAGCTAATCACAAAGCCAGGTTATACCAATTTTTCAGCTTTATTGGCTGAGGTTTTTTGTGAAGCTTAGTTATGTATTCCCCGACTTCTGTTTCTCACTGACAGGTGTTTCATAAATCTTGGTATGTGTAAAACCCTGGAAGAAAAGCCCTTTGTTTCTCCTTTTGGAAATCTTTCCAAGATACAAGCAGACATTTCAACATAAAGTAGGTGCTGGAGTGGTGTGGCTACAGATAGATTGCTGCACCCTTGAGAGAAATTAACACTACGAAACCCCTGCTTAAAGTGTTTCATCCGGATTTCTGCTGACATTAGAAGGAAAGTTCTTTTCCTGATTCCCTGACTTTTGGGGCTATTCTTTCTAGAACCTACCTTTTCCCACAACATCTGTGTCTTCCCTAAACTTATGGCCTATCATAGCAAACATTTTGGCCAACATCCGCCTTATAAAAAGCCTTGCTCAGATCTTCAAATAAGCCTCAATACTGAGGACAGACAAAACCCTTCTTATTATTGTTAGAACTACCTTATCAGCATCAAAGAAGCACAGGATTGTAGTCAAGTTAAATAGATGCTGAGTCTGGTACCAGTCTTTGCAATATTACTACTGCATGAAGGCCTTCCACCACTTAAGTAGCAATGATATTTATTTATTTAGCTCCAAAAATGGCTTATTTTATTATTTTGTTTGTTTGTTTGTACCTTACTGAGCTAGTGCCATCATGCATTTACCACCCTTAAATCTTTAGAACAATCTTAGAAGGTGGTAACTTTCATTAATTTCCATGGAGAGATGAGAATGATAAAACATAGAAATATTAAAAAGTCATTTCAAGACCATGAATGCCATAGGTAGAGTAAAACAGTTTTCTTTCTGAAAATGTGGTTGGCAGACTGTGTAAGATACTTCCATACCAATATTAGTGCATTCATAAAATGCAAGCTTTTAATCTCACAATTCCCCTGTTTATACCAGATTTCTAGCAATGCTCACTCAAAGCTGCAAAACATTATTGTGAACCAGAGAACTTCACACCTCTAAGATAAACATGTGCTTTGCACTGAGTATCATATGGTACACGCCAAGCAAGCTCTCTACTTTTCGAGCAAATCATACAGCATGGGTTTTATTGAGCCCTATTACTCACTTGTCACTACAATTTTATTCTGTAATAGATCTAGGACCCTAGCTCTCTCACTAAGAGATAGCCTCTGAGTCAGAGTCCATAGATTTCTGCTACTCAGGCCAGTAAGATCTGAGAAAATGTGTTCTGGAGAATTGCAAGATCAAAATGTTTATTGCTTTAGCAGTTTTATCATTCACTTGTGGCAAAATAATTGACAAGAACTGATCCTTTAGGGTCAATACATACTTGATCCCTGTCTTCACTCTTGTAAGACTGAGTCAAGATAAAAT
The DNA here is from genome assembly GCF_000001405.40 of Homo sapiens. NCBI lineage: Eukaryota > Metazoa > Chordata > Mammalia > Primates > Hominidae > Homo > Homo sapiens. The sequence goes on along the minus strand of NC_000006.12, from coordinate 27,159,595 downwards.
AGACTAAAAAGAAAATTGAAGTAGAATGTGATACAAGTGAACATGAATAACCACTACAAATGCTATTAAATTACTGAGAAGAGGCCTAGAACCTGACCTGTTGGAGAGATGATATCCTACAGTATAAGGCAGCTCAGCTCAATTACAATATCTCTGAGTTTCAGAATCCATGTCAGCTGGATGGACAGTTGGAGAAGAAATGGGGGCTATTTTAGCCCCAAGAAGGAAAGAACAAATCTCTTTTGCTGAAATTTTTGATAAGTTGCTAAAAGTATGAGTATTCTTTTTTTTTGAGACCGAGTCTTACTCTGTCACTCAGGCTGGAGTGCAGTGGTGTGATCTTGGCTTACTGCAACTTCCACTGCCTGGGTTCAGGCAATTCTCGTGCCTTAGCCTTCCGAATAGCTGGGACTACAGGCCTATGCCACTATGCCAAGCTAATTTTTGTATTTTTAGTAGAGACGGGGTTTCACCATGTTGGCCATGCTGGTCTCGAACTCCCGACCTCAGGTGATCTGCCCGCCTCGGCCTCCCAAAGTGCTGGGATTATAGGCATGAGCCACCACACCTGTTTGAATACTAACCTTCCACCAGGGCCAGGAGGGACGAAGTGCCATTAATGTGTTCTCAGAGTGCTGTGCTACTAACTAGAACTGGGCTCATGGAAGCGCCTCTGGGGATCTGCCTGTCTCCAGCCACCTCCTACTGGTCCTAGGTAGCACCAACTACTTCTTTCCAGCCACCTCCGTATCTCAGATCAGCTCTCCTCCACTCCCGCCTCACCCAGTCTACTTGGCTCTTTAGAACTCATTCTAGAAACTGAACGGGCTAGAAATGGGGGCTGTTCTTCTGGGCCATTATTCCCCCCCACCCAAATTCCTTCAATTACTCAAATTTCTTTAATTTTCTCCAGATGATCAAAGGTTACAGTTTTTCAGCATTGGTCCAGCTAGGATACTTAGAAACGCGTGATTAATAATTTGTCTTTTGTGTTTTAAGAAAGATCTCCACAACAAACCTGGATCCCCTTTTGAACAGTCCTTTCCTCATGCCTACCAGTGTTTGAAAGTAAAAGTTTTCCATTAAAAAAAAATTACCTCAGTTTCTTCACATACAGCCAATGCCAACAAGACTGTAGGGCTTGGGTAGGGTTGGGAAGAGAATCTTTGGAGAGGGGAAAAAAAAGACAAGGCAACAAGCGTAGACACTCTCTGCTTGGCTGACTGGTTGGGGCACCATGATGAATACTAGTGTTTTTTGTGTACAGATTAGATCGTAAGTCAATTCAATTTTGCAAGGGTTTTTCCGAGACTGTCTCCACTCCAGTATGTTGAAAAATTGAGGCGACGTCAAGGTACTGCTCAGTACGTTGAGAAATTGAGGCGACATCAAGGTACTGCCGTGACTCGGATTCGAACCGAGGTTGCTGCGGCCACAACGCAGAGTACTAACCACTATACGATCACGGCACGCCACCAGAGGCCGCTGCTTGTGGGGCTCTTCCTTTGCTTATTTCCCAGAAACGTCTGTTTTTGTCATCTAAAGAATGGTGCAGTCTTTCGTCCTTATTTACACACCTACCCAGTTTACTTCCTTATCCACTCCCCGTCCCCAATATTTTGCTTATGGCAAAGAAGCCAAAGGTAACACATTAAGTTTCATTATATGGAATTTTCCCAGCGTGGTGGTTGTTTTTGGGGGTTGGTAATACTGTGCTTGTAAACTCATTATTCTCACTTCTATCTCCAACCCACGCATGTTTCTTGCTCAGTTTAGCAGTGTGGTCCTCAGATCTTTGGCAACAAAAGGAAGAGGGCGCTGCTTTGAAGTGGACCTGCCAGATCCCATTTTTTGCCAAACTAGTCAGAATCTTCGGGGGCTTGGCATGGAATCTGGCATCTCGACAGGTGCCAGAAGTGAGTTTCTCATCACGAGGAACTATGTGGCTTCGTCCTGACCCAGGTACCTATGAGAAGCCAGTGAGGCGCTCGCGCACTCAGCCTGCCCACCTGAGCCGTCAGGAAATGTCCGGCGGCGCTCGCACCTCAGAGTGAAATTTCTTTCTCCCTTTCATACCTAGTTTGCCAGAAGAGGGAGATAAAAGTGCCTCTCCTGTGGCTCCAAAGCTCCGTGGGACTTCCCTCCTGCCCCGCTTGCTGTTTTAGGAACGTAGCCTCTAGAGTCAAGGTCCTGGTCGTGTTTTCCCCTTGATACCAAATGATTTTCTTTCTGTAAAATCATTCTGGTCTTAAACTCCTGAACTCAACTGATCCGCCCCTCTCGGCTTCCCAAAGCGCTAGGATTACAGGAGTGAGCCACCGCGCCCGGCCTCTTCTCTTTACCTGGTTAAATTTGTTTAATGCTTCAGCTTCAACTCAAGAAAGCTTTTCAAATCAAGGAAGCTTTTCTTGACCTCCCGTCTCCACGCAACACATGGTTCCTTGGTTTTTTTTTTTTCCTTCCCTCCCTTCTTTCCCTCCTTCCTTCCTTCCTCTCTCCCTCCCTCCTTCCCTCTCTCTTTCTTTTCTTTTCTTCTTTCCTTCCTTCTTTCTTTCTCTCTCTCTCATTCTCTTTCTTCCTTCCTTCCTTTTCTTTCTTTCTTTCTCTTTCTTCTTCTTTTTTTTTTTCTCAGAGTCTCGCTCTGTTGCCCAGGCTGGAGGGCAATGACACAATCTCGACTCATTGCAACCTCCACCTCCCGGGTTCAAGCGATTCTCCTGCCTCAGCCTCCCGAGTAGCTGGGATTACAGGCGTAAGCTACTACGCAGGGCTAATTTTTGTATTTTTATTAGAGAGGGGGTTTCACCATGTTGGCCAGGCTGATCTATAACTCCTGACTTCAAGTGATCCACCCGCCTCGGGCTCCCAAAGTGCTGGGATTACAGGCGTGAGCCATCATGCCCGGCCACTTGATTCTTTTTCACTTTTCCTTTAGTGCTCTTATATCAGTTTGTAATGTATAATACCAGAGTTATTTGATTAATGTCAGCCTCCATCCTCCCGCTCCATATGCCCCAAGACGAGGAATATCTATTTTGTTCAATAATCTATCACTAGGGCTCCCCATTTGGTAGGTTCTTTATCAATATAGTTTGGCTGCAGAATGAATGAATGGGTGGGCAGAGACTACCATCCAAAGCTCTATGAAAGCAACTTCTCCCAGCAGCATCTGGCCTAGTTCAGCAGGCTTGCCTTTTGACCTTTGATGGGAAAAGATTGGTAATAATTTAAAGAAAGGTTGGGAGGTCAAGACAGGAGTATTGCTTGAGGCCATGAATTTGAATCAAGTTTGGGCAACATAGTGAGACCCTGTCTCTACAAAAAAAATAAAAAAATTTAACCAGGCACAGAGGTGCATGCCTGTAGTCCCCATTACAAGGGAGGCTGAGGCAGGAGGATCACTTGAATCCAGGAGTTTGAGGTTGCAGTGAGCTATGATTGTGCCTCTGCACTGCAGCCTGGGCTACAGAGCAAGATCCTCCCTCTAAAATAATAATAATAAATTTAAAAATGAAGGGAGTTCAAAATTACCCCTGCAGCTATCCATAATAAAGCTTCTCAGCAGAGCCAAAATAATGTGCTTAATTTCCTAAAATTTTCTTTATCTCCTTTCCTCTGTCTGGATTACACAAAAGTATTCTAATTACTAATAGGTTTACTGAATGAAGAATTACCTGTTTCCTAGCATCATTGTTATTATTATTATTATTATTATTATTATTATTATTATTTTATTTTATTTTATTTTTTGAGATGGAGTCTCGCTCTGTCGCCCAGGCTGGAGGGCAGTGGTGCGATCTTGGCTCACTGCAACCTCCGCCTCCTGGGTTCAAGTGATTCTCCTGCCTCAGCCTCTTGAGCAGCTGGGACTACAGGCGCGTGACACCACGACTGGCTAATTTTTTGTATTTTTAGTAGAGACGGGTTTTCACTGTTTCAGACAGGATGATCTCGATCTCCTGACCTTATGATCCGCCCACCTCCGCCACCCAAAGTGCTGGGATTACAGGCATGAGCCACCGCACCCAGCCCTAACATTAATTTGTTTGATCAGGGAAGTGACCTAAGGGCTTTCTCAGTCTCAAAGACATGAGCTCCATCAAAGAAAATGCAGCCAGTAAGAAGGAAATGCAAGCTGCCTCTGTCTCAAGTCTCTTTGAGTTAGATCTTTCCTTTTCCTTTGCTTAGGGCCTTCCCCAACCCCATTTAGAAAGCTGCTGTGAATGAAAGTGCTTTTCAGCATTTTCTGCTGGGATGTTTTTGGAAATTGGGTTGATCTGCATGTGCTTCTCCATAAAAAGAGGGAAAAGCTGTATCTTTGATGTCATAGGCCTAGAAAAAGGCCTCTTTCCTTGTGCTTATTTTGGAAGGCCATTTTGAAGATTTCATCTGACACATTCACTACAGTGATTCTGGGAAGAATAAGAGACAGGCTGGCACAGTTGAACCTACCAGTTCTACCTTTACCAATGCCATGCACTCTTCTACTTCTGAATTTCTAAATTTTCTGTAAGAAATAATTAAAAGCCCTCTTTCTTTCAAGGGCATAGTTCCAGCAATATTTTCCTCTTTCTCCTGTATTATTAAATAAAATTCTATTTGATCTCTATAGGATCTTTCGCATCAGCATTCAAAGCTGCTTTTATTTCTTTCATCTGAAAGAATTGTTCTCTTGCTTTCACTTTTCCTTTCTGCTATTGATAGTACTGTCTTTCAGTTTATAGCCATATTTCCTTGAAGTGTCATCAAACCCAAATCTTCTTTCATCTCATTTCTTTATTACACTCCTTCATCTTGCTTTCTTCTTCAACACTCCACTTAAACTGATCTTTTACATTTCACTAGTTGAAATGGCTATGTTAGTCCTCAACTTATATGATTTCTCAACACTATTTGATACATTGGATTTCTACCTCCTCTTAGAAACTGCTGTGGTCTGAATGTGTTCCCCAAAATTCTTATGTTGATAGTTAATTGCCAATGTGATAGTATTAATAAGTATTAAAACAGTGGCCAATATGTAGAGCCATCTCTCCATATCTAGAATGCACATGTCTGGGACTCAAGAAGTAGAGGTGTGAGTGGCACTTCTCATTATTCCTCAGTGATCCATTCAGACAATTTTGTATCCTATCCCTGTGACCTTGATCGAGCTCTGAGGGAATGGGTGTCTTTGTGCCCAGTGGATAAATATTTCCACTAGAGAGCATTGTCACCTTTCAAATCAATTGAAACCTGAAAACTGCTTCTGGCCATTTTAGTCTTTTCATGCCACTGAACCAATATGCAGGGAAAAGTGTCCCTCTACTTGGAGTGATTGCTTCCAGTTTCTAGGAGGTAGTTTGGTGTCTGCTGTACAGTGGAGGTTAAAGAAAACAAAAAACAAACAAACAAACAAACATTACTAATCCAGAGAAGTCTCTAAATGTTTTTTGCCCACAAGCCATGGTCAATTAAAAATTGTGACAATGAGATAAAGAAAAGATCACAAGGACACAGATCCCACAGGAATAAAGGCATATTTTATACTACCATGTAAAGAATTCAGCCAACATGCTGACAGAAGTCAGGATAACAAGAAATGAATTTTATTTTTATTTATTCATTTATTTTTGAGATAGGGTCTCATTTCATTGCCCAGGCTGGTGCCCAGGCTGGGGTGTAGTGGCATGATCATGGCTCACTGCAGTCTCAACCTCCCGGGCTCAGGTGATTCTCCTACCTCAGCCTCCCCAATAGTTGGGAGTACAGGCATACACCACTATGCCTGGCTAATTTTTTGTATTTTGTGTAGAGTCAGAATCTCGCCATTTTGCCCAGTCTCATGTTAAACTCCTGGGCTCAAGTGAGCTGCTCCCCTTAGCCTCCCAAAGTGCTGGGATTACAGGCATGAGCCACCACACCTGGCCTAAGAAATGAATTTTAGAAGGAAGCTGTGATTACTAACCTAAGCCTTATGATCAGCTACAGAAGCAAGGTTCATAACAGCTTTGTATTATGTTAACTAAGTACTTCTCACTTTTTACCCCAGTACATTCTAGGAAGGTGAAGACTAACATTTTAGTTTTAAAGTAGGATTATGAACAAACTGGCATCACCCCCATGAGCTGGCTGTGATTTCACAAATTCCATGTTGGAATGCAATGCAGACTTTTCACTTGAGAAAAGGATAGTACATGCCAAAGGGCAAAAGGGATGGACTGTGCTAGATATTTACTTTTGCCAGCCTAGATTCACTGTCCTCTTCTTTTTTTTTTTTTTTTTTTTCTCTGAGACAGAGTCTCGCTCTGTCACCCAGGCTGGAGTGCAGTGGTGCAATCTTGGCTCACTACAACCTCTGCCTCCTAGGTTCAAGCGATTCTTCTGCCTCAGCCTCCCAAGTAGCTGGGATTACAGGCGGCCACCACCATGCCCAGCTAATTTTTGTATTTTTAGTAGAGACGGGGTTTCACCATGTTGGCCAGGATGGTCTTGATATCCTGACCTTGTGATATGCCCACCTCGGCCTCCCAAAGTGCTGGGATTACAGGCGTGAGCCACCGTGCCCGGCCCACTGTCCCCTTCTTTCATCCTGTGTCCCTAGGAGGCTGATCTATACATGAATTTGATCCTTGTCCTTTGGCTGCTGGTCAAATTTGGCTGATGAAAAGTGAAAATATGTCAGAGAGAGGAAGGAGTTCTTTCTGTTTCCAGATTTCCTTTCCTCTCATTGCCCCTTTGGGCCTAGGTGTGGTAATTACTTATATATGGTATTAGCTTCAAAATACTGCACTATCTCTTGTGGCTTCCTAACACCTTGCTCACTTCTTTTTCAATCTTCAAGCACCCAATTGGTTGTTGTTGTTGTTGTTGTTGTTTGTTTGTTTTTTGAGACGGAGTCTTGCTCTGTCACCCAGGCTGGAGTGCAGTGGTGCAATCTCAGCTCACTGCAACCTCCGCCTCCTGGGTTCAAGGTCCTGCCTCAGTCTCCTGAGTAGCTGGGATTACAGGTGCCCACCACCACGCCTGGCTAATTTTTTTGTATTTTTAGTAGAGACGGGGTTTCACCATGTTGGCCAGGCTGGCCTCGAACTCTGGACCTCAAGTGATCTGCCCGCCTCGGCCTCCCAAAATGTTGGGGTTACAGGCATGAGTCACTGCATCAGGCCCAAAGTACCCAATTTGAAGGACTAATCTCTCCTGATGGGACACTGGCTGACATATTGACCTCTTTTAGCTTATATGCTGCTGTGTTTACAGATATTAAATGAAAATACAAATAAGATATTTACTTTCAAAATATAGTCATTGACATGGAGTTTAAACCCATAAGAACAGATGATCTTAGCCAAAAGGCTGAAAACACTTGGTCTTAGCCAAAAGGCTGAGAAGCGGTGATGATGTGGAGTTTAAGAACCTGATCTGGGCTGGGCGCGGAAGATCACGCCTCTAATCCCAGCACTTTGGGAGGCTGAGGCCGGCAGATCACGAGGTCAGGAGATTGAGACTGTCCTGGCTAACACAGTGAAACCCCATCTGTAGAAAAAATACAAAAAACCTAGCAGGGAGCGGTGGCACGCGCCTGTAATCCCAGCTACTTGGGAGGCTGAGGTAGGAGAATCACTTGAACCCAGGAGGCGGAGGTTGCAGTGAGCGAAGATCGCGCCACTGCACTCCAGCCTGGACTACCGAGCAAGACTCCGTCTCAAAAAAATAAAAAAAGAACTTGATCTGGTAAACCCAGAAGGCATAACGAGAACTAAGAATAAGAGAATACCTCATTGAGGAGGTGCCATATTATGAAAATTGAAGAATGAATAGGAGTTACCCAAGGAGAGGCTGGTAGGACAAACACTCTGGGCTTGGGAAATCGCAAGTGCAAAGCTACAGGAGTACCAGATAGAATCAGACAGACCAATCCCTGAATACACTTTCTAATTCCAGTCCGTTAATTTTATTAAATCTTACAGCTTCAAGTAAATTAGAAAATGCACTGGTTTCTTCAAAAATGGCAATTTTGCTGTGAATAGAAAAAAGTTAGCAATTCTGCTGTGAATAAAGTTAGCTTTTAATAAGTCAAGCAATATCAACGTACACCAGCAATTTTACCTCCTTTTTTTTTTTTTTTTTTTTTTTTTGGTGTTTTCCTTTGTGTGATTCCAAGGCATATTTGGGATCTCAAGTTGATTTACTGATGGCCAGTTCTGAGTCCAGATACCAGTCAGCCTTGTAAACAATCACTATTCCTCCCAGGTGTTTACTATTACACATAGAATCTAGCTTCCCAGGTAAGTGAAGCCATGTCAATAGTTAGCCTGATATAAAATTATATTATTCCGTCTTTAGTTAAGCACCCTTCATTATCCATAATCACATATATTTCCCATATTTTGTCATTGTTAATTATTTAAATCATGCAGCTCCTCTGGGGTATAAACCTTCACATATTTTTAGATGTGACTTTACTATTTTGATTTTCTCAGAATTATTCCTTACAAGGAATGCATGACAACGACTCCATCTGTAATAGGTATGAAGATGAGGGGGAAGGGCGGAACTGAGGAAAAGCATGTATGTATGCATTTTAAAAATTGTGTGTGTTTTAAAAATATATTTTTTTAAAGTATATATTTTAAGTGTGATTCCCATTTTCAGGAATCTTTAGCTATTCACTTTAAACTATTGTAAACACTGTTTGAATAATTAAGTCTAGTTTTATTCTTTCTCATTTGGTATCTATTAATTCAGATATGATCATGATACTCTTCTGGTAGAACCTTTCAACATCTCCCTTTAACAATTCTTACCCAAGTTTCTATATACCTTAGACTAAAGCACATGAGACCAGATAGTTAAGAGAAGGCAGTTATGTGTGTGTTCCATGTTGAGTAGATAATATTCTGATAGCTTTTTCTCCTACTAATTGAGAATCTGATTGGATAAGTAACACCACACTTTCTTTTCCAAATTAGAGTCCAAACAATACCCACCTCAAAAGGTTGTGAGAAATAAATAAGCACATTCATATTGCATATGTAGCCCATAAGTGGTCGGCACCAAATATCTCTTATAGGTGTTTTTTTTTTTTTTTTTTTTTTTTTTGAGCTGGAGTCTCACTCTGTCACCCAGGCTGGAGTACAGTGGCACAATCTCGGCTCACTGCAACCTCCGCCTTCCGGGCTCAAGCAATTCTCCTGCCTCAGCCTCCCAAGTAGCTGGGACTATAGGCAGCTGCCACCACGCCCGGCTAAGTTTTTGTGTTGGGATTACAGGCATGAACCACCGCACCCAGCCTAAAATGTGTTTCCACCTGGTTTCGAACCAGGGACCTTTCACGTGTGAGACTAACGTGATAACCACCATACTACAGAAACTCATTCCATGGTTTTTTTAAAGGTTTCCTCTCCTCTCTTTTGAGCCTCAAATATTCATTCTGAAGTTTCTTCAGTATGGGGCAAAGCTGGATTATTTCTCAGTACAGGAAAAGTAAAGAGATTTGCTGAATCTGGGGTAGGAAAAGTTAGTGGAAGAATCTCCCATTTCTTTTATAATTGTTTTCTATCACCTTCCATGTGCAATGATTGAGGCATTTAAAGCTCTTACAGGAGTATATCAAACTAATAAAGATTTTTAGAATGTCTGTACATTTTCTTATTTCTCTAAAAAGAAAAGACCCGCCCCTCCCCGGCCTTTAAATTCCCTGATGAAAGTAATTACAGGCTCATGCCTGTAATCCTGGCACTTTGGGAGGCCAAGGCAGGCAGATCACCTGAGGTCAGGAGTTCGAGACCAGCCTGACCAACATGGTGAAACCTTGACTCTACTAAAATTACAAAATTAGCCGGGAGTGGTGGCACACACCAGTAATCCCAGCTACTCAGGAGGCTGAAGCAGGAGAATCGCTTGAATCTGGGAGGTGGAGGTTGCAGTGAGCCGAGATCAGGCCATTGCACTCCAGCCTGGGCAAGAAGAGCAAAACTTCATCTCAAAAAAAAAAAAAAGAAAAAGAAAAAAAGTCAAAGAGCAATACCAGCTATGCACTTATGCATGCTAAAGTCAGTCTCACAGATACTATCATAGACCTTACTTAACATTGATATTTATATTCATGTTAATATATGTCATAGACATGGAAATACACTGCCCAGATCCTCCTTCAAGGAAGGGCTTGCAGCCCAACTGCAGAGAGCACAGTTAGCAGATAGACACCAGCTGTTAGCTTCCTCAGTGTTTGCCTCAGCTGCAGAGCTCCTCCCCACTCAAGGCTGCATCCTTCCCCGGGCAGTCCTCATTCAGTGACCCACAGAGGAGTTAAAAAGGGTGGTCTAGAGCCCCTTTGGCCCAATGTGGGGGCAACTTGACAGGCATACTGGCTCCAGAGCTCTCCACTGGGTTGGTTGAGCATTTGTCTGGCCTGTATCATAGTTTGACATTTTCCTTTGCCCAATCCTATTTCCTTCACCCCTTCACAGATATTGAGCCCTAATAAACATTTTGCATCCCAAACTCCATCTCAGCATCTGTTTATCGAGAACTCATATGTCACTACATTATAATTTCTCGTTCTGCATCTCTTGCATTTCTTTTTCAATTGGGCTTCTGCATGCAAAGACTGGGAGTAGCAAACAAATCTATGTGTATTGAATTACAAACTATGTCCTCTTAAATCTTTGTGAAATACATAAAGTTAATACTATTTTTTGGTGTCTTTTTTAAGTGGCTTGAATTCCGTAGAGAAAAAATAAAGATGTATACATGTAATATTTCAATTAATATATATCCTATCCCCATAGGCATAGAGAGCGTAATGGGGCCCTCCATTTTAGAGAGGAGATAAACAAAGATGACCTCTTTATAGGTGTTACTTGATCAGAGACCTACATAGATTGAAAAAAAGTGAGAAAGGTAGTTATCAGGGGAAGAGGGAATTTAAAGTGCAAAGGCCTTAAGACAGAAAATGTGTTTGGCATTTTGTGGGAATAGCCAGAAAGCCTTGAGGCTATGAAGTAAAAGCAGGCCAAGTAATATCAAGAGGGGGTGGGGCGGAGGAAGGAAACTCATAGGGCTTCCTAGGGTAGGTAAATTAATGTGGACAAGCAATCAAAAGCAATAGCAATCCCGATCTAATAAATTTGATAATACAAATTAGCTAGACAGAAAAAGCTATGTTGTATCCTAAGCTACTACAAGAGTGCATTAATACACCTGCTCCAAAGAAATGGGACTAAGGATTTACAAATATGGGATTCAGGAAATTCTGCATCCCATATTCTCCTTCCATCGGAATCAAATTCTAATGCAAATGAGTCACTAGACTTTCATCACCTGGGTAAAGTTACTCTTAAGAGTTAGACCACTTAAGAATCAGGCTGCCCTTTCTTGCTTTTCAAGAATACTTAGAATTGCAAAATTTGCCTTTAAAGAATGGCAAGTATATCCCATTTTTATGGCTGTTTGACAACACTATTAATGTAATAGAATTATTACACTGGAGGCCGGGCGCTGTGGCTCACGCCTGTAATCCCAGCACTTTGGGAGGCCGAGGCGGGCGGATCACCTGAGGTCAGGAGTTCGAGACCAGCCTGGCCACCATGGTGGAACCCCGTCTCCACTAAAAATACAAAAAAACTAGCCGGTCGTGGTGGTGTGTGCCTGTAATCCCAGCTATTCGGGAGGCCGAGACAGGAGAATCGCTTGAACCTGGGAGGTGGAGGTTGCAGTGAGCCGAGATCGCGCCGCGCCACTGCACTCCAGCCTGTTGGAGACTCCATCTCAAAAAAAAAAAAAAAAAAAAAAAAACCACTGGAATTAGTAAATAGATTTCAGGGATTTGTACGTTTGATTTCACTTATTACCCCTGCTGAATAAGCTTCTCCGGAGTATCCTACAACAACTTTTGGGTCTTCATTGCTTTCCAGTGGGTTAATTTAGAAACATTGTAAAGAGTTGCTCCAGCCCAACCGCGAAAGAAGCGCTTTACAATGTTATCTAGCGAAGCAAACATGAAGTGAAACAAACATGACTGTGTCCAGCTTTCTCTAAGACAGTGTAGAATGGCTCTGAAAAGAGCCTTTGTTTTCCAGTTTTCACAACCTCGCTCCTTATTTGGCCTTATGGTGGCTCTCAGTCTTCTTAGGCAGCAGCACGGCCTGGATATTGGGCAAGACACCACCCTGCGCGATGGTGACTTTGCCCAGCAGCTTGTTGAGCTCCTCGTCGTTGCGGATGGCCAGTTGGAGGTGACGCGGGATGATACGGGTCTTCTTGTTGTCGCGGGCCGCATTGCCAGCCAGCTCCAGGATCTCAGCGGTCAGGTACTCCAGCACCGCAGCCAGGTACACTGGCGCGCCGGCTCCAACCCGCTCGGCATAATTACCCTTGCGGAGCAGGCGGTGCACTCGGCCCACGGGGAACTGAAGCCCAGCCCGAGAAGAGCGGGTCTTGGCCTTGGCGCGAGCTTTACCGCCTTGCTTGCCACGTCCAGACATACTGGTCACAACTTACTGAAAGTAGCCAACGAGGAAAGGCAGCGCCTTTTATAAACACTATTGGGCGCGAAAAAGAAGATATGTCATTGGTTAGGGTTGTAGCTTAGTTTTAACCAATGGAAGTACGTCTTTTGGATTTGCAGATTGGGTTGATTGGGTATAACTAACCTCTGACGTCACCCTAATAACCACCAATCAGATACAGGACTTTCACTCTTCACCTTATTTGCATGAGAGGTCCTATATAAAAACGACTCCTGGTACCTTGCTCCCATTACTTCCCGTTTTCTCGATCTGCTGCTCGTCTCAGGCTCGTAGTTCGCCTTCAACATGCCGGAACCAGCGAAGTCCGCTCCCGCGCCCAAGAAGGGCTCGAAGAAAGCCGTGACTAAGGCGCAGAAGAAGGACGGCAAGAAGCGCAAGCGCAGCCGCAAGGAGAGCTACTCCGTATACGTGTACAAGGTGCTGAAGCAGGTCCACCCCGACACCGGCATCTCCTCTAAGGCCATGGGAATCATGAACTCCTTCGTCAACGACATCTTCGAACGCATCGCGGGTGAGGCTTCCCGCCTGGCGCATTACAACAAGCGCTCGACCATCACCTCCAGGGAGATCCAGACGGCCGTGCGCCTGCTGCTGCCCGGGGAGTTGGCCAAGCACGCCGTGTCCGAGGGCACCAAGGCCGTCACCAAGTACACCAGCGCTAAGTAAACTTGCCAAGTAAGCGTCTTAAAGCCCAACCCCAAAGGCTCTTTTAAGAGCCACTTAAATTATCGATATTAGAGCTGTAAACACGTGTTCCTAATCCAGGCTTAAATTCGGGCGATCTTTTTAAAGGGATTATCATGATCTTATCACACTGAGTAATGCATGCAGTGCTTGTAATCGAGTCTGGCTAAGGAGAAGCCACATACACTTTGTTAGTACTGAGTGAGGAATATGGCGCCTAAAAAATTAGGGATGTGCAGGAAACTTGTGTTAACAGAAAGTGCTTCCTGGCTCTTGGCGCGAAAATGGATACTTCCGTTGTGTCGAGTGCTGTGACTTCCTGTTAGAACTTGTTGAAAGCCTATTGTGTCACGTGTACTTTCCACCATGTAATGGCGTTCTAACGTGAGTTTATATATTAGTAAATTTGGTTCCCGATGGCGTTCCAGTACGTATGGCTTTCGCTCGAGCAGTTACCTTATTTAACCTCTTCTAGGCTGTACCCAGCTCTGCCTTGCTTTGCTTCCCCCTCACCCCCTGATTCCATCTCTGCAGCCCACGGGACATCGGGAAGATGCCAGACCACCAGGCAGGATAGTCTGCAAGGGTAAGGGGAGGAGCACAGCTTTTCTCAGGAGTGAAGAAACGGAACATGAAATCATCACGGAGATTTTTGGAATAGTTTACTAGTTTTTAAGGCATGTTCAGCGTCAATTGGTCCAATCAGTAATTTTTCCTTTTGACAAGAAAGCTTATAGAAAAGGAAAATGAAAAGCAAGTAGATTCAGAGGGGAGACAACAGACAGACTAGAGACAGTCCGCCCCGAAGCAAGAAGTTGGAGTAGAGGAGAAGGGAACTTCCCCAGCAGCACAGGGTTTGAGCTAAGTGTTAGGTGGTGGGTTAGAATTAGGTGGTGGGTTTTATTGTGTGATTAGAGGCTAGAATGACTATGCCGGTGATGAGCAGTGTGAAACTTTTTTGGAAGAACCAAGTGAAAGAAAGAGTCCACGAATTTTAAGCTAGGTTGTTACCTGGCTAAATTTGTGATTTAGAAATGTAGGCCAGTTTCACAGGGGAATTTTGTGTGTGTGTGTGTGTGTGTGTGTGTGTGTGTGTGTGTGTGTATTTAACATATTTGGCCACGCATTGTTCTAGTCTTTGGGGATATTGCCCGCCCTTAGGCATTTGGAGATTAGCAGGGTCATATTGAAAAACTTCATACATGCAAAGCATATGTTCACTGTTGATCCAAGTCTTATTTATCCTACCAGTAATTTTGGGGTTACATTAATATTCTAAGAAATGTATCAACAAATAATTATATTTATTGTTTACCTATATAGGAGGCACTGATCTATATCTATACCTATATAGGAGGGCAGATCACTTGAAGTCAGGAATTCAAAACCAGCATGGCTAACATAGTGTGAAACCCCGTCTCTACTAACAGTACAAAAATTAGGGGGGGCGTGGTAGCATGTGCCCGTAGTCCCAGCTACTCGGGAGGCTGAGGCAGAATTGCTGGAAGCCAGGAGGCAAAGGTTGCAGTGAGCCTAGATCACCTCACTGCACTCCAGCCTGGGCAACAGAGCAAAACTCCGTCGCAAATAAAATTAAAAAATAAACTAAAATACACTATGCCAATGAATTCTACCTTCAGGTATACCTGACTACTTTTTATAGACTAAAATTTTTACTCTGGAGCTATCTGCTGTTATTACCTTTAGACTTACAAACTATTTTTGCAAATGGACATATCATCTTGATTTTATACAATTTACTTTCAGTCCTTTTTGCTCTTTTTACAAAATTCTGGAAGTGCATTTGTGTTTTAATAGAAATACTGGGTGGAAGTGGCCATAACTTTCTCCTGCTTTCACCCTCACCCCTTTTCTCCCTTCAAAATGATCTCATTTTATTTCTCTTGATAGCACAGATTCCGCCCCCCCCCCCCCCCCCAGACAGAGTCTCACTCTGTTGCCCAGGCTGGAGTGCAACGGCGAGATCTTGGCTCACTGCAACCTCCGCCTCCCAGGTTCAAGCGATTATCTTGCCTCAGTTTCCCGAATGACTGGTATTACAAGTGCCTGCCACCATGCCCAGCTAATTTTTGTATTTTTAGTAGAGATGGGGTTTCAACATGTTGGCCAGGCTGGTCTGGAACTCCCGACCTTGGGCGATCCACCTGCCTCGGCCTCCTAAAGTGCTAGGATTACAGGTGTGAGCCACCACGCCCGGCTGATAGCACAGAATTTAACAGCTTGAAGGAATCAAAAAGTTCAGATCACTGTTATTTTACAAATAGCTAAATGGATGCAAAGCTTACTTTGCTCAAATCATTAGACTCAGAACAAGATTCCATTATGCTCTTGTTTGTTTCCATTATACCATATATCTCTTTGTCATCTATTTTCTCATTAGCCACGTGTATTAATTTGACTTAATTTGGAGCAAAAATAGGGCTCTTTTAACTTATTTATTTGTATATTTC
Organism: Homo sapiens; assembly: GCF_000001405.40. Lineage (NCBI taxonomy): Eukaryota > Metazoa > Chordata > Mammalia > Primates > Hominidae > Homo > Homo sapiens. The sequence continues at coordinate 27,143,928 of NC_000006.12, read as the reverse complement.
ATAATCTCTTTTAAATTGTTAAAAAGTTGAATGTGCTAAATTGTCTCCTGTCTCATAAATTTTTTTTTTTTTTTTTTTTTTTAAAGAGTAGTTCAGTGCTTTGCAATAATTGCTGTGTGATTCTGGACCACAGCAATTCAATCTAGCAATTGTTACAGCCTGCTGAAGAACGCTTGCACAGAATAATTGCCTGCTTCAGATTCTCCCATCCTTTGGGAAACTGAGAGTAGCTCTGGGATTGAAAAGTGGAGGTTTATTTAACTGTGGTTAGGGACTTGGCAATCATATGTTTGGTCTCTGCTGTTATCTAGTATCTTTAAGTCTAGAAGTTGGAAGTAAAGAGGTCAGTGGACCTAAGAAAATGGCATGGCTTTCTACCCTAGATGAGCTGGAAAAACTTAGTAATTCTTCAAGTGCTTAATACAAAGGAGCAAATCTCACAACTCAATGCCTATGAATTGTAATATATCATGTCACTACTTTCTTGATATTACCTGAGGTATAAGTACAGTTGGGAGAAGACCTTATCTCTATCTTCAGGAATATAAGTGAAGGAAAGGAAATTTTTTTCTTTTTTTTGAGACAGTCTTACTCTGTCGCCAAGGCTGGAGTGCAGTGGCACTGTGTCAGCTCACTGCAACCTCTGTCTCCTTTGTTCAAGCAATTATCCTGCCTCAGCCTCCTGAGTAGCTGGGATTACAGGTGCCCACCACCATGCCTGGCTAGTTTTTATATTTTTAGTAGAGATGGGATTTCACCATGTTGGCCAGGCTGGTCCTGAACTCCTGACTTAAGGTGATCCACCTGCCTTGGCCTCCCAAAGTGCTGGCGTGAACCGGGCCAGTGAGCCACCGCACTGGGCCTGGGAAATTTGTTCATTTGCTTTATCCTACTTTCTCATTCTTTATTGAACTAGGATTTTTTTGTCTTTATTGTATGTGTCTGAAAGCCAGTTTGTTACTCTTAAGACACTACTCAAATAGAAATATAATGTGGCCACGTGCGATGGCTCATGCCTGTAATCCCAGCACTTTGGGAGGCCGAGGTGGGTGGATCACAAGATCAGGAGTTTGAGACCTGCCTGGCCAGTATGGTGAAACCCCGTCTCTGCTAAAAATACAAAAATTAGTTGGGCATGGTTTCACATGAGTGTAGTCCCAGCTGCTTGGGAGGCTGAGGCAGGAGAATGGCTTGAACCCGGGAGGCTGAGGTTGCAGTGAGCCAAAATTGTGCCACTGCACTCGAACCTGGGCGACAGAGCGAGACTGTCTCAAAAAAAAAAAAAAAAAAAAGGAGGGGGGGAATGTAATACGTCATACATGTACTTATCTTTCCAGTAACCATTTTTAAAAGTTAAAAAAAATTGTCTGGGCACAGTGGCTCAAGCCTGTAATCCCGGCACTTTGGGAGGCCGAGGCAGGCGGATGACCTGAGGTCAGGAGTTCAAGACCAGCCTGGCCAACATGTCTCTACTTAAAATACAAAAAAATTAGCCTGGCGTGGTAGTACGCACCTGTAATCCCAGCTACTTGGGAGGCGGAGGCAGGAGAATTGCTTGAACCCGGGAGGCGGAGGTTGCAGTGAGCCGAGATCACACCATTGTACTCCAGCCTGGGGGACGAAAGCGAGAGTTCGTCTCCAAAAAAAAAGTTAAAAAAGTTAATTTTAATAGTGTATCCTATTTGACAGAATATATCAAAAATATAGTTTCAGCATATAGTCAATACAGAATGTATTAAATATCTTGTATTCTTTTTTCATTTCAAATCTTCAAAATCTGGTGTGTATTTTACACTTTTATGGTATATCAAAATAAATTTTCGTGGGGAATTCTTGATCTGTAATTAGAATAAGATGATTCTGATTCATGTCCCTAAGGTGTTCCAAGTATACTTGAATGCTATCTAATTGAATCCAGCACCAGTTTTTAAAAGTAAACTAATTAAGATATAATTAAACACTTACTCCCTCAGTCACATGCCACATTGTAAGTGCTCAAACTCCATGCATGGCTAGTGCTATACCATAAGACACTCAATGAGCAGAACTTGACCTAAAACCCACTAGGGCACTATGCAAAGGATTACAATTCCTTCTGGCATCACCACCTACTACGGTTTTTCCTAAGGGAGTGTTTAATCCATTGGGCTTGGAACATGAAAAATGACAGGGAAGGACGTGTTACATTGCTGCAGATTTAACAATAACATAACTATATAGACACAAAATAAAAACGACTTTCTCAGGCCCACAAACTGACACATGAAAATAATTCATTCCAATTGGGATTAAGTGACAAGCAGGTTTTGCATCTGTCCTGACACATTTCCCCAAATTCTTCATTATAGGACTAGCACCACTACTACTCTCTGTGATGGCTTATCTATCTACTAAGAGAGTGTGATTAAGAATATTACAGGTTTGAGTGAGTGTATGTTCGGGGCAATTTGAATCTATGCTCCTGGAATAATAAAAATTAAAGAAAGACAAGTTTGGGTCATAAAATCTAACATTTGTGAATTGGTTATTTGATTTGGCCTCTTTTGCCATTTTAAAATAAGAGTAATAAAATCTATCTCACAAGAATATGAGATACGAGATAATCCATGTAAAGCACTTAACAATTTTCAACAAACTTTCAGTGTATCTTAGGCATTACTTTCCTCTTTCACCCTTTCTTTTGTCCCTTTTGTAATACTTTGAAAATTTTAGGTATTGTTAATCATTGCTTATTTAGAAAGTAAGATCAATCTTTTATCAGGTCTTCCCTTAGCTCGCTCTTGATGCTACTCTTACAGCGATTTCAGAAAAGCCTTACTATCCAATTCAAGCCAAATCAGGACATAAGCCGCCTAAATGTTTTTTGTTTTTTTTTTTTCCCCCAGATTGATGCCTGTAGCTCCTGGGGAAAGTGGAAGTCAGATAACTCCTTTATGAAAAGGCAGCATTCAAAAACTATAAAAAATATAAATCCAACATTATTAAAATTTTGCACATCCAAAGATATCACGAACAGTTAAAAACAAACCCACAAGGTGACAGAATATATTTGTCACATACTGACAAAAAGTTAAAACTCAAATATATAAAGAATATTTACAAATCAAATCTCATAAAATAAAAACTGTAGAGAATCTGAATAGACCATTCCGAGGAAAGCGGGAAAATCTCCAAATAGCCAAAAATCTCATTTAGAAAAACTCCGATTTCACATTAGGAAATGCTGATAAACAATAACTCTCAAGCACTGCTGGTGGAATATGGGAGTATAAATTTAAAATACTACCCTGGAAAGCAAATTGTTCATTTTTATTCATGTTGAATATGCACATTTACCAAATAATTCCACTTCCATGTAACCAGAAAATGCACAGCTGTATACAGTGCTGTTTTGTAATGAGGAAAAAAAATCAACAGAGAAATGAATAAAGTATTTACTGACACATTAGAAAACTAGATTAATGGTAAAAATAACCTAGAACTGCACATTTCAACACGGATATATTTCAAGAGCAAATGTAAAAATTCATGACGATTAAAATAGATTAGGGGTATGTGCATCTAAAGTTAAAACGCGTGGGAACAGTAAACAAATTTAGAATATCAGTTTATCCTAGAATATTAGTTAATTCTAGATAGGAAAAAGGGAGGGCTGTGCTACTGAGAAAGGGACATAAGGATTTTAGATGCACTTGAATAAGTGGTGTGGTCACCAGCGCATTTTGTATACTTGATATATTCCAGTATTTAAAAGGCAAACATATAAAGGAATATTATTACTAAGACTCTTAAGACTGCCCTACTGTTCTACAGTAGTAAAAGCATGGTCTGTCCCCCTCCCCCCCATGCAGAGCTCTGTGCCCGCCAAGTCCTCTTAAACCAGCCACCACGAAGTTTTCCTGGAGGTTCTAGCATTTAGTGGAGCCCATCAAACTCATTATCTCCTGAGACGTATTTGAAGGTCCAGAGGGAAGTTAATTATCTAGCCCGCCCCTATTTGGACCGCAGACCCCTTGGCTTTCTAAACTAATCCGAGCGGTAAACCGGCTGCAGGCAATTTCCAGGCAGCCGCCAGAAGTTACTGGCCAGCAGAGGCTCTTCTGGCCTTGGAAAAATCTCGGCCCAAGGTCACCTGTAGTCATCAGCCCATTTTCGGCGTCGAGTTAATCTTGTAAAATAGGATGACAGAACTCACTGACAATGGCCCTATTAAGAGACTCAGTTTGCAGTCATTTCAACTCTTTTGTTGAAAGCTTAGGGGCCCTAAAAAGGGCCTTTTTAGAGAATGACTGGGCTTCAAAATGCCATTTAGCCGCCGAAGCCATAGAGGGTGCGGCCCTGGCGCTTGAGCGCGTAGACCACGTCCATGGCGGTGACCGTCTTGCGCTTGGCGTGCTCCGTGTAGGTCACGGCGTCCCGGATCACGTTCTCCAGGAACACCTTCAACACTCCGCGGGTCTCCTCATAGATGAGGCCAGAAATGCGCTTCACGCCGCCGCGGCGAGCAAGGCGCCGAATGGCTGGCTTGGTGATACCCTGGATGTTGTCGCGCAGCACCTTGCGGTGGCGCTTGGCACCCCCTTTCCCCAGGCCCTTACCTCCTTTGCCGCGTCCTGACATTATCAAGTGGTCAGAGAACAAAGGTCTGCTGCCTGTGATGGCAGCTTTCTTTTATGGGTAACCTCTGCGGACCAGACTGAAAACCGGAAGAGCTTTGGCGGGAAGTCCCTCTGCATTGGGGGAGGGGACCTAAAAGGGAAACAGGCCTGCTGTGCTCTACTCCCTCTTGTTCTCCTTCAGTCCTTTTTAATCCTCAAGACCTAGGCTGTTTTTCCTTTTTTCATTTAACATGATTCCTGCCTCATAACAAAAATGTTAACATTATAGAAGATACATAAAGCAAAAAGAATGTTATCTCTGCATATATGCATGTTTTCCTTTAACATTATTTGTATGGAACTATGCTATTTTGTGGCATTTTTCTCCTTAATATACAATGGAAATATACTCCATATGCTAAATTCCTAGCAATAGAACAAGATAGACTCATAGAATTTAAAGATCGTTCAGGTATATTGCTAAGTTCTTTTCTACTTATTTTCATTTCTAGTGTTTGGGGTGGAGAATTATCCCCCCAAATATCGAGCTTGGTAATGGTGGGTGTTTTTGAAAATTGAGGGTTCTCAGAAACAAGTCTAAGAATCAAGGTCCCTCTAACTTTGTCCTGTTTCTCTTCCCCAAATACAGGGAGGGACTTTCTCTGGAATTTCCTGATATGACCAAGAAAGCTTCTTATCAAAAGAAGCACAATTGCCTTCGGTTACCTCATTATCTACTGCAGAAAAGAAGACGAGAATGCAACCATACCTAGATGGACTTTTCCACAAGCTAAAGCTGGCCTCTTGATCTCATTCAGATTCCAAAGAGAATCATTTACAAGTTAATTTCTGTCTCCTTGGTCCATTCCTTCTCTCTAATAATCATTTACTGTTCCTCAAAGAATTGTCTACATTACCCATCTCCTCTTTTGCCTCTGAGAAAGAGTATATAAGCTTCTGTACCCCACTGGGGGGTTGGGGTAATATTCTGTGGTCCTCAGCCCTGTACCTTAATAAATTTGTATGCCTTTTCTCTTATTAATCTTGTCAGTTGATTTTCAGTGAACTTTCAGAGGCCAAAAGGGAGGTTTTCTCTTGGCCCCTGCACCAGTAGCAGTTCCTGATATGCCTACAACCTTAACTAATGCTGGGTAGAACCATTTAAAGTAATCTAACTTTACTAATAAGGACTTGATTTCTTGTATATAGAAATAACTTTTCAAAAAGTTAATCAGTTGGTTAGTCAGCACAATACATTAACTATTTCCCCCACTGATTTGAGGAACTTATTATCATATACTGAATATATGAGCCACCGCACCCGGCCCATTTGGTGATTTTCTTGCTACTCTTTATTTTAATGAGTACCTTACAGCAGTGCTTGAAGTATTTTCAAAGTATTCCACTTAAATGTCATAAAGTAAATGAAGATAAACTTTTCATTAAAATACTTTAGAAATTTTTGCATTTATGTTGCAATAAAAGAAAACTTGCCATACACCTTTGGAAAACAAAAAAAAATTGATATGACTGGCTGTAACTTGCTGTAGCTGAATTCAGTATATGTTGTAAAGAGGGTAAGGTAGCATAGGTTAATTGAATACGTTAATCTAAGGGTAAATACAAATTAAAAATGAGAGGCTTAATTATCTGTTGAAAACAAAAGACTTCCCTTTCCTTTCCCATCACTTTCAAAATGTCTTTCTCTGTCCTTTTAAAATGTATGTAAATCCTTTTAATGGCTAAATAGGCCTTATAACTCAGAATATTTTCTCAATGCCTGGAGAGCCATCCCTTTGAAATGTTAATCATTAAAAAAGATAGTGGTCTGTCTCCCAGTTTCCAGCGAGAAAATGGGCTGAACTTTAGCTGTCACCTGACTTCGAATTGCAAAACCTATCCAATGTAGCCATACATAATAAGCAAGATTTCTTTCTGCTTTTGCAACCTCTTCATAAGGTTTCCTGTGATAAGCAACTCTCCCTGGTTTAATGCTTATTCAATAATAAAATTATTTCCTTTGTCTTCTTTGGGAGAAGATTTTAAAATTGTATTTCCCCAACATTAGTTAACAAGTATATTTCTCTACTTGAGCTTCTCACTAATCAGAAGCCTTTTTCTGTATCTGATTTCATGAGTTTTCGCATAGCAATTAGTGACAAGGATAGCAATGAATGGTAAAAGGTGGCAGAGCATGCCATCCCAAAATATGCCATTTTGGAATAAGAATTATTCTGAGATACAGGCAATTTTAAAAAGAGTAGGTACAAGAAAGGCACTTTGACCGTTCCCTTTTACCCCCTTAAAAGCAGGAATTAAAATTCCCCTGTGGAAGATGTCCTCCCTGTACCAAAAGGAAAAGAACATTTTCATCAAGGACAGGAAGTTGAAACCAAGAGAATTCTGTCCAAGCAGATCTTAAAATAATTCTTGTTTTCCTTTAGCCTTCCTACATAGTTACATTTCCACAATTTACTCCATTCAACCTACTATAAAAGCATTTAGGTTTTGCTACTTCTTTGGGGTCTATTATTAGAGCTCCCATGTCCCATGCCACATAAAATTTATATTAAATTTATATGGTTTTCTCCTCTTAATCTTATGTCAGTTTAATTATCAGGCCAGCCATAAAAACTCTTAAGAGGACAGAGGTAAAATTTTGCCTCCCCTACAAGGATATTTGAGTTTGTCAGACTCTTTAGTTTCTGAAATTGACGGTAAATTTAGTTCTGAAATAGTAAACATACACGCAGTATAACATTTTAAAAAAATGTTATGCTAATCAGTCTGTTTTCTAACAGGATAACTGACTATCAAGATAAACTTAGTTCAAATAGAGTAACTCTGAGTTCTCACATTCTTTCACATTACAAAACAAATCTGGCAGCAAACTTTGTCAGAGGCGTTTAAACCAGAGAAACTCCATCTTGAATAGGGGCTGGGTAAAATAAGGCTGAGGCCTACTGGGCTGCATTCCCAGAGGCTTAAGGCATTTGTAGTCACAGAATAGGTCAGCACAAAGTACAGGTCACAAAGACCTTGCTAATAAAAGCATGCGGTAAAGAAGCCAGCCAAAACCTACCAAAATCAAGATGGTGAGGAAATTGACCTCTGGTTATCCTCACTGCTCATTATACACTACTTATAATGCATTAGCATGCTAAAAGACACTCCTACCAGTGCCATGACCATTTACAGATGCCATGGCAACGTCGGAAAGTTACCCTATAGGGTCTAAAAGGGGGAGGAACTCTCAGTTGGGGAATTGCCCACCCCGTTCCCAGAAAACTCATGAAGAATCCACCCCTTGTTTAGCATGTAGTCAAGAAATAACTATAAATATCCTTAGAATAGAACAAAAGAACAATTTTCTTTACTTCTCTAATAAACTTGCTTTCACTGTACTCTATGGATTTGCCTTGAATTCTTTCTTGAGAAAGACCCAAGAACTCTCTCTTGGGGTCTGGATTGGGACCCCTTTCCAGTAACAGTTACACTTGCAAAGTACATCCTGTGTCCAACCACTGTATATTTAATTGTGAAATTTATTAAATATTAATTTAAATAAGTTGAAAGACCTTTAAAGACAGGGCAATTCAAAAATGAGTAAAATTATTGGGTTACACAGTATAAAAATCCATCAAAAAGCCAAATATTTTACTATTTGGGGGGCCTCTCAAGTACCTATTTTTGCTAGATATTGTCAGCACTTGTTTCTGTTCCAAAACATCGTATTTATACTAGGATTGGAAGTAGTTATATTTTAAGAACAAGAAACAGACACAGTAAAAGGTTATGAGATGTCAGTAGACTAAGTGCTAAAGAAATTCCAGATAGGAAGAGGAGGTATCTAGAGAAAAGGAGCTGAAAAGAAATGGGGTAGGTTGACCAAATTTTAGAGCAAGAGTTTTTAACCTGAGGTCCGTACTTATATGTCACAATGCCCCTAAGGAAAAAATTCAGCAATTGGAGGGTGTTGAAGGGGAAGTCTGTGAGTTTGGGTAGTAAAATATCTATTTTTAAAAACTTAACCTTGACTGAACTTGAACATTTCACTTTATTATGAATTTAGGCCACAAATCTCAGTACCTGTTACTTTGTAACCCAAAAGACATTAGATGTTTCATTTCTCATTACAATTGCTGAGTTATCGTGAAACATTTTTACTCCTCTAATTAGTAACAGCAATTAGGCTCACCAAATCATGTAATGTGTTAACTATATTAACAATATAACTATATAGTCTCATTTATCACTATGAAGTTTTAAAAATACTTTGATAACTGTAATTTAACTTTGTTTGGCATTTTATATACTTAAAACATCATTCTGAGATTTTCCATGTTACCAGACAGCCAAAAGTGTCTACAATACACAAGAAAAATGAGTTAACGTCTTCTTAAGATTACTTCAGAGTGGGCCGGGCGTGGTGGCTTACGCCGGTAATCCCAGCACTTTGGGAGGCCGAGGCCGGTGGATCACGAGGTCAGGACATCAAGACCATCCTGGCTAACACGGTGAAACCCCGTATCTACTAAAAATACAAAAAAGTAGCTGGGCATGGTGGCAGACGCCTGTAGCCCCAGCTACTCAGGAGGCTGAGGCAGGAGAATGGCGTGAACCCGGGAGGCGGAGCTTGCAGTGAGCCGAGATAGCGCCACTGCACTCCAGCCTGGGCGACAGAGCGAGACTCCGTCTCAAAAAAAAAAAAAAAATTACATCAGAGTTCAGTGAACAGAGGGAGGAGGCACAATTGTGCAATCTTGGCATGAGTATTCCTTATTTAGCTACAACACCAAAAGTTATTTGCACTACCGTAGTAAATAACCCTCCTTTACAGAAAACTGCCAGTCTTGCTAGGAGGCCTCAGTTTGTGTCAGGAACGCCCAATACCCTGTACTTTTCTAATAGTCATAAACATTTCTAATATTTCTAATGTACATTTCTAATACTCATCAACATTTGTTGAACCATATTATAATCCTCTATATATTTTCCCTCCTATCTGTGAGGCAGACATTTTAACAGTCTGTGTGCTAACACTTTACCTCAGATTTCTTCATGGGTTTTAAGGTTTATTATTAACTATCCTGTCAAGTTCTTCTAGGTAAGCAACTTGGGATATTAGGCCTTTCCAAATGAGCCATCTTTCTTGGGCTCCAGATAACGTCATCCCAGTATTTTACTCACTTCATTTTAAAGGAATACTTTGCAACATGCAGTAGGGTGGGTAAGAGAATGCTTCACAGCTATCCATCAGGAAAGATGTGAGTCTCTGACAGAGCCTTTGCAGGGAGGTGGACTATTGTGTCACAAAGTTCTTCAGCCTCGCTCTCGTGCAGCGGCGTCACCGCCGAGCTCTCGCAGGAGCGGCAGCTTGCTGATCAGCAGCTCGGAGTTCTGGTAGCGCCGAACGTCGCGCAGGGCCACTGTGCCGGGCACGTAGCGGCGGGACTTCTTCATGCCGCCCTGGCCCGCGTGGAACAGCTGTCTGCTAAATTCTAGCCCGGGCGATAACTCTTTTGGGCCAAAGTGCTTCAAGAACTCACGAAGCCACTGGTGCTCTGTGGACACACACTGATTAAGTTTAAAATTAAGTAATGGCCTAAGAGATTTGTTCACATCTTAACTTTTAAGCGTGGTAAAATCTGGACCACCTTCCCTCTAGTTTTTCTTTTAAATCTGCGGTGTTCGCTACACTGTTTTCAAAAAGATGGGTAATTTATGACTAGAGTCTTGTCCATGTCTCACTTTCTTTCACATGGAATAAATGTTAAGTTCTTTTAGAGAAGACGTGGGTGGCCCTGAAAAGAGCCGTTGGTTTGGACTCGATTTTACTTGAGCTGCCACAAACTAGTACAGATAGTTACTTGCCCTTCGCCTTGTGGTGGCTCTCAGTCTTTTTGGGCAGTAGCACGGCCTGAATGTTGGGCAGGACACCGCCCTGTGCGATGGTGACTTTGCCCAGCAGCTTGTTGAGCTCCTCGTCGTTGCGGATGGCCAGTTGGAGATGACGCGGGATGATGCGGGTCTTCTTGTTGTCGCGGGCCGCGTTGCCCGCCAGTTCCAGGATCTCGGCGGTCAGGTACTCCAGCACCGCTGCCAGATACACCGGCGCGCCGGCCCCGACCCGCTCGGCATAGTTGCCTTTGCGGAGCAGGCGGTGCACTCGGCCCACGGGGAACTGGAGACCGGCCCTAGAAGAGCGAGTCTTGGCCTTAGCGCGGGCTTTGCCTCCCTGCTTGCCACGTCCAGACATAGCGAGCGCAACTCACTACGAGCAACCACAAAGTGAACGGGAAAGGCGGCGCTTTTTATAAACACTATTGGGCGCGAAAAAGAAGACGTGTTGTTGGTTAGGGCTGCAGTTTAATTTCAACCAATAGTAGTGCGTCTTCTGGATTTGCGAATCCTGATTGGGCAGACCTGACCTCTGACGTTACCCTGAATAACTACCAATCAGACACAAGACTTCAACTCTTCACCTTATTTGCATAAGCGATTCTATATAAAAGCGCCTTGTCATACCCTGCTCACGCTGTTTTTCCTTTTCGTTGGCGCTTTATAGCTACACAGTGCTATGCCAGAGCCAGCGAAGTCTGCTCCCGCCCCGAAAAAGGGCTCCAAGAAGGCGGTGACTAAGGCGCAGAAGAAAGACGGCAAGAAGCGCAAGCGCAGCCGCAAGGAGAGCTATTCCATCTATGTGTACAAGGTTCTGAAGCAGGTCCACCCTGACACCGGCATTTCGTCCAAGGCCATGGGCATCATGAATTCGTTTGTGAACGACATTTTCGAGCGCATCGCAGGTGAGGCTTCCCGCCTGGCGCATTACAACAAGCGCTCGACCATCACCTCCAGGGAGATCCAGACGGCCGTGCGCCTGCTGCTGCCTGGGGAGTTGGCCAAGCACGCCGTGTCCGAGGGTACTAAGGCCGTCACCAAGTACACCAGCGCTAAGTAAACAGTGAGTTGGTTGCAAACTCTCAACCCTAACGGCTCTTTTAAGAGCCACCCATGTTCTCAAAGAAAGAGCTGGTGCTTGTATTCCTCCTCTGCTGGCCACTGACAAACCCTTGTAACTTGCTACTGTGTTTTTTGGTCTGAAGTAGAGCAGTTATTTAACTAATCCTTAGTGACTTTTTTTTTTTAGATCTGCCATTCTAATCTTAGAGTTAAGTAAGGAGATGGGAAATTTTCTATTATAAGTTCGAAACCAATTAAAATACGTTAGAAACCAATTAAAATACTCGTCGGTCCCCCGTCGGTTAGTGATTTGGAACAGTGCCAAGTTGCAGCGGTTGTCAGTTTGAATTTGCCCGGGCAACGCCCGCCCTTCCTCTGCATCCTGATTGGTTGTTGTATCCAGGAAGTCCACGGTCGGCTTGGGTGCGCCAAAGGAATCCAAACCCCGCCTTTATTTGGCCTTCCTTACAAACTCAGTAAACTGTCAGTTTCTCATTCTTTAGTATTTTATCGCTTTCGGGAAGGAGATTTATTTCTAATTAGTTTTCGTTGGATAGAGCGTTTTTTTTTTTAAAGGGACCCTTTATGGCAACATAATCAGTTTTTTTTTTTTTGAGAAGGAGACTTCCTCTGTCGCCCAGACTGGAGTGCGGTGGCGCGATCTCAGCTCACTGCAGCCTCCGCCTCCCGGGTTCCAGCGATTCTCCTGCTTCACCCTTCCGTGTAGCTGGGATTACAGGCATGCGCCACCATGCCCGGATAATTTTTGTATTTTTAGTAGAGATGGGGTTTCACCATGTTGGCTAGGCTGGTCTCGAACTGACTTCAGGTGATCCACTAGCCTCAGCCTTAAAGTGCTAGGATTACAGGCATGAGCCATCAAGCCCGGCTACAACGGAATTTGAATGCTGTAGTTTTCAGCCTGAGAAAGATCAATGCTTTATTTCTGATTAGAATACTATTTTCCCTTTATGGTATATCTATATAAGCAAAGGCATTAGAAGCCTAAACAGGACAATTCGGGGCGTAATGAAGGCAGAAAGCTTGAGGACATTTATCCCAGACTCTTTTCTGAAACAAGTCAATTTCAATTTTAAAACTCCTTTCGTTAGTATTTTAAATACTGTTTTTGACTTTGCCTAGAAGAAGTGAGGAAAAACAAGTTCCCCCTTATTCAGGTTGTCACAAATGAGAACCAGTCACCCAACAAACGATGTTGCTCTAGGTTGTAACTTCAGTCATGTGTCTCTTAGGTAAAAATCCAAGGTCTATAAAGCATTTGGAAGCTCCCACTATGACTAGGTTTTGGTTTCAAAGGTAGTAATTGTATATAAACTTGAGTTACTATCTAGTTTATTTAAAATGGATCTAAATTTAGCACAGTAATAACATCTAAAACAATTAGTATTTTTGTTAAATCCACTATCAAATACACACGTTTCCCTTGTTGACTCAAGTCCTGTTTTTTTCAAAGCCCAGTTAAATATTGCCTGCTTTATGAAATTTCTTCTGTTTTTTTAGCTTTTTCTCGGACACTTGTCCAGCCTTTGAAAACTGTCTGTAGAGTTTCTAAAATATGTATCTCTCTGAATTGCTATCTGGTTTGTTGTATATATTTCTATGTAGAAAATATACACTCAAGTTCTTTTCCTTCACCATAATCATCCCGTACTAAGGATAACTGAACTGTTATCAATTCTGTGAATAAACAGAACTTAAATTACTTTTATGACATTATTGTTATGTTACATGGGCCTCTGACCCTCTCTATTAATCCAAATAGTCAGATGATAATTTCCAAGCTAAATAACTTGCTTCTTTGTCTTACAGGATATAGAAATCAGAATAAAAAGCAGGGTTTGTAAGAAAAGGAGGATTGCGACTGACTCATGGGTATATTGTCCAGCCACAGGTGAAAATTTGTAAAGGCTAGGTTTTCGAAAACTATACAAAGTTAAGTTGAAAAGAACCCAGCTAATTCTCCTGTTACTCAGAAGACTAAACTGCCTAAGGGGTAATGAAACAAATGATCACCTTATGGGTTATTTTCATCTTGCTGGTGTCCCCTTAATAAGGACAAAGAGTTAATACTTTGCTTGAAAAACTGAATGGGACTGGGCGGGGTGGCTCACGCCTGTAATCCCAGAACTTTGGGAGGCCAAGGCTGGTAGATCACTTGAGGTCAGGAGATCGAGAGCAGCCCCTGCCCCTGGGGGATGGTGAAACCCCGTCCCTACTAAAAATACAAAAATTAGCCTGATGTGCTGGTGGGACCCTGTAATCCCAGCTATTCGGGAGGCTGAGGCAGGAGAATCACTTGACCCCAGGAGGCATAGGTTGCAGTGAGCCGAGATCGTGTCAGTGCATTCCAGCCTGGGCAACAGAGGGGACTCCGTCTCAAAAAAAAAAAAAAAAAAAGAAGAAAAACTGAATGCTGCAAGTTCAACCCATTACTAACCAGTTCCTGAAGAATTGGCTTTTTTCCCTTTTTTTTCCTCTGGCTTTTTCCTTCATTTTAAAAAGGGGGATGTAACAGTGCCTCTTGAGCAAATAGTTTTGGTATACTTAGAACAATGTCCTGTACATAGTAAGCATTCAATATATGTTGGCTAATACTACTGATGCCGGTTGTAACAGTAGTATTAGAAACCGTAACTCAAGTATGTCCATAAATGGCAATAGGGAAAAGAATTGCTGCCACTCAGCACAATTTGGAGTATTGAATGTCATTGTTTACTTTTTCTAGAAGGAGAGTGACCTAAGACACTGATCTAAACTGAATGTACATGGCTAATGGTTTGGATAGACAGATTTTTTTAAGTGGGCAAAAGTGGAGGTTGTGTTGACTGGAAGCTTTGGGGAACAGTGATACGGATGAATTTCCCAGAATGGTCCCAGAGTATGAGAATAATATCCCACGTGAATGCTAACCTAAATTCCCACTCTTCAGAGGAGGCTATCAACAATCAGGTACACATCAACCATATGGCTGTCATGTAGTCTCTTTTCCTATCACCCCACTTATTGCCCAAGTGATTTACTTGTAAACTGTGACCAGGGTGGTAGGCAATGATAGAGGTGATACTTGAGTTCTGTAGTATAGACTTAGCTCACCAAGGCTGACCTCTGGATACTGCTGCTGCTAAGTGTCCCATATGTCAGGGGAAGTATTCTTGTATTCTTGCAAGTATTTTGTCATGGATGAGGCAGAGATTTGTCTTCACTGAGATAAACACTCTAGATTTCGATATGCTTCACTTTCTTACATGCTATTGCTAGCAGGACCATCTGTGAACTTACTGAACGCTTTATACCTCATATCTCAACATTTTTTGGACCCATTTCTATACATTATACAGAAAGGGTAAGGTAATGCATGGGTGACCATGAGACTCGGTAGTCCTAATGTGTACCACATTCCTTATAAGCAGAAGTCTGAATTTTTGGAAGACTCAGTTAAAGTGGCATGTAGTCATTTAGCACCCTCTTGAAGTACTGTTCAATTTTGGACGTTATAGATGAGCTGAATAGTGACTAAGAAAAAGCATAATTTCTTCTGTAGACAAAATGCATTCGTTAAAGAAAGGAGAGGTAGGAATGGAGTGGTACCTCTCATATTACACTTAATAATAGCCAACTCAAAAAAGTTATGCTTTTCATGTTTCCAACTCAGGGCTCCCTGCTGTTTTTTTTTGTTTTAGAAAAGGAGGAGTACATACTCCCACCAGTAGTCATGGAGATGCCTCTGTTTATTGATTTACCAAAAATGATTTATTTTTATATGAAGTTTAAAGCAGTTTAAATTACATTCATTTGCTGGCTTAGAGAACTGTGGGAAGTCTTGACTTAATGGGTGTTGGGCTTTTGGACTCCTCCTCTGTTTGTCAGTTTTCTTTTTGTTTCTGTTTCCCCCCCTTCCCCCACTCCTCCCCTCTCTTTTTAGGGGCATAGGCAAGGAGCTGTGACAGACAATTTGAGTGTTTTTAAAAATAGTCTCATAAAAAATATACCTTTGACTGGGTGCAGTGGCTCATGCATGTAATCCCAGCACTTTGGGAGGCTGAGGCAGGCACATCACGTAAGGTCAGGAGTTAGAGATCAGCCTGGCCAACATGGTGAAACCTGGTCTTTACTAAAAATACAAAAATAAGCCAGTCGTGATGGTGCGTGCCTGTAGTCCCAGCTACTTGGGAGCCTGAGGCAGGAAAATCACTTGAACTCGCAAGGCAGAGGTTGCAATGAGCTGAAATCGTGCTACTGCACTCCAGCCTGGGCAACAGAGAGAGACTCTGTCTCAAAAAAAAAAAAAAAAAAAAAAGAAAGAAAACAAAATATTTTTTCCCCAACACTTTTCAAAGAATGGTTTAAAAGCAATGACAATCCATGATCAGTGAGAATTCCCACCCAGATTATGGTCTCAATTCCTTTTTCAAAGGGCAGTCAGGCTACTTGGAGACTTGGGTAAATCTATGGATTTTAATACATTCAAGAGGAACAGCAATCAAATGCCATATTTGGATCTGGTGGGATCTCATTCAGACAAAATATAAAAATATTTGAGACAATTCAGGATTTTCTTTCTTTAAGGGCTAGGTATTGGATAATGTTACACATCATTTTTTAAATTTTCTTAGGTGTAAAATCTTAGCGTTTTTTCTTTATATCCATATCTGTTAGGATATTTGTGAAAATATTCATGATTAAAATCACATATTTGGGATTTCATGTTTCAGATATTTTTTAGACTCCCTCATCTGTCAGTGTGGGTGCGGATAATGAAACAAAATGGGCAAGATGTTGGTAATTGTTGAAGCCTGTGCGACGAGACTTGGGAAGTGCAGGATTCTCTATATTTTTGTGTCTGCTTCAGGATGTCCATGACCACTCCCTTTCCCCTCCAAAAAAAAAGTTAAAAAAAAAAAAGCTGGCCAAATCAGTGAACATATTTCGTTTTTGGTCAACAAAGGGCTACCCTGAGAGGAATCTACATGCAGAGAAGTTCAGGAGACTGAACTAACGGAACGTCAGGAAGCGCTGCGGGCTGGAGAGCTGCTGTTGGAACAGGGAGGAGTTCTCCGGGCCGCACCCTGCCTCCGTCCCGCAGGCGAGTTGAGAAGCGCTATCGCCATCTTGTGGCGATAATGGATGGGATAATGTAGCTAAAACTTTGTTTAGTTTTATGAGTTGAGAAGGGCTGTCGCCATCTTATGGCAATAACGGATAGGCTAATGTAGCCAAAACTTTGTTTCGTTTTATGATTTCGATTAGGCATTTCATTGCTACGGTTTAATAATTGAATATACAAGAAATACTATAAACCATCACATCCCCAACAGCCCCCAGCCGCCCAGTTCCCCCATCTACTTGGCAAAGATTCTCTTTTTGACCAAACTCTAGGCGGCTTCTTCTGAGCCCTCTTCTGGACTAGGTGGCCACCTTGGTCTATAAAGACCTGAACAAACCCGAACATAGTTACTAATAGCCCCGGTCTTCTCAAGTGCCTGCCTGAGAAAACTCAATTGATGCCGCCAAAGGAATTTACTGTTTGTTTCAGTCAACGTCTGAAGATAGGGCCCTCGTCTCCCAGGCTCTGGTAGGAGTGGAGCCTGATTTTGATATGTGCCAGTTATGAAACCCAGATGGTTCCCCACTGTCAGTGGTTACTAAATAAAATCTGTTTTCGTCATTTAAAGTAAGGCCTGGTGTTTTATCTTTGATATACTACAATTAACCACTTTTATTCGTTTCCTGTGTACCTGTCTGGAATATCTTTATACAAACACAAATAAACAAATGTGTCCCCTTTCATTCACATTTGCCCCCTTTCATTCAAATGACTGATGGTCACATGTTCTTCACAGGTTCTGTCTCTTGCTTTTCTCATTAACTGTCTTTCTTATTGCAGGTGGAGTGGCTGAAACTTCTCAGCAGGCGCATCTACACTAGTGACCTGAGGAGAGAAACCCTAACCCCACAATGGCTGCATCTTCTCTGAAGACGAGACTGATGCTCATCTTTGAAATGAAGGGCAGTGTGTGCATTTCTCCATGAAGGTATCCAGAAACAGCCATGCCAGAGCTGCTGTGGGGTGGCTGAACTGCTATTCCTTTTCTAGGGTGGGATCCCCACTCTTTGTAAGGAAGGATATTGGGGTCCTGACACTGGGAACTCATCTTGTCAGTGAGGCCTTCTTTAACTGCTGTCTTGTAATTGAGCCACCCCATCTGTGTTTCCTGTTCCAATTTAGGACTTTTTTTTTTTTATCATAATATAAAGATCTGAAATGCTATGTTTTCCTTATTCATTGGCTTATTATCTTTACTATCCCATCCTCCACACTAAAAGTTTTTTCGAGCTGGATTTGGGAGTTGTGGGGTAGGTTATATTTTGATCACTTGTATTTCCCAGCTTCTAGAACAGTGCCCAGCAAAGTACTTCTCTGAATAAATGAATAAAGTAATATTCCTCTGCTCTGCTGTTGCCAACTGGAATATCCTGAGGGAAATTTCTTTACTTTCCTCAGGGGATGATCCAGAAGATGAAAAACAAATTGTCATTCCATATAGTCCTCTTCTGAGTGTTTTTCAGTTTTGTTAAAACTCAGATTTTTTCTTTTTACCTGAATGTTTTTTTGTTAATGATTATTAGCATATACAGTATTTTCTTTTATGTACCAAAAAAAGGCAATTGATACAGTGCATGACTTGAAAATATACCTGCCTTCTCTGAGGCTCAAATTCAGGACTGTATTATTTGGAAAGCCTTGTTGGGTTGTGGCTCCCAAGAAATCATACCTAATTTCCCTTCTTTGAGAGCACTGATTTCTGAGTTTCCATTTCTCCTAGAAGAGAAACATTGGCTTGTAAGAATTTATGTATCATCAATGCTTCCTTTTCCATCCTGCACTTAGAAGGACCCAAGACTTGAGGGCTGCGCTGTCAACACTATTCCTTGCTCACCCTCTCTTTTGTTCTAATTATTTATGTCTTCCCGCCTTCAGAAATATCAGTTGCTCTTTCACCAGCCATTGTTTCCTCTCTGGCCCTAGTGCAGAGTAGGTGACGTAGTACAGCTGAAAGGATGAATGCTGGCAAACTTGTTTCTAGCCTAGATTTCTCCTTATTTTAAATCTGCACTTGCAACCACATGGCCTGAGACACTCCTCTTGAAAATATCACCAAAAGGACCTTATTATAAAAAGTCACCGCCATCTATTCAGGGCTATGTATTAGGGGACAATAAAGTGTAAGTCATGGCCAGGCACGGTGGCTAATGCCTCTAATCCCAGCACTTTGGGAGGCCGAGGTGGGTGGATCACGAGGTCAGGAGATTGAGGCCATCCTGGCTAACACGGTGAAACCCCATCTCTACTAAAAATACAAAAAATTAGCCGGGCGTGGTGGCGGGAGCCTGTAGTCCCAGCTACTTGGGAGGCTGAGGCAGAAGAATGACGTGAACCCAGGAAGCGGAGCTTGCACTGAGCCGAGATCACACCACTGCACTCCAGCCTGGGAGACATAGGAAGACTTTGTCTCAGAAAAAAAAAATTGAGTCATTTACATTGTTTTATTTTATCCAACTTAATATTTTTCACAAACAGTTATCATTATCCTCATTTTAGAGATGAAGCTGAGACTCAGAGTAGAAAACTTCCTTAAGTCACAAGATTGATAAGTGGCAAAGCCAGTACTAGAAAGCAGAATAGTTTTGATTCTGAAATGTGCTCCTTCTCACGTATCAGCTCCTGTTCCCTCCACATTCCTTGTCCGCATGTACCCAATGGTACACTTGACACATATTTACAAATTTGTGCATTCCCACCCATTAGATATACATCTCCACCTCCAATGACTTACCAACTCTTGTAGATTATTCCCACACATTTGCTTTCTTTTCATTCATTCCTTCATGCATTCGTGGCACATAGCATTATGGAGGAAATCCTGTGTCACATGTATTCACTGCTGACTTCAGAGGCTGAAGGAACATGGCCTAGCATCTGGGGCCCTTCCTTGTTTGAAAAGTTTCTGGTTTCTCCACTTCTAGGCTCGCCATCTTCCAACCTTCCTGACAGATAAGAAATACACTTCAAAGCTTAGTCTGAGAAAGCAACTTCTCTACTCAAAGTTTTTCAAAAGAGCTTGTATCCTTTTAGTCTGGGTTTTAAACCATTACTTGTTTCTATATACATTTTTCCAGATAAGTTTTTAAAAATTATTTCTACCGGGCCAGGCACGGTGGCTCATGCCGGTAATCCCAGCACTTTGGGAGGCCAAGGCAGGCGGATCACGAGGTCAGGAGTTAGAGACCAGCCTGGCCAACACAGTGAAACCCCGTCTCTACTAAAAATACAAAAATTAGCAGGGCGTGGTGGCGGGCACCTGTAATCCCAGCTACTTGGAGGCTGAGGCAGGAGAATCGCTTGAACCTGGGAGGCGGAGGTTGCAGTGAACCAAGATTGTGCCATTGCACTCCAGCCTGGGTGACAGAGCTAGATGTCATCTCAAGAAAAAAAAAATTATTTCTACTTAGAATGTATGTTTCATGCCCAACTAAAGAGGTTCTTCTCTTTTCCTCATACAGAATATCCTATTTCCATGCCTGGAACCCCCTACTCCCTATTCTGTCTTCAGTTTCATCTTCTAATGCCCATTCTTGATCCCTTTGATCTATTGCTTTTTTCTAAACTCTCACAGTTCTTTAAGCCTGTTTTGCATTTTTGCTCTTCCACCATGTGCTTTATGTGGCTTCTTTTCTGAACATTTCCATCTCAAGAATAGTAAGTATCACATTGTAACCTCACACACTGTTGACACGAGTAAACTTCAGTCTGTTGATTTGTTCTGTGAAAACAGTGGAAATAACTGGTTTTCCTGTCTTTTCTTTCCTTCTTTTCTTTTCTTTCTCACTCTGTCACCCAGGCTGGAGTGCAGTGGTGCAATCTTGACTCACCACAACCTCCGCCTCCCTGATTCAAGCAATTCTGCCTCAGCCTCCTGAGAGCTGGGACTATAGGCGAGCACCACCACACTCCACTAATTTTTGTATTTTTAGTAGAGACAGGGTTTCACCATGTTGGCCAGGCTTGGTCTCAAACTCCTGACCTCAAGTGATCCACCTGCCTTGGTGTCCCAAAGTGCTGGAATTACAGGTGTGAGCCACTGCGCCTGGCCAGAGCTGGTTCTTTTTCTTTAGAGCGACTTTTTATAGCTGTCAAGGTAGAAAACAGAGAATTTCTTTATAACTTGCAATTTCTACAGTTGGCAGCCTCCTCTGCTCAGGCCTTGTCAATGTCTGGTTTTCCCACCCTCCCAGAAATGGGGTCTCGATCTATCACCCAGGCTGGAGTGCAGTGGCGTGATCATGGTTCACTGCAGCCTCAAACTCCTGGGCTCAAGTCATCCTCCTACCTCAGCCTTCCAAGTAGCTAGAACTACAGGTGTGTGCTACTACAATGACTAATTTATTTTCTTAGAGACGAGGTCTCGCTATGTTTCCTAGGCTAATCTCAAATTCCTGGCCTGAAGTGGTCCTCCTGCTTGGGCCTCCTGAGTCGCTGGGATTACAATACTGTCTAGTATGAAGGAAGTTTGTCTTGATATGTTTCCTGCTCAAAACAAAATGCAACTTGTCATTTTCAAACTCTAAAATTCTTCTGGTGTGTTTTAAAATGTCTATACTGTAATAGCAAATAAATTAACTTTTATGACAGGGAATTGTTGCTTTGTCATTCAACTTACTTGTCTGGTAAGCAAAATGCCTTGGGTTCAAGTCCTCACAGAATTTTGTTTTTGCATTGTGTAGCCTTCCCTGATACTCATTTCTTTCCATAAAACTGTCACCCCTAGATAAAGCCTCATTTGCTTCATCTTGTAGGTTTCACACCTAACCCATAAGCATTTGGATAGTTGGGAGAAGCTATAATGGTATATCATTTATTTTATAATAGTATGTAAGATTGATAATGGGACAAGTCAATAGCTTCCACATTGTGTTTAGGCTTTCCAGCAAAATTGGATTTAAATATCATATTTAAATATTTATATTTATAAACTTAAAAAATCAATTTTATGTAAAAAAGTTATATTGGAGTTTATCAAACTAATATACATATATATTTTCTTTTTGAGGCAGGGTCTGGCTCTGTTGCTCAGGCTGGAGTGCAATGATGCATTCTTGGCTCACTGAAATCTCTGCCTCCCAGGCTCAAGTGATCCTCCCACCTCAGCCTCCCAAGTACCTGGGACTATACCTGGCCAATTTTTTTTTCTTTTTTTTTTTTTTTTTGGTAAAGACAGGGTTTTTCCATGTTGTTGAGGCTGGTTTCGAACTCAAACTCAGGTGATCTGCCCATCTCAGCCTCCCAAATGCTGGGAATATAGACGTGAGCCACGATGCCAGGCACAAACTCATTTATTTTAATTTACTTTTAAATTAATCATGTTACAAAGTCAATACTTTAAAGTTTATAGATTTGAATTCTAAAACTTCTTTGTTTTATTGAGATTTATACATACATGGTAAAATATTTGGTTAACTCACCATGTTCTGTAAATGATGATGTCATTAGGACTAAAGTGTTCATCTGTACTTTTAAGAATTAAAAGAAGACATTGTTTTAGAAGACAATTTCAGGAAATGTTAATAATTTAAAATGTAATGGCCTTGGTTACTTTTCAGTTGCTTTTAGCTTATCTTTTTCCCTATTATGAATATAAGTTTTATGAATATTTTTGTGTATGTTTTTTGGTGTACATATGTGCCCATTTCTTTTGTTGAGACGGATTCTCAGTTTGTCATCCAGGCTGGAGTGCAGTGGCACAATCTCGGCTTACTGCAACCTCCGCCTCACAGGTTCAAGTGATTCTCCTGCCTCAGCCTCCCGAGTAGCTGGGACTGCAGGTGGGTGCCACCATGCCCGGTTAATTTTTTGTATTTTTAGTAGAGATAGGGTTTCACTATGTTAGCCAGGATTGTCTTGATCTCCTGACCTTGTGATCCACCCGCCTCGGCCTCCCAAAGTGCTGGGATTACAGGCATAAGCTACTGCGCCCAGCCTGTGCTCATTTCTTTTGAGCATATAATAGGAATGGAATTAACAGTTTTTAAGGTAACCATATATTTAGGTTTAGTAAACACTGACAAATATTTTTCTAAAATGTATAAACCAATTCAAACTCCTATAATATAAGATGATTTTAATTGCTTCAAATTTTTGCCTTTATCTTGTTAGGCTTTAAGTTTTGCCTTTCTGAATAGGATGTGTTAGTGATATCTCACTGTTGCTTTCATTTTCAGTTTCCTGATGAGTCATAATATTGTGTACCTATTCATATGCTTCATATACATTGAATGTCATTTAGTGGAAGAGAATGTTCATGTCTTTGCCCATTTTTAAATTATTTGTACTTATCGATTTGTAACAATTTTTTCCATATGGACTTTTCCATATGGACATATCATTGACCTAACTAACGTAATTTGTTGAAAAGACAACCCTTGCACTGCAGTGTTACCTTTCTCATGAATCAGGTGACTACACACATGTTTCTGGCTCAATAGCAATCATTCTCATTACCATAGTTTAAGATAGGGGTTGGCAACTTATAGTGTAAGTTCTCCAACTGTGTTCTTCTTTATAATTGGCTTTTCATTTTCATAGAAGTGTTAGAATCAGGAAGAAATACTTCCTAACTCAGAGGTCAACAAACTATGGCCCACAGACCAAATATGACCCACCACCTGATTTTCAAAAAAAGTGTTATTGGAACACAACCACATTCACTTATTTGTGTATTATCTATGTCTACTTTCCCACCAGAACAGCAAAGTTGAGTTGTTGTGACAGAGACCTTATTGTCTGCACAGCCTAAAATATTTACTATCTGGCTTCTTAAAATATTGGTTAACTTAATTCGTTCCATAGGGCAACATCATCTTGATACTAGAACTGGACAAATATAAACAAAGAAACTTATTGACCAATATCCTTCATGAACAGAGATACAAAGGTTCTAAACAAAATTTTAGAAAATTCAAATTCAGTAATATGTAAAAAGAATAATACATCATGATCAAGTATTCCTGGCTTTTCCAAAAAATGTAGAGTTGGTTAAACATTAGAAAAATCAATCAACATAATATACCATATTAACAAACTAAGAAATCTCAACAGAGGAATGTTACAAGAAAAACGTGGGACTGTAACATTTCTCCCAAACTCAGAAGGAACCGAGAGACCAAAGTATGACTTGGACAAGTTCAGCTTGATAAGTAGATGAGTTTATTAGGACTTATATACAGGGCATTCCTGGACGGCAGCAAGACAGCTCTAGAGAGCTGTGTTGCCACCATCTCTAAGCTGCTTTTAAGCTAATGTTCTGGTCTTTGCCTACTGTGTTTAGGCAAGGAGACTGTTTTCCTTGATCAGATACTCTCTGGGATGTTTGGGTTCTCAGGGATACCTGCTCCTCAGCTGGGTACCATGGTCTTGGCTTATCACCCAGCCTTCAGGGTTCAAGTAGCAGATATCACCCTTAAGCAAGCTGGTGGAGGACTGTCACACTATAAGGCAGAAAAAGCATTTGACATAATTCAACATTCATTACTGATGAAAACTCTCAGTAAACTAGAAATAGAGGAGAACTTCCTAATGTGATAAAGTGTATTTACAAAAAATCTACAACTAAGATTATACTTAAAGACTGAATGTTTTCCCCCTAAGGTCGTAAACAAGATAGTCATGTTTGCTTTCACCACTTCTATTCAATGTTGGAAATTCTAGCTAGTGAAATTAGGGGAAAAAAGAAAGAGGAAAGAAAAGAAGGAACAATGGAAGGAAAGAAGAATCATCTAAATTGTGAAGATAGCACTTATTATTCTCAAATGACATGGCCATCTCATGTAGAAAATCAGAATGTACAAAAAGCTACTAGAGTTAATGGTTGAGTTCAGAAAGGCTGTAGGATGCAAGATCAATATTAAAAACTGCATTTGTATATACTAGTAACAATCAGAAATGTTTAAAAAGTTATAATAAAACTAAAATATGAAATACTTAGGGATAAGTTTGAGAAAAGATGTGAAATATCTATACACTGAAAACTACAAAATATTTCTGAGAGAAATTGAAGAAGACTTTAATACTTGGAGAGATAAAACTTGCTTATAGGCCAGAAAACTCAGTATTGTTAAGATAACAATTATTCTCAAACGAATACACAAATTCAACACTAACCCAGTCAAAACCCAGGAGGTTTCTTTGCAGAAATTGGCAATCTGATTCCAAAATTAATATGGAAATGAAAAGGATCTACAGTTGCCAAAACAACTCCGAAAAAGAACAAACCTGGATGGCTATCAACTACCTCATTTCACAGAATTATTATAAAGCTTCAGAAAGCCAGACAGCATGGTATGGTTGTAAGATAGGCAAGTAGGTCAATGGAACACAATAGAGAATCCAGAAACAAACCAACATGTATATAAACAACTGATGTTTGAAAGAGGCCCAAAGGCATCCTGGTGGAAAGGATAGTCTTTTCAAAAAGTAGTGTTAGAAAAATTGAATATCCACATGCAAAATATATATATATATAATATGTTATATATATATATGAACTTGTGTCTATACCTTGCAAAAATTAAAACAGTTCATACATTTAAACATAAAACCTAAAACTACAAGACCTCTACAAGAAAATGTAAGAAATTTTTATGACACTGGATTAGGCAAAGATTTCTTAGATATGACAGCAGAATTCATAAAAGAACAAACATGCATTGGATTTCTTCAAAATTAAAAATAGCTCTTTGAAAGTCAGTGTTAAGAAAATGAAAAATCAGGCCACAAACTCGGGGAAATACTTATAAATGCACTTACCTGATAAAGGACTGGTATCCAGAATGAACAATACTTAATATAGTACTCTCAACACTAAGAGGATAAACAACCCAATTAAATAAGTGGGCAAAAGATATGAACAGACACTTCAAAGAAAACATATTGTTAGCAAATAAGCACAGGAAAATACTTTGAATATCAGTCATTTGGGAAATGCAAACTAAAATCACAATCAAATACCACTACACATCTATTAGAATGCCTAAAATTTAAAAGACTGAGGGTGAAGTATTGGAAAGGACATAGCGGAATTGGAACTCTTATAAATTTGTCCTATGCATGTAAATACTATGGAAAACATTTTGACAGGTTCTTAAAAAGTTAATCATATAACTAATGTTGTTAATCATACTACCATATGATTCAGCCATGGCACTTCTAGGTATCTACTCAAGAGAAAAGGAAATATGTGTCCATATAAAGATTTGTACAAAAATACTCATAGCAGCTTTATTTGTATTAGTTAAATCTGGAAATAATCCAAATGTTCATCAATAGATGAATGGCTAAAATATTGTGGTATATCCCTGCAAAGAAATACTATTAAGCAACAAAAGAAACAAACTGTTGATTCAAAATATGTTACTCTTCTTTTTCTTTTTGTTTGAGATGGAGTCTCACTTTGTCACCCAGGCTGGGGCACAGTGGTGCAATCATAGCTCGCTGTAGCCTTGAACTTCTGGGTTCAAACCATCCTCCTGCCTCAGCCTCCTGAGTAGCTGGGACTATAAGTGTGTGCCACCACACCCAGCTAATTTTTAGAAATTTTTTTGTGGAGACGAGGGGTTGTGGGGGGGTGGTGCAGTTTCTCACTATTGCCCAGGCTGGTCTTGAACTAGTGGTCTCAAGTGATCCTTCCACCTAGGCCTCCCAAAGCACTGGGATTACAGTGTTAGCCACTGTGCCCAGCCTAAAATATGTTAGTTTTTTGTTGCTGCAAAATACATTAGCACAAACTTCAGGGTCTCAAAACAACATACGTTTATTATCTCAGGATAATAAATGATCAGGAGTCTGGGCATGACTTAGTTAGGTCTTTTGCTTAGGGTCTCACAAGACTAATTGAAGTGTCCCACCAGGATGCATTCTCATCTAGACACTTGACTGGGGAAGAATCCATGTCCAAGCTCACTCAGGTTGTTGGCGGAATTCATTTCCTTGCAGCTTTAGGTATGAGGACACCCGCTTCTTGCTGGTTGCTGGCTGGAAGACGCCTTTAATTCTGAGAGGCTGCCCGCACTTCCTAGAGGAGCTTGAAGCTCCTGGCCATGTGGACTTTCCCCACACGACCACTTACATCATGAAACCAGCAAGGACTGCTGAGTAAATAATTATGCTGAGTAAAAGAAACTGATCAAAATACAGTACATACTGGATTCTATTTTTACAAAACTAGAAAATACAAACTAATCTACAGTGACAAAGGTTAGATCAGTGGTTCCTTTGAGTTGGGGGACAAAGTGAGATAGGAGAAAGGTATTACAAAGGGGGACAAGTACATTTTAGAGGTGATAAGTTCACTTTTTTTTTTTTTTTTTTGAGACAGAGTGTTGCTCTGTTGCCCAGGCTCGAGTGCAATGGCGTGATCTTGGCTCCCTGCCATCTCTGCCTCCCGGGTTCAAGTGATTCTCCTGCTTCAGCCTCCTGAGTAGTTGGGATTACAGGCATATGCCACCATGCCCGGCTAATTTTTGTATTTTTAGTAGAGATGGGGTTTCACCATGTTAGTCAGGCTGGTCTCGAACTCCTGACCTCAGGTGATTCGCCCGCCTCGGCCTCCTGAAGTGCTGGGATTACAGGCGTGAACCACTGTGCCCAGCAAGTTCAGTGTCTTGATTAGGGTAACGGGTTCATATGAATACTTATGTCACACTCATTAACATGTATACTTTATGTGCAGTTTATCATATGCCAATTATACTTTAGCAAAACTATTTTTAAAAGCAAAAATGTAAAAAAAAAAAAAAGTAATTCTAAAAAAAAATGATAAAATTACACCCACAGCCCATTCTGTTGTTCTTCCTACTTCTGCCTCCCAATAGTGGCAGTCAGAGGGGAAGAAGGAGGACCCCAGGTCACAAGCAGCAGAGATGAATATATCTCAGTGGTTTGTGATGGTCTTGTCTTGTCTGAATGTACTCACATCTGAAACTCCATAGATCACAAAAGAATATGAAGTCATTGGCCATAACTGGATGCAGACTCATATTCACTGTGAAAATACAACAACATGGGATACGGAATAATGAAAAGAATTAAAAAATTTAATAATGACACTAACAAGAGTAAAACAACTTTAAATAATTGATCATTGGTCTCACTGTACTAAGTTCTTTATAAATAGTCATATACTTAATCTTGAAAAGAATTTTCCAAAGTGAGGTAGGAGATCAGCAGGACTTCTTTTCCAAGCACCGGTAATGACCATGCTGATCAAAAACAGGATGCAGTAAAAAAAAAACAACAAAAAAACCTCAGCAGAGTGGTGGCTCACACCTATAATCCCAGTGCTTTGAGAGGCTGAGGTGGGAGGATCCCCTGAGCCTAGAAGTTCGATATCAGCTGGGCAACATAGTGAGAACTCCATCCCTAAAAATGTAAGTTAAAAAAAAATTAGCGAGACATGGTGGCCTACATGTGTAGTCTCAGCTGCTTGTGGGGCTGAGGTGGGAGGATTGCTTGAGCCTGGGAGATCAAGGCAGCAGTGAGCTACGATTGTGCCACTGCACTC
Organism: Homo sapiens; assembly: GCF_000001405.40. Classification (NCBI taxonomy): domain Eukaryota; kingdom Metazoa; phylum Chordata; class Mammalia; order Primates; family Hominidae; genus Homo; species Homo sapiens. The sequence goes on along the minus strand of NC_000006.12, from coordinate 27,115,733 downwards.
CAGCTGGGGCGACAGAGCAAGACCCTGTCTCAAAAACAAAAAACCCTGGCTGGGTGCAGTGGCTCACACCTGTAATCACAACACTTCAGGACGCTGATGTGGGCAGATCACCTAAGGTCAGGAGTTCGAGACCAGCCTGGCCAATATGGTGAAACCCCATCTCTACTAAAAATACAAAAATTAGCTGGGCATGGTGGCATGCACCTGTAATACCAGCTACTAGGGAGGCTGAGGCATGAGAATTGCTTGAACCCGGGAGGTGGAGGTTGCAGTGAGTCAAGATCGAGCCACTGCACTCCAGCCTGGGCAATAGAGCCAGACTCAGTCTCAAACAAAACAAAACAAAACAGCTGGCTGAAACCAGCAGATGGTGACAAAGCAACCTCTAGTTGCCCTCACAGCTCATTAGAATAAAGACACTCCCATCGGCGCCATGACAGTTTACAAATGCCATGGACATGACTCAGAAGTTACCCTATAGGGTTCTGGGAGCTCCCCCCACCCCTTTTCTAGAAAATTCTGAATAACACACTACTTAATTAGCATATAATTAATAGTGGGTATAAATATAGCTAGCCTGTGTGCTTTACTGTGGCTCTTTCTTCAGTTCTGGCTCCTGCTCTGACTCCTGCTCTGGACTGCTCCTGTTGCTGAACACTGCTCCTGCCCTTCCTGTCTGTTCTACTGGTGGAGCATCCACTTTGCTGTACACTGCTATTCTGGGCTGTTCTGCCTGTGGGTTAGTTGTGCTTTCTGCAGCATCCACCTTGCTGTACACAGTTGCTGTAGGCTTCTCTGCCTATGGGTTAGCCTTGCTTTGTGGAGCACCCGCTTTGCTGTACTATGCTGCTACTCTGGGATGCTCTATGGGTGAGCCTTGCTCTGTGGAGCACCTATTATGCTGCATGCTGCTACTCTGGGCTGCTCTGCCTGTGCGTTAGCTTGTGCTGTGTGGAGCGCCCACTTTGCTGCATGCTGCTACTTGGCTGCTCTGCCTGTGGGTTAGCTTGTGCTCTGTGGAGCACCCACTTTTCTGTATACTACTACTACAGGCTGTGCTGCCTGTGGGTTAGCACACAGGTCGCCCTTTGTTTATGGAGCAGTTTGCTGTACACTATTGGTCTAGGAAGTGTTTTTAAATTAACTCTGAAGCCAAAAGCCCTCCAGGGTTAAGTCCCAATTTTGGGGTTCACCTGTGTCAGCCTGGTGACCCTGAAGGAAGGAACCATCAAAATGAAGAGACCATGAAGGGAGCATCAAGATGAGCGGGTTGACCATCAAGATAAAGTTTGGAGTTGTGATACTGTAATGCTATATACTAGCCAAAGGCTCTTTTCAGAGCCATGTTTTCTTGGTGACTAACTGGTTGTACACTGAAGCTTTGGAAACCTTTGCCTGGACCCAAATTAATGGCCAATTGGCACCATGTGGTTTCTGTGATTTCCCTGTCATATTGACCTTTCTGGGTAAACCAGGAAATGAAAGTGGGGCCTCCAGCTAGTCCCATGTTCAGATTATGTCCCCATTGCCCCGTTTTTGACCATCGTCTATTAAATCTCTAATGACTGGCTACTTGATATTACCATTCAGTTCCTAAATGCATGGTTGTATGTCAGAGCCATGTTCCTTCTAGGATTGGGTTAGAGTCCCACTCTAGGGGGAATTTATTGGGTTATTGTCAGTCCCACTCTACGTGGCGTTAGAATTGAGAGTCCTGCCCTAGGGGCTTTGTTTTTTGGTCACCTTTCTAAGATTGGGGTTTAAATTTCCACTAAGGGTTCTTAATTTGGTCAGCGTTTTTTTACTTCCATACTTAAAGTGCCTTCTTTGTAACATTCCATTAGCTAGTGATGGTAGTTGCCAGCCCACTGCCCACTCATCTTTCACTTTTGTGGCACCTACTTCTTGATACCCATGTTCTTTTGGCAGGAGTCAGTGGTAATTTCCCTACTGCTCTTGAAGAAAAGGGAGGTGGAAATTTGAAAGGAAAAGTAACTGGACTCTCTGGACTTGGAAGAATTTCTGGGTTTAGTAGGTATCTCTGGTAGACATAACAACAGTGAGCGTCCTGAAACACTTCCTGCTAGGGTGCCTTTTAGGCAACTAAAGCAAATTCAAATTTGATGTCTTAAAAACTCATCTTCTATTATAACAGTGTTTAGTACAAATTAATTTCCCAAGAAATTTGGCCTAAAAATGGTTCACTCTCCCTGGAGCCTCCTTGGTGCCTTAATATGAGGAAGGGGGTCCTGCCAGTTCTCCACTACAGGATTCCATCCCAAGTTCATCAGGCACCCCTCTGCTTTAACCAACTAGCTCCAGCCTATATGCCATACTGCCTGAGGAAATAAGTCCAACCAGTCTAATCAGGAGTGATAAAGTCCTATCAGCCCTTAAAATCAAACTTACATCTATTGTGAGAGGTTGAGACGTTGCTAATGGCGGGAACAGTACTTGTGCCTTTTTCCATGTCTGATTTAGCTTCATGCAAGGGAAACATTGGCTGGTATCAGAGGATCCAGGGAAGTTTATAGTTTGATGTAACTTGGCATGACTTGCAAATAGTGTCCACCTGCTGTGCTGTAGAGGAGAAACAAGGGATTTTTGAATACTGCCTGGGCATATGCTGATGGAATGGCTGCTTGTAACCAGGATCATGCCATTTATTGTATGTGGGAGTGTACTTCCAGATTTGGACCCCCATGGGATTACCAGAGGGGTTCCTGAGATCTCAAATGTAGAAATCATAGGTAACTTGTTTAATAGAAGATATGAAAGTGTGCTTAATCCAGTTAATTATGACAAGGTTAGAGAAGTAACTGTAGGGGAGGATAAAAATCCTATTCTAGTCAGGGCTGTTTGGTTGAGGCACTCAGGAAATATTGCAGGACAGACTCCCCAGAAAGGCAAACTCTTTTATCACTCAGTCTGTCCTTGATGTTAGGAGGAAGCTATAACAGGCAGAAAGGGGAAACGCAAACTCCTATAAGCCAATTTTTAAATATGGCCTTTCCAGTTTACAACAATAGGCACAGGTCAAAACAGGCAGAGATAACCAAAAGAAATAATATCCAAAATGCAATTGTTAGTGACTACTTTAAGCACCCTCTCCCACCTCAGGGTTAGCCAGCCTGAGGAGATTTGAGATCAGCATCTCAGATGCCCAGATGAGAGCCCCGAACTTGCTGGCCCCAGGGCCAATATCACTGTGCCTTCTGTAAGCAAGAGGGCCATTGAAAAAGGGACTGTTCCAAGCTTCAAAGGGAGCCTAGGCTACCCAAACCCATAATGGCCAAGAAAACAAGACTGACCGGGCCCAAGGTCCCCCACAGCTCCCACTGGACACCTTACCATCTCCATGGAAGAGGCTTAGGTAACTTTTGAAGTGGCAAATAAAAATATTTAGTTAAAATGTGTTCTTATTGAGATAATAATTTTGTCAAATTCAGAAACTATATAAAGGTTGATTCAAATTATGGATTAGAAAAGGCTATGAAATAAGGAATCTATAAGTAGGAGAGAGATGTGAAGAAAGTTATGGATGTGGAGATGTATTTTTGGTAAGGAAGGTCATAAAGAATGATTGTATAAAGGAAGGTTATAAAGAAAAGAGCATAACTGTATATGAAAAAGGATCTTCAATTTTAAAAAATCAATATGAGAGGACTATTGCAGTATGAAAAGAAAATCTTATATGGTAAACTCTTGTTCTAGAGTCAAATTACTAGGTATTTAAGGAAGAGGTAGTATAGGACAAGTCAGAAAGTCCAAGCATATCACAGATGGTCTTTGTAAGTTGTGACAAGGTTTGTGAAGGGGAATATATAAAAGGAATTTTGTATATGATTCTTAGGAATAATTAAAAGGGAACTGTTTATAATAGTCTTTCTAAAGAATGGTCCCCTCTTTTAAAACAAGGTTTTATGGCCAGGCACGGTGGGTTGCACCTGTAATCCCAGCACTTTGGGAGGCCAAGGCAGGTGGATCACGAGGTCAGGAGTTTGAGACCAGCCTGGCCAATATGGTGAAACCCCATCTCTACTAAAAATACAAAAATTAGCAGGGCATGGTGGTGCGCGCCTCTAGTCCCAGCTGCTCAGGAGGCTGAGGCAGGAGAATCACTTGAACCCAGGAGGCAGAGGCCGCAGTGAGCTGAGATTGCGTCACTGCACTCCAGCCTGAGTGACAGAGCGAGACTCCATCTCAAAAAAACTAAAAACCAAAAACCAAAAAACAAACAAAAAAAACAAGGTTTTCTTAAGGTATTGATTTGTTCTTAATGAAATTAATAAAAATTTTGCTTTTCAATTCTATAGCTTTTTTTTTTTTTTTTGAAAACTCAGATTCATATCTCAGAAGTGCTTTTAGCTTTTTGTCCCTTTGAGAAGCCTGGTTTTTTTTTTTTTTTTTTTTTTTTTTGAGTCAGAGTCTTGCTCTGTCGCCCAGGCTGGAGTGCAGTGGCACAATCTCTGCTCACTGCAAGCTCTGCCTCCTGGGTTCACGCCATTCTCCTGCCTCAGCCTCCCGAGTAGCTGGGACTACAGGCACCTGCCACCATGCCCAGCTACTTTTTTGTATTTTTAGTAGAGATGGGGTTTCACCATGTTAGCCAGGATGGACTCAATCTCCTGACCTCGTGATCCGCCCACCTCGGCATCTCAAAATGCTGGGATTACAGGCGTGAGACACCATGCCCAGCTGAGAAGCCTGGTTTTAAATATTATCAAGATAGTTCCTGTGTTTTCTTTATTAGGTTTGTGACTGCTTAACAAAAACTGAAATTTACAAGGATTAAGGTTTTTACATCTGTGTAACTTTCTGTATTGCCTTTAAAGTCTTTTGATGATCATTTTGGTTAAATAAGTAACTATCGGTTACAATGACCTGTAGTTCTGTATCAACAAAATATTTTGGGTCTCTTAACTCTTTCTGACAAATGTGAACAGAATCAAATCCTAGTTTAAGACACTGGCTTATTGCTGGGGTTTATTAAAACTATAAAAATCACAAGGTTGTAAAATCTTGCAGCTCCTAGTATCACCACTTCTAGCTGTTTTAAAAAGGTTCTTATTAGGTGCTGTTAACGAATCCTTTGGAATGTTAAACTTCATGGAGTTATTAGCTGAGCACACTTGACCAGCATACCTACACTTGTGAACTGGTAGAAGACCTCCACTACCTATTTAAAAGAACCAACATGCAGCCAGAGGTGGAAATATGATGCTGTGGGTCAGCATAAAAGCATAAATTTTCTTCTTCTTAATGGTAATTTTTCTGCTCTACCATTCCAGACAGTTTTTCCTGGTAAAGACCTCTTTTGTCCCCGCTAATGGAATTCAGTAAAGGGATCTCTACCATCATTCATGTGGTTCTTACCTTTTCCATAAGCTCAGCTGCTGAAATGGCTTGCTTTATTCCTAAGACTAGTTTTACCTAGTAGCTGCTGAAATGACTTTTGGTGACTCTAAGACATTTTACTTACTACTGTCACTTGCAGGTCAGAGCTTGCCAGCTCCCAAGAGCTTCTCTAGTGCCAATTAGCTTTCTTTCAAAACAATATATAACGTTTCTCTTTCTAGTAAAATCTCCAACTTTCTCTGTTCTTCAGACATACAGAGGACCAACCCAGTCTGTGCATATGTCTCGAATTGCAATTTTGTGATTCCCAAATAAAATGTTTAGAGATTCATCTCTATATTTTATTTTGACTTTGACAGTACTTAGGCCAAAATTAGGAGTTAAATATAACAGAAATTGCTTCTCGGCCTTTTGGCTAACATCAAGTGTAATGTTTGTTCTTATCAATTTAATATCTGATATATCCTGTATCCAAGGAACAATATATTAAATGGACTTTTGGAAGTAGGAGATAGAATAGCAACTTCCTCTGTCCACTCCACACATCATCTTGGTATTGCAGTACTTCCAAAATGGTGCATCCTCCTCTGGGGGAAATTTTTTTTAAATGCTAGCAAGAGATTACAAGTGAAATATGATTCATACCTATAAATAACTGCTTTAGAAAGGGGCCAGTCTTGTTTTTATTTAATTAACCACATCTACTTATAATTATACTATTCTTTAGTGTCATTTTTGCCTAACACCTGAGTGCCTTATAAGATTTTTAAGCTCTATAAACTATGGTCCATGTTTCTATGACTTTCCATTTTAGTCTAGGTCCAACAAATAATATTGACATAACATTAAATAGTTCCATGATGTGATACAAGCATTTATATTTTTAAGGACAACTCCCCAGAATCCTTAGTAATGTTTTATCCAAAGAATGTTCAAGGTTTAGGGGGCAGAGGAATTTCATTTAAAAAAATGATGTGAGACAATTCCTATACTTCCTAGTCTGTCTACTTAGTCTTTAAAAGAAAAAAAAAGTTCCCCATAATAAACACATATCCCTCATTGAAGTGACTTCTAATAAAACATAGAAATAATGCAAGAATTAAAACTCATCTTCTTTTACACTGAGGAGCTCTCCTCAGGCATCCAACTTTGAAGCCTCCCAAGTGCACCTGAAGGGCTCTGGTCTGATGTTCTCCTTTTGTTGGGACTGGTGAGATCACATCTTTCACTCACATTCTGCCACACCCATCTCAACTGCTTTCTCCTTTGACTGGATTTCCATTAAAAAGTCAATAAAAATAAACAGCCTATATAGGACTATAGGATTTGTGAGTGGTACTTTTGCAGGTTATATATGTTCTATCACCCCAAATTTTTCTTAGCACCTATTTTGTATAGGAAGTGTGCAAACAGTAACAATGCATTTAATGTTGAAAAGGAAAGACTTGATGCATGCAATGGTAATATAATTTCTTCAGGTTGAAAAATACAGAAAACTACTTCTTTTGATTTGTGTTTTGCATTTCATTCTGAACATAATAAAAACACAAAAAGGAAAGTTTAGTATGTATGCATTTAAAATGTTTTAACAGATATCAGCAAATAAGGATAGAAAACAAATGACAAACTAGAAAATATTTCTACTATGTAAAGTTGAAAAAGTAACTCCCAATAAGATGGAGACTTCTCCAGAGTAGGGACTTGATCCTATCAGACAGATGTTGGTCAAAAAGTATTGAATATTTATGCCTCCACATCTTCTCATTCCTTCAGTTTATGGCTTTGATGCCACCTACCCTGGGATATTTCTCCTGACCTCCCAGGTTAAGGACCTCCCTTGTTTATGTACTTATGGCCTCATTTCGTTCTCCACAACACAAAGGAAAATTATATCAAATAATCTAATTACTTATCTAGTATTTGTATCCCAGGAGAATATGTAATTTCCCTAACTCTGTTCCCAACTCAGCAATAGGCCCCAGTATTGGTGAAGCAGATGCCTGGTCATATCATCCATTCTGGATATGCCACCACACTTAAGAACCACATCAGGGGAGTTGTAGAAGTGAGTTCCCAAAACATTTCCTCTTACCATTTCCACCTAGTCTGCTGGTTGTAGGGATATGCTTATTTTGTGGGTATACATTTTCCTGGACCTGTATTAAGGCAATTGAGTTCCAAAAGACACTAGTCCTGGCAATAACTTCAATTCCTGTTCTGTGCTTGATGCCTTCTTGTGTGTCTGTTTCTGAATGTGAGAGGGACATATCATCTGAATGTGAGAGGCACTTCTCTTGCTTTTGAGAACCTACAAATAATTTTGTATGAATTATTTTGCTATTGCTTCAAGAATCTGAACGGTTTATAATATTTTGCTTATGAGAAAAATTAGGAACTAGAAGCCTGGAATGAAAGGAGAAACAAGACACAGTGGGCGGTGAGTCCACCATGAGGATCCACATCTTCAGACTGCTTTCACAAACACATTGTCTCTCTATGTCTTTCTATAAGGCAAAGGGAGTTAAGGAGGAGGTTTATGTAAGAAGAGCTGGGGAATCACCAAGTCTGAGAAAGTTCTAAGGAAAAATCCTACATAAAAAGGAGCTAGTGCTCACTTGGTGAGAGAGCAAAGGTAAAAAACATTGATCCATTTGTTTATCTAGAAATATCTATGAACATTCTCCCTGCAAATCTGTAAAAATGCCAGTTCCTGCACCCAATTCAAGCAGTTACATGGATTTCCTGAACCATAGCCATAGAAATACTTATTGTATTTCTACACTGAAGGTATACATTTAAAAAGAACTATATGAGGCTGGGTGCAGTGGCTCATGCCTGTAATCTCAGCACTTTGGGAGGCCAAGGTGGGTGGATCACGAGGTCAGGAGTTTGAGACCAGCCTGGCCGACATGGTGAAACCCCGTCTCTACTAAAGATACAAAAAAAAAAAAAAAAATTAGCATGCCTGGTGGCACACGCCTGTAATCCCAGCTACTGGGGAGGCTGAGGCAGGAGAATCGCTTGAACCTGGGAGGTGGAGGTTGCAGTGAGCCGAGATTGCGCCATTGCACTCCAGCCTGGGAGACAGGGCAAGACTCCATCTCAAAAAAAAAAAAAAGAAAAAGAAAAACCCAACCAACCAAACAAAAAAAACAACTATATGAAAGACTCCATAGATGAGTTGACTGTGATGGAGAGGGTTGCCACATAAAATATAGGATGCCCCGTTAAATTTGAATTTCAAATAAATAATAAATATAAGCATTTAATATAAGTAACTTTCAAATAATGCATGAGATATGTTAAAAATCTGAAGTTCAAATTTAAGTGGGCATTTTATATTTTTATATGCTATATCTGGCAATCCTAGATGAAGGAAGTCTCTCTTGCCTAACTCTTGGAAGGGCAACCAGCTATACAAAAGTAGAGGATAATAAATACTTTCAAATAGTCGTGAGTTCTTAACAACAATGAAGCAAGGCAATGTTGGCTCTTTAAATGTGGAATCTTGAAAGGCCTCTTAGACCTGAGATCTGAAGAAAGAGAAGAAACCAGCCTCATTATAACTTGGGGAAGGGGACACTTCAGAGTAGTAATTAAGGTCAAAGACCAGACAGGTAAAATTCCTACCCCGACCCCAATTTATCATCTGATGACCTTGGGAAAATTATGTTTTTGTGCCTTGGATTTATTCACTTTTAAGTGGAAATTATTTGTACCTGTCTCATAATTTTTTATGGGAATGTTATGTAAATTTGACTAGGAAGGGCTTAGCACAGTGTCTGGTACATGTTGGCCCTCGTAATGTGTGGGGGTGTGATTGTGTCTTTTATGGCATGTCTGTTTCTCAGATGGTGTGTCTCTAGGTGCTAATCTGTCTCTGTGTCACTCTAGGTCTCTGTTAGTGTTTTTAAATATTCTGTTAGTATTATTATACGTGATTCAAGTTGTGTCTAATAGCATGAGTTTGTTCCTATGGCCCCAGGATGGGTTGCATTAAAGCTGTTTAGTGGAGAATGTGTAGAAGAGGAAGAGAACACCACAGTGTATAAGTATACAATTAAGTGGAGCCATCTTGGCTCACTGCAACCTCCACCTCCCAGGTTCAAGCAATTCTCCTGCCTCAGCCTCCTGAGTAGCTGGGATTACAGGCACCTGCTACCATGCCTGGCTAATTTTTGTATTTTTAGTCGAGACGCAGTTTCACCATGTTGGCCAGGCTAGTCTCAAACTCCAGCTTGTGATCTCGAGTGATCCACCTGCCTTGGCCTCCCAAAGTGCTGGGATTACAGACATGAGCCACCACACCCAGCCTACAATTAGTTTTGATTGGTATATGTTATAGTCAGTGTAGGCTGCTATAACCAAGAGCCATAGACTGCGTGGTTTATAAACCATAGGAATTTATTTATCTCTGTTCTGGAGGCCAAAGTTTGAGATCAGGGTGCCAGTGTGGTCAGGTTCTGGTGAGGGCCCTCTTCCAGGTTGCAGGCTTCTCATTGTATTCTCACCTGGCAGAAAGAAGGCTAGAGAGCCCTGTGGAGTCTCTTTTACAAAGGTGCTAATCCCATTCAAGAGGACTCCACCCTCATGGTCTAATTACCTCCCAAAGGCCCCACCTCCTAATACCATGATATTGGAGGTTAGGATTTCAATGTGCGAATTTAGGGGGGGACACAAACATGCAATCCATACAGCATATTTTCTGTTTGAAGAAAAACTTCTAGAGTTCTCATTTTATCAGAAGATACCACATTGGGAACAAATTATTATTCAGTGATATCATGTGCTAGAAAAAGAGATCTACATATTTCTGTATATATTTGACAGAAGCAGATCAACTCTATCCAACTGAGTGGGGTAGTTTGAGAACTATCATCCAAAAGAAGGTAAACCTGGGCAAATGTCCTATTAGCTGGGTATATGAGGAAGCATCACATATCAGAGTTGAGAGAAGCAAATAATCACTTTTCTCTATAGTCTATGTAGAAGGGTAGACCTGGAAATAGTCTTTGAAGAAGTATACATTAGTCAAAGCTAAAGGTGCATGGTAGGTTACATAAAGATCCTAAGAAATGTATTGGAGATAGAAATTCATATGACATGGGTGAGCAAGACTGTAACTTCACTCTAAGGAGCAGTAAGGTAAGTAGAGGGCATGGAGGGTCTTGAATGTCAGCAAAGGAGTTGGGTATTGATCCAAAAGAGAGTAAAATTGTCATTTGATATATTTTCTCTCTATATATGTTTATATATTAATATATATCGTAGTGTATCAGAGTTTCTCAAATTTGAAGCTATTGGCATTTTGGGCTGGAAAATTATTTGTTGTGGGGAGCTGTCCTTTGCATTGGAGGATGTTTGGAAGCATCCCTGGCCTTTATCCACTGGATACCAGTAGCATCTCCTCTCCAGTTGTGACAACAAGAATGTCTCTACACATTGTCAAATGTCTCCTAATGGGGCAAAATCACCGTGGGTTGAGGACCACTGCTTAGATCCTTCATGAAAGAGGCATGCTGGTTGAGCAGGGAAGCCTCAGTCATAACTTAGACTGAGTTTTCCTAGTGGTCTATGGTCTTGTACACATATGTGTATCCTGCATCACCTGATGTGAGGCTAACTCTTCCTAATACGATGTTTCTAACTGCAGGCCTGCTTCTCCTTATATCAGCATCCACACAATGGACCAATATCAGGCTTTCTATAACAGATATAAGAAATGAGTTGAATTGTAATGTATTAATAAAATAAAAATTAAAAAATAATATCACACGTAGTAGCGCAAAAACCAAAAGATATCTGAAATATACCTAGTGAAATGTTGGCCATATTTCTATGTAGAAAAATAGTATGATGCTATTGAGATAAACTAGAGAAAATCTAAATAATTGAAAGGTAATATATACATTGTAAGATTTCATTATTTTATTATTTTGATATTATTACTATTTTTGAGCTAGAATCTCACTCTGTCACCCAGGCTGGAGTGCAGTGGTGCGGTCTCAGCTCACTGCAAACTCCGCCTCCCAAATTCAAGTGATTCTCGTGCCTCAGCCTCCCAAGTAGCTGGGATTATAGGCATGTGCCACCATGCCCAGCTGATTTTCATATTTTTATTAGAGATGGAGTTTCACCATGTTGGCCAGGCTGGTCTCGAACTCCTGACCTCAAGTGATCCGTCCACCTCTTCCTCCCAAAGTGCTGAGATTACAGATGTGAGCCACCGTGTGTGGCCAGATCTCATAATTTTAAAGATACCTATTATAATCAAACTGATCTACAGATCCAGGAAATATTATCCAAAATCACAGCAGCTTACTTTTTTTTGGCAGAAATTTACAAAATAATTCCAAAATGTATATGTAAGTACAGAGAGGCAATACAGAACAAGCAAATCTTGAAGGGGAAGAATAGGTCAAGTTTTCTGTTACCACATTTCAAGACTTATAAAGCTATAGTAAATAAGAGTGTGGGAGATTATAAAGTTAGATAAATAGACAGGAGGAAGAGAGTGGAGAAATGAAAAGGACCACATATATGGGCATCTGGTGATAGAAAAAGTAAGTGCAGAGCAAAGAGGGAAAAGATGGTTTTTTTCAACAAGTGGTGATTGGCCTTTTTCTTTTTCTTTTTTTTTGAGACAGAGTTTCGCTCTGTCGCCCAGGCTGGAGCAGAGTGGCACAACCTCAGCTCACTGCAACCTCTGCCCCCTGGGGTTCAAGCAGTTCTCGAGCCTCAGCCTCCTGAGTAGCTGGGACTACAGGTGTGTGCCACCACGCCCAGCTAATTTTTTGTATTTTTAGTAGAGATAGGCTTTCACCATGTTAGGCAGGCTGGTCTCGAACTCCTGACCTCAAGTGATCCACTTGCCTCATCCTCCCAAAGTGCTGGGATTACAGGCATGAGCCACTGCGCCCCACCAAGTGCTTGGTCATTTTAATACCAAAATGAATATACTTATCTCTAGATAAATGAATTGAGAGAAAGAGAGAGAGAAAGATAGATAGATAGATATTCCAGGGGATTTTCCCTCCCACTATACATAAATATCAGTTCTAGGTGCATTTTAGATCTAAATGTAAAAGGTAGAACAAGATAGCTTCTAAATGTTAATAAAGGGAGATATCTTTATGACTTCTAGGGAGCAGAAGATTTGTAAAAAACCCACAAAACACTAACACATATGTACATATATAATATATGACACAGATACACACATATAAATAAATTTGGATTCATTAAAACAAAAATCTTTTGTTCCTCAAGTTATTAAGAGATTCAGAGGTTCAAATGGCAAGTTACAGTGTAGGGGAATTGTGTTTATAACACATGGAATCAACAAAGAGCTTGTCAAAATATAGAAAGAACTACTACACAGCAGTAAGAAAGGAACAGAAAAACAAAAATCAAGTGATTTGAAGAGGCATTTCACAAAATGAAATATTGAATAGTAATAATAATATAAAAAGGACTTAACAGCATTACTAATCAGGTATTTACAGAATAAATAAGCAATTTTGACCCATTAACACCCAGGAAAATAGTGAAATTTAAAAGCCTGACCATATTAAATTTTGGAAAGAAGTTGAAGCAACAGGAACTTAATGTGTGCTGCAGGTGCACGATACTATCTGAAAATTTGGGGGGTATCTAATAAAATTATCTAATAAATTATGCATATCATAGGACTCAACATTTCATTTCTGTATGTATATCCAGTGCAAATGTGCACTGAGATATGTGGAAAAATCTCCAAAAATGTAGTTTATAATAGGCAAAACTTGAAAAAAAGGTCAATTGACAGTAGGACGGATAAATAAATTGTAGGGGTCCAAACCATGGAACAGTACAGCACAGTGAAAATGAGCTATGAGTACATGGATCTATCTCACCAACATCATATTGAACAAAGCCAGACCCATGACATATCCATAATTTATGACTCAGCAATGTAAGCACATATGCATCAGAAGAAATGTACAAGAAGCGCCCTAGAAGTAAACAAAAACACAAATCTTCATTAACCTAAAATGTGTGGTAGGCAGCTTCTAAGAGAGCCCCCCACGATACCCAGCTCCTGTTAATCATGCTCTTGTGTAATTCCATCCCCTTGAATGGTGGGCTAGGCCTACTGAAACATTTTCAATGAACAGCATAAGCAAAAGTGATAGGATGTCACTTCCAAAATTAGGTTATAAAAGATTCTGACTTTTCTCTTGCTCGTACTCACTCTGGCTCTTCTGAATTGCTTGCTCTGATGAAACAAGTTGCTATGTTGTGAGCAGTGCTGTGGAGACTTCAAATGGCAAGGAACTGAGAGTGGCCTCCAGACAATAGTTGGTGAGTACTTACATCCTCACTCTAACATGCTGTTAACAACCATGTCAGTGATCATGAAAGCCAGTCTTTCACCAGTCTAGCCTCGAGATGACTGAAGCTCCTGCTGCCACCTTGATTGTAGCTTTGTGAGCGACCCTGAGCCAGAGAACCCAGCTAAGCCACTCCCAGAATCCTCACCCACAGAAATTAGAAGCCAATTTTTTTTTCTTTCTTTTTTCTTTTTTTTTGAGACAGAGTCATGCTCTGTCATCAGGCTGGAGTGCAGTGGTGCGACCTCGGCTCACTGCAACCTCCACCTCCCGGGTTCAAGCGATTCTCCTTCCTCAGCCTCCCAAGTAGCTGGGACTACAGGAGCGCGTCATCACACCCAGCTAATTTTTGTATTTTTGGTAGACACGGGGTTTCACCACGTTGGCCAGGATGGTCTCGATCTCTTAACCTTGTGATCCGCCTGCCTTGGCCTCCCAAAGTGCTGGTATTACAATCGTGAGCCACCACGCCCAACCGCCAACAAATGTTTTAAGCAACTACATTTCAGGGTAATTTTTTACACAGCAATGGAAAATGCATTCAAAGGATAAATATGTTACAGTATGTTTATGTTATGACATACTATATAAAAACAGAAAGGGATGAACTATCTACAAAAACAAGAATGAAATTTATAGAATATTATTAAGGAAAAACATAGAAAAAAATACTAGAGATGTGATTCTATTTATATAACGTTCAGACATAGGTAAACAATGGTGTTTAGGAATAAAATAATTGGTGATAAAATAATTCTTAAAAATGCAAGGAAGTAATAAAAGTCAGGTTGGTTATATATATCACATTTAATGGATGATATACAATGTATGATATATGATATATGATTTATAATACATCATATATTATATATCATATATGATATGATATATAATATATAATAGTATATATACGATATATAGTATATATCATATATAGTATGTATATAATATGATATATACTATATATAGTATATCATATATATAGTATATATGATATATACTATACCGTATAAATATATCATATATTATATATCATATATTTATGTATAATATATCATATATAGTATATAATATAATATCATATATCATATATAGTATATAATATAATATCATATATCATATTTATAATATAATATATCATATATTTATATATAATATATCATATATATTTTATATATATTATATTTTATTTATATTTTATATACATTATATTTATATATCATATAATAGATGATACATTATTATTATATAATAGATACATTATTATTATATAATAGATGATATATTATTATATATCATATAATATATTTATAATATAATCCATATAATATATTATATATAATATAATATATGATATATTATATATAATATAATATATGATATATTATATATAATATAATATATGATATATTATATATAATATAATATATGATATATTATATATAATATAATATATGATATATTATATATAATATAATATATGATATATTATATATAATATATGATATATATAATAATATATGATGTATTATATATAATAATATATGATGTATTATATATAATATAATATATGATATATCATATATGATATATAATATAATATATTATATAATTATTATAAATATATTATATTTATATATAATAAATACATTTGGGGAAGAGAGGAGACAGTGACTGAGAGGGTTCCCTTATTAGATGCTTGCCATGTTCTACTTCTTGGCCTTTGTCACAATTCTGCAGGTGCTTGCTTTGTAATTACTTAAGTTGGCATGTATATTTTATATACTTTTCTGTACATAAAGTTAAGTTTGCATATATATTTTGTGTACTTTTCTGCATGGGTGATAATTTTCACAAAAAAGTTTAAAAATTAAAAAAGTGCTATTTTGTAGAATAGGAATTTTCAAAAATGGATAAAATGGAAGTTCTGAGATAGATACATGGATATTTTATAACTAATATAAATTTCGATGTATTTAAAATTTTTCTATGAATTAATTGTTTTAAAAATCTATTTGAAAAGTAAAAGGAAATATATTTGAGGTAAATAATTCTAAGGACTGATAGATTTATAGCAAGTAAATTAATAATTAAAGAACAGAATATGGAAAAGTTCTTGCCATTCTACTTGATATATCCAAAATATATATAAATATGTAACATATATGTGATTATATATAAAGTATATAAATAATTGTTGACCAGGCATGGTGGCTCATGCCTGTAATCCCAGCACTTTGGGAGGCCGAGGCGGAAGGATTGCGAGAGGTTAGGAGTTCAAACCAGCCTGGCCAACATGGTGAAACCCCGTCTCTACTAAAAATTAAAAAAATTAGCCGGGGGTGGTGTTGGGTGTCTGTAGTCCCAGCTACTCGGGAGACGGAAGCAGAAGAATCGCTTGAACCCGGGAGGCGGAGGTTGCAGTGAGCAGAGATCACGCCACTGTACTGCAGCCTAGGTGACAGAGGGAGACTCCGTCTCAAATAAATAAATAAATAAAATAAATAATGTAATTCAGCCTGTCAAGTTGTTGATGGCTGTTGTAAGACCTCGGGTCTTTTTTTTTTTTTTTTTTTTAACAAAGTGTCACTCAGTTGCCCAGGCTGGAGTGCAGTGGCGTGATCTTGGCTCATTGCAGCTTTCGCCTCCCGAGTTCAAGCGATTCTCCTGCTTCCGCCACCCGAGTAGCTGCGATTTTAGGCGTGCGCCACCATGCCCGGCTAATTTTTGCATTTTTAGCAGAAATGGGGTTTCCCCATGTTGACCAGGCTGGTCTCGAACTCTTGACATGAAGTGAACGGCCCGCCTCAGCCTACCAAAATGCTGGCATTACAGGCGTGAGCCGCCGCGCCCGGCGGTTCCTGTCTTCTTAGTTTTAAAGAATTTAAACCAGAGACACACAGCAAAAGAAGTGCAACGTAGATTAATTTATTGCAAAGGAAAAAGAATATTTTGTAAGTTAGGTGCAGAATAGACAGCACACCCTGAGAGAGAGAGAATTCAGGGCGGGCTGCTCCTAAGGATGAAACAGCAAAGATTGGGGCTAGGGAGGCTCCCTTTATGGGAGTCTTAGGTGACTATTTAGAAGGAGGTGAGAAATGTTACTGGTAATCATCTTCTGGGTGGTCCTCTGAGTGCACATGCGCAGTAGCTGTACATGCTTGTTCATACATGGTATGTCTCATTGGCATCTTAAATCTCCAGCCAGCGGTGTGTTTTTTACTATTGTAATGAGCAAAGGCTCAGTCTAAGGACAGGTAAAGTCAAAATGCGCATGCTGTCTCTAGGGGAAATTTCCTCTTGATAGCTGTTCATTTGAATGAGCTCAATTTCAGTGTGAATGCTGAGGCTTATTGTGTTGACTGTATGGTCACCACGGTTGTTGTGTCCCAAGACCATGGTCACCTCCTTGAATACCTATCCTGCGTCAAAGTGTCAGTGGGGTAACTGGGTCCCTCTTGCACTGTTGATTGCAAAGAGAAACAACATAACTGAAATAGAAATCACTAATTACCAAGAGTAACCAGAAGACGTTCAAAGCCTTTGACCGATTTTTGCAATAATCCTTTGACTCATTAATTTTCATAAAACACATTTCGAAAACAGAAGAATTGCTAAATTATGTCAACTCCTGTGACTATAATGCAGCTATTAAGATTATCATGAAGAAGACTTGAAAATAACTTACCTCCAAATTGCATAACTTGTTTTGTTTGTTTTTTGAGAGAGTCTCTTTCTCTTACCCAGGCTGGAGAGCAGTGGCGCCATCTCGGCTCACTGCAACCTCCGCCTCCTGGGTTCAAGCGATTCTCGCGCCTCAGCCTCCCGAGTCGCTGGGATTACAGGCGCCCACCACGCCCTGCTAATTTTTTGTATTTTTTAGTAGAGACGGGGTTTCGCCGAATTGGCCAGCCTGGTGTTGAACTCCTGACCTCAGGTAATCCACCCGCCTCGGCCTCCCAAAGTTCTGGGATTACAGGCTTGAGCCACTGCGCCCGGCTTGCTTGCTTGCTTTTTTTTTTTTTTAACAAAACAAAACAAAACAAAAATCTTGTGGCCATGTCGTCAGTGCTACACGTTTCTTCAATGTTGGTCCCTCGATTTGTCTTGAGAATCTAAGTAATTGAATTTCTGTGTTGGTGTATTTGTCGTGCTGTTTTGTTTTTGTTTTTTTCTGCTTATCTTTTTGATGAATTTATTTTAATGTTCACAGTAGTAATGATTTCTAAAAGAAGCGGCTGGGATAACCACACCTCAAGTTTTTCCCCCTTTTTGGCAGCTTCATCTCTCTCTCTTTCTAGCCCCACCGTCACCTTCCTCTCCTCTCTATTGCCCTCTCCCCTTTCTCAGGCTCGAAGGCGTTTTTGCAGTCATCAGGTAGAAAGCCCACCAGAAGAGTACTCATTAAACTGATCACGCGCACAATATTGACAATCAATACCCCATCAACCATAAAGTTAAAAAACCCAGCAACACCATCGTTATACTGATGATACAAAATTACAAGAGCTCCTTTTTCCTCTCCAACGCCAGGGACCTGAATTCCAGGAGAGTTGAAAGGGAAGTTGGCTGGACTTGGGTGTTGTTTCCTCCTCTTCGTATTAAAAGACCTCCCCCGACGAGGGTGGGATTCGAACCCACGCGTGCAGAGCACAATGGATTAGCAGTCCATCGCCTTAACCACTCGGCCACCTCGTCTTGATAACCCACGTTTCCCGAGTATTTTATTTCAGAGTTTGTAATAGGAACCCACAGGCGGCCTTACAAGACTTAGGAAACGGTTTGAAGACGTTTGGGAGACGTGGAGATGGCTCGTTTTCACATGAATGATCAAGAACTGAGTGGAAACGCTTCGAGGGGGAATAAACGGGCTTAGCTTTCGTGGGACTCACACAAATGTTCAAGACATGATAGAAACGTAATTGCCGGGCCGGTCTCTCCCTTTCTTCCGCTTCCTGGTCCCGAGGCAGGAGGCGCCTGAGCAGGCTGCGGGCGTGACCGGGCCAACGGGGCGCACGGGGTTTGCTGTCGACCTGGGGCGTCAGGTGAGCCTGGTCAGCCCTTCTGTAGGCTCACCGCGTCTCGCTGCGTCGGATAGCGCACCTGGGAGCCAGCAGGAGACCGAGGTTCCCAAAACCGTTCACACCGGAGTCGGTTTCTCTTCAGAAGCCCACGCAAATCAATCACAGGCTAAACAACAGGGAACATAGGGGAAATCCTGCAGGAATGGACCCCTGCTGTATTTTCACACTCTCAATGTCAGGATATTTTACGTTAGATTGCACTAACATCTTGAGTGAATACCACCTTTGCTAGTTTCTGTGAATTCACAAAGAATCATCCGCTTTTTTTTTCCTTGGAAGAGCCCTTATATTGCAGTGTTTGCTGCGTTGACCTGCCTGAAATCTTCAACCTCAACTCAACCCACTTCCTTACCCGTTGTTTTCCATGCTCAGTCCCATTTGGGTTTTTGCCTCAAGACAGATCTAGTTTTCCTCTTCCAACAAGTGATTTTCCCTCATGGAACGCTCTTTCCCTTTCTCACTTTAGCCTGGCTGAATTATTTATCCATACTTTGGTTCTTAAAGCTTTTTAAAATTATTATTAACAAAATTTTTAATCAAAGTTAACCATACATGTTTTAAAAGCTCAATTACTTCAAAAAATATGTGTATGCGAAACAGTGGTCTCTCCTATCTTATTCCTCTTAGTAGAGGCAAACATTTTCAGCCATTTGGCGTTTTGTGTTGTTTTTACCTGCATGTCATCATGCTATGGCAAAGATGGCTAGTTGTCCAATCATTATTTTTGTTTTTTCCAAGAAATGGAAAATTAGCTGAGCTCATAGCCACCCATGAAAAGATTACAGTGACTTCCCTTGACAGTCAGCGTCATCACGTGACCAATTTCTAAGTAAAGGCATAAGAGAGAAAATGTATGTAAAACTTCCAGGTTATGTCCATAAGAGAAGGAAATAACCTCTATTTATCTCTTCCTCATGTATCTGCTTTTGAGAATGAAGGCTTCATGGAATAGTGATTGGACCCAGCACACTGTAGGAAGGAAGGAGCCATGACATAGAAGACTGGAACCAACACCATGAAGCCAAAGCATCACCCTGGCATTGATTACACCCTCAGACAGTCACAGGAGAGATCAGTAATGCTTCTTTTAAGCTATGGTTCTTTTGGGTCTTTGTTACAGAGACAAAATTGTACTCTAATACATATGCTACATATTAATTTTAAGCTTAGTATTTTCCATTGATTTCCCATTACACAAATAGAAGATTCACTTCTCTTCCTCACCGTAAACACCTCCACAGACACTCTTCTGATCAATTTTTCCTTCAAATATAGTTATATCAGAATTTTTATTGAATAAGTAATCACCCTTTATATAATTATGTTTGGCAATATTATTTACCTATCTTTCCTATTTTGTTTCCTGAACATTATTTTTAGAAAAAAATATCACAAATAACCATAAAAGCCTTGCCAAAACAATAAACTGAGTGATTTCTAAACTTGATATGGGGTTTTCATCGTGATGTCTTCCTTCACCATTGTACTATACATTTTATTTCCCTGCCACTGGTGCTGTATGCCCAATTTCTCATGTATTTTCTGTCTTACTATACCTTCACATTTTGGTGGAGTACATTGTAAAGCAGCTTCCTGAGAAAGAGTTCATTGTAGATGAGACTTTTTTTTTTTTTTTTTTTAATTTAAGACGGAGTCTTGCTCTGTTGCTCAGGCTGGAGTGCAGTGGCGCGATCTCGGCTCACTGCAAGCCCCGGCTCCCGGGTTCACGCCATTCTCCTGCCTCAGCCTCCCGAGTAGCTGGGACTACAGGCGCCCGCCACCAGGCCCGGCTAATTTTTTTTGTATTTTTAGTAGAGACGGGGTTTCACCGTGGTCGATGAGACTTTTCAATACTTCTCCAGCAACTTGATTGAATGTTTGTCTGGGAAATATTTTTCAGGCTTTTGAAATTTATTTCAGGATTTTGAGAGAGTTCTCTATTTTCTTCTAGCTTCCAGTATTCATTTTGAGAAGTACAAAGTCATTCTAATTATGGAGTCTACATTTGCAGTTAGCTTTTATTTATCTATTTCAGGATAATTTCCTTGTCCTCAATGTTCTGCAATGTCTGAAAGATATGCTTTAGTGTGTTTCTGTTTCCATTCCTTGTTTTGGGAACTCTATTACATCATTAAATCCTGTATTTCGGTTAGGGATATTAGCTTGTTTTTCGTTGTTGCTAGTTTTCTGATTTCTGTGTTCTCTGCCCTTTTTTTTTTTTTTTTTTTTTTTTTTTTTGAGACAGAGTCTTGTTCTCTTGCCCAGGCTGGAGTGGAGTGGAGCAATCTCAGCTCACTGCAACCTCTGCCTCTTGGGTTCAGGTGATTCTCTGCCTCAGCCTCCCAAGTAGCTGGGACTACAGGCGTGTGCCACCACACTCGGCTAATTTTCTTTTCTTTTCTTTTGTTCCTTTTTCTTTTTCTTTCTTTCTCTCTCTTTCTCTCCCTCCCTCCCTCTCCTCCCTCCCTCCCTTCCTTCCTTCCTTCCTTCCCTTCCTTTACTTGGATTTTAAATCTCCAGTATGTTTCCTCTACCTTTTGTTTTGTTTTTACTGCTCTTTCCTGGTTACATTCTTTTTACTTTTAAAAAATTAATAGACATTTTTAGGCAGTTTTTTATTTACAGAAAAATTGAAGAGAAAGTACAAAGAGTTCCCATATATCTCCTATCCTTCCTATAGCTTCTCTTATTATTAAATCTTATACGATTGTGGTCCATTTGTTACAACTGATGAACCAATATTGATACATTAATATTAACTAAAATTTGTAGTTTACTTTAGGTTCACTTTCTTTGTTGTAACTCTTATGGATTATGTTGTAACTCTTTCCTCTTTGATAAATGTATAATGGCATGTGTCCATCATTACTGTATCATGTATAATAGTATCTCCACTCTAAACATTCCCTGTGCTTCGCCTCTTCATCCTTCCCTCCCTCCCTCCCTCTTAGCAATGACTGCTCTTTTTTGCTGTTTACATATTTTTACCTTTTTCACTACGTTATATAGTTGGAATCATATATACAGTATGTGGCCTTTTCAGATTGGCTTCTTTCACTTAGCAGTATGCTTTTAAGATTCCTCCATGTCTTTTCCTGTCTTGATAGCTCCTTTCTTTTTATCATGAATTAATAGTCCATCCATTGTGCCATAGTTTGCATTAAATATATCCATTCACCTATTGAAGTACATCTTGATTGTTTATGTTTTAGCAAATCCAAATAAAGCTGCTATAAACATTGATGTGAAGGTTTTTGTGTGGATATGGTTTTTCAACTCATTTGAGTATATATCAAGAATCACAATTGCTGGAGTTTCCCCTTATATTTTTACTCCACATTTTGGAGATGCCCTTCAGGTTTTATGTTAATTGTTCTATTAAGTTTTTTCTTTCTACTCTCATAATTTTAATTTCAAGAGACTTCTATAGAGTTATCCTTTTGTACAGCATTCTTTCTCTCCCTTTCTTAAAATAGCTTTTAAAAAATCACTGTTTCTCAGATTGGACACTAACTTCAGTGTCTAATGATGCCTAGTGATCTTTGATTGCTGGTCCATAATTATAATTAAGCCCTAAAAATAACTGGAAACTAAGACCATGAGTCCAATTTATTGACTCTGGGAACCATTTTAGAATGGACTGCCTGTGTCATTTACTATCAGACTTTTACATGTCAAAATGTCCAACTTATCCCTCTTAGGATAGTAAAATTCCTTGTTGAGAAGGGTCATTCAATCTCTTCTGCCTAGATGACATCACACTGACTTTCTGCATTCAGAGAAAATTCTTAATGAACAGAGGTCAGAGGAAGTTCCTTTTGAATTTCAAACTTAATAAGTAACACTATTCCAAGTTATAAAATTAAATTACAAATAAATTATACACATTAATTTACAAATAAATTATACACTTATATTTTATTTATAAAAAGAGACAATATATTACACCCCACCTATGAATAAGGATGTGCATCTTCATACTCAGTGGCCCTTAAAGTTGGTCAGAAAAAGGAAAGGTAAAAAGATCCACACTTTCAGAATACCAAGATGAGCAGAGCGAGCTGAGCCTCTGTGAGGTCCATGAAGCTAGAACGAAATTGGGGTCGGGGAGTGGGTGTCCACTTTCAGTCTTGGCCACAAAAGCAAACAAAACAGTTATTCTGAGGAAATATTTTAATTTAGACAGCATGAGCAAAATAACTGGATTGATATCTTCCTCTCCATTTTTTCCCTGTTTCGAATTCCAGTGTTAATCAATTCTCCTGAGTGTTTTCAACAAAGTACCCGCAAATTTCCAGAGCATGGGATGAGAAAAACTTTGAAATTCCAGCCTTAATGACTGCTCCTCGTGGTCTCTCTCTCCAGTTAGACGAACCTGGGCTAGCAATATTCCCAAGAGTCAATAGTCAGCCCTGGTGCTATATACTTCCATGGGAATTCCATACTTTCTCAAAACGCGTCATCATGGTAAATAATTAATTACTTGTAATATTAAGTTCTGTAGAAATAAAACCATGTTTTTCCGTCACTGCCTCCACAGCTTTCAGCACTGAAGGGTGACATGTCATACTCATTGGCTATGCATCCGTTGAAGAAATAAAGGAATGAACTCTGACCGGGGAAAGCAGGAGAGGCAGGAGTGTGACACCCTAACAGTCGACTGCAGTGGGAGCAGTGGCACCAGCAGCACTTGGGGAGACTTTTACTTTCCAGTGTGGCGGGAGTAGTAAACACTAGGAGTCAGAGAGTAATCACCGAAGCTGGAGTTAAAAGTGTAAATTAAAATCCTCCTTCCTATAAGAGGAAGATAACCGGTTGACTGCAACTCACGTTTCCCCTCCAGCACTCGGTTAAACACGCACACGCACGCGCGCACGAGCTGCCCACGGTCTTCCTTTCGGGGTTTGAGAAGAGACAGACAGAGGTGGGAGAGCGCAGCTGCAGCCGCATCAACATTCCGGTGTCTGCCCTTAGAAGAAGTCCGGATTCAGTACTCGCCTGCTTAGACAATTCTACTGTTGATGTGGTGAAAGTACATATTTTTGGGTATGACTATTTGGGGAAATACTTTAAATATCCTTAAACCTTATTGGGCGAAAATGAAGTGGGCTCGTCCGGGATTTGAACCCGGGACCTCTCACACCCGAAGCGAGAATCATACCCCTAGACCAACGAGCCACTTAGAAATGGCTTTTGCTTATATTTACTGTAGGATTTATTCCCAAATTATTTATTTTTATTCCTCAAAGAATTTGTTACCAAATAATATTTATCACTCCATCAATCATTTACATAAATGAAAGGGTTGGAAAGGCTATTTCTGTGGATGGTCTGCTGGTAGCTTAAATTACCATACTATGGTAAAACTTGTCACCTGTAGAAACATTTCTCCTTTATTCTACTTTGCTATACTACTCTAAGTAATTTAACTCATTTTTTCCATTTTTAGCTTTCAATTAAAATATTTTAGAAAAATTTGAGTTTTCAAGTTTCCTTATCTCACTTCTACCCTTTTTGAAAGTTGGATATTACTGTTACTGAGGGACTTCTAGATGATTTGCTCTAACAAGGAATATTTTCGCTACCAGAAGTTTTTCAGAAAGAATATTCCTAATCTCAGCAAAATTCTACTTATAAGAGATTTCTTAAGGTCAACTTTTCAGGAGTACCAAGATGTATTTGGTTAGTTTACTAACTTCTTCCTACATACAGATTTAAGAAAGTTACAAAAACTTTCGGTTAAATGCAAAGAAAGTTTTTACAACAGATCATTAGCTGATACATCTAAGCCACATTTTACATTCATGTTAAAATTTATGTTTTGAATTAATACATATTTTCAATTTCATTTTGCTGTCCCGAATTTGATACCTTCAAAAATTTAAAAGATCTCATTCAGTTCATTCTTTCAATTATCCAATAATTATTATAGAGTACCTGTTTATTTACTAAAAATGAAACTCTCTTGCAAGGACAAATCAAAATAAGGATTATCTTGAATATGTGTGAAGAGAAATCAATATTTTCTGAAAGGGAGAGTAGATTTAAACTAGTACTTAATTTGAATTTTGACATGGATTTACTGAGCGGATCAAAATAATTATGAGGCTACTAGGCATTCCTCTAACTCCTGCCCACCTTACTAATATTAGAATAGTGAGATTCTTATTGCAATCCGACTGCTTTCTTTGTACTATGAAAACCTAAAAAATCTTGACTAACTCCTCTGAAACACACACCTAGGAGTAGTAATCATTCCTAACTGCCCTAAAACTTAGAAGTGATTATGGTTCAGACTCAACATTCCACTTCCATGAAAATATGTTTTTCTCCTCAAGAAATAGCATCTCATGTTCATGCATAGATGGAGCTGGGACATAGGACTATATTGAGATGTTAAATCAAAGGTTAAATATTTCAGTGTGGAAAATAATTATTTGTCCTGAACCCAACAATTTCCCAGAGAACCTGTTCTTTGACACACAACTTAGAGCACTTCTGTTCATCTTGAAATCAACTGAATAGATTAGTTTACTAATTTCTGAACTCAACACAATGGTAATGGGATCACATACTTTATATACAGACCCACACTCTCAACCCCAAACCCTCGTTCTCTCTTCATTTTTGTAGTATAATATACATTTCCCTTCCCAAATCCAACTTTTCTAAGGATAATAAATAGTTCATTTACTTTTATACCAGTGGGAACTCAGACTCCAGAGAAAGGTCATTATTTAAAGATTACTAAACATCAGCATCATTACACACATCAGGGGACCCACGTAGGACTTATATTCCAGTCATTTTACAGAGATGTTTATTGTCCTTGTCTAGGCCATGTAGATCATGCATAATAACATGCTTAGTTACATTAGCAAATATGAATATATTCATAAACTCAAATTTCTTGGAAAATAGAAAATGTGGCTTAAAGATATAGTTACAGAAGACAACTTAGAACAATGGATATAAAATTTCCCAACAAATGACAAGATTCATTCACCAAATTTCTATATACATATACAAACATACACACATACACATAAACCCACACACATATATACATATATCAAATTACCCAGCAATTTCTCTGTTGGATATATACCCAAAGAAAATAAAATCAGCACCTGGTAGAGGTATCTGCATTTCCATGTTCCTCAGTAGATGAATGGAGAAAAAAATTGTCTGATGTATGTGTGTGTGTGTGCACGCAGAAGCGTGTGCATAAAAATGTGTATATATAATATATATATTATACATCTGGGTGCGGTGGCTCATGCCTGTAATCCCAGCACTTTGGGAGGCCGAGGTGGGCAGATCACTTGAGGTCAGGAATTCAAGACTAGCCTGGCCAATATGGCAAAACCCCGTCTCTACTAAAAACTCCATCTCTCACAAAAATTAGCCAGGCATGGTAGCGCATGCCTGTAAATCCAGCTACTCAGTAGGCTGAGGCAGGAGAATTGCTTGAACTCTAGGGGCGGAGGTCACAGTGAGCCAAGATCGCACCACTGCACTCCAGCCTGGACAACAGAGTAAGATTCCATCTCAAAAAAAAAAAATTAAAAAAATTATAATACATATTATAGTGTGTGTGTGCGTGTGTGTGTGTGTGTGTGTATATATATATATATATAAATGTGGTATAATGTGATATGAATATATATAATGAAATACTATCCAGCCTTAAAAAAGGAGGTACTGCCGTTTGCAACAACATGGATGAAACTGGAGGACATTATGCTAAGCTAAATAAGCCAGGCATAGAAAACAAAATACTACATGATCTTACTTATATATGCAATCTAAAAAACAAAAACAAACAAAAATCTCAAATACACAGAAACAGAGTAGAGAGATAATTATCCGGAGTGGAAGAGTAGAGGAGGAAATGAAGAGATATAGGCCAAAGGGTAAAAAGCTGTAGATATCTGATATGAATAAGTATACAGATCTACTGTACAACATGAGGACAATAGTGATAATATTGTAGTATATGCTGGAAATTCGCTAGGAGTGGATTTTGGATAATTTTAACATAGAGACACAAAGGATAACTGTGAGATAATGAATATGTTAATTTGCTTGACTATAGTAACCATTTCACTATGTATATCAAAAATTATTTTATACATCTTAAACAGATGTAATACAAAGTTTAATTAAAAATAGATATTTATATCAGTATAAGATCTCCTGAAACAGAGTTGCATCCCAAATCGTTATGACTGTGTCTGTTTTATGACTCTGAAGTCTCTATATTCCACTAAAACCAAATACTGAATCCCTCAAAGATATGACACTTTAAAAAATCTCCTCTTGGAAGCCCATCTTTTTAGTCAAGCAGTGTAAACTGCCTCCCAAATCTTTATAGTTTGGGAGGTTCTCTACTTGCTGAAGTTCTCATAAGGTTTCTCTTCAGGTGACATTTCTATTCACCTGAATTTTTATTCAGTTGAGAGAGGACTAAGGAAATGGGCCAGTCCAGGATCTTTATTGTAAGTCTGGCCACAGGCCTCCAACCAATTGACTGACAGTTGGAAGTTGAACAATGTTGCTCAATAGAGAAATTATATTGATAAAGATGGTCATGATGATGATTGTGGTGAGATGATGGTGATGATGGTCATGGTGGTGGGGTGATGAGGATGATGATGATGACAATATGAAAGACAAAAGTAAAGTAAAATGCACACTTTGCAGGAATGTGGCTCACATAATTGTGTTGATTCTTCCAGCTGGATCACCAACACTTGTGTGCCTGTCATGAAGTTTTCATGAGCTAATGAAGTGCTAGAAAATGGAATCATTATGAACATAAATAACAAAGTGATTGGTAACACAGAATTAAAGCACATGTAATTGCAGTGTACAAGAGGCAGATTTTTTTTTTCTTTTTTTTGAGACAGAGTCTCACTCTTTTTGCCCAGGCTGGAGTGCACTGGTGCGATCTGGGCTCAGTGCAACCTCCACCTCCCAGGTTCAAGCGATTCTCCTGCCTCAGCCTCCCGAGTAGCTGGGATTACAGGCATCTGCCACTACATCCTGCTAATGTTTTTGTATTTATAGTAGAGACGGGGTTTCACCATGTTTGGCCAGGCTGGTCTCGAACTCCCGACCTCAGGTCATCCACCCGCCTTGGCCTCCCAAAGTGCTGGGATTACAGGTGTGAGCCACCGCGCCCGGCCCACAAGAGGCAGATTTTAAAGGAAATCATTCTTTTAGGACACTCTCTCTTCAGTGTAGCCTATACAAAATGTCAAGCAACATAGCAAATGTTTGCTAATTGAGTACACAATTATAAGAAACAAAAGTCTTTTGTTTTCTCACACTTAGTATCTACTATGTACTATTTTAAAGGCACCTACCTTTTTACTTCTCACAATAGCCTTAAAACAGATAATGCTGTTATTCTGTATTCCGTTTCAGAGATAAAGACACTGAACCACCAACAGATACAGCATACTGACCAACCAAGGCAGAGCTACAATTAAAAAACCAAGAAGACAACAAGTGGAATTTGCTTTTCTATCCCTTCCTCAAAATCTCCATCAGCTTTTCCGAGGCATTATAAATAAAACTAAAATCTAAGTTAACCAGTGTGATTGATAGGCAGACACAGCTTCAAAGTAAGTTCTCTGGACTCCTCCAATAATATTTTGCCAACTCAAATCTCTCATTTTTGAGGGGAGTGTGTGTGTATGTGTGCGTGTCTTGAAATATTATCATGAAGATATGATAATCAAGGTCAGAAATTCATGCCCTTTGACACATGTATCATGATATAAAAAAATGACAAGTTACACTTTGGCCACTGGATTGACAGGACTTTATTACACCCCATATGTGGCTGGGATAGGGCTGAAGAAAGTTCTTTTTATGAAAGCTGCTATTTTGCTAATTATGAGATCCTCTGAACTTTGCCTCAACAGTGGTATGGAAGTGGGAATGACAGACTCAGGGAGGGTGGTGGGATCACCAAGGTCTTTGGCATGGTTTCAGACCACTGAATGTTGAGCTTATTCAAGGATCACAAGGTCATAACAAGATCTTGCATTTCATCCACATAGCAACATGCACCAAAACTCTTTTGTTCAACAAATCTGGAATGTATATTTTAATAGTATAAAATTGGTAATATGTATATTAAAGGCTGATGTTTTGTGTGTGATCAGAGGATGTCAAAAATCATCTTCAAGAGAACATAAAAGGACTCAGGTAGCAGATCAAAATCCTCTTATCTTTTAGTTAAAAGATACTTTACAGTTTGCATAGCTTGGTCAAGAGTACATCTGCATTTTAAACTGAGAATTTTGTGTTCAAGTCCCTGAGTTAGTGAAAGCAGGCACCCAAATTACAGGCTTGAAATGCTTCCATCACTGAATGAATCATGAATTCTTTGAGACTGGTAATAACTACAACCGGAGAAAACTCTGAGGCAGGCAGTGGTTTCCTTTCATCCTCTCTCTCACTCTGTATTTCTTGTATTTTCTTTTCTTTTCTTTTTTTTTTTTTTTTTTTGAGATGAAGTCTCTCTCTGTCACCCAGGCTGGAGTGGAGTGGCGCGATCTCAGCTCACTGCAGCCTCCACCTCCCAGGTTCAAGCGATTCTCCTGCCTCAGCCTCCCAAGTAGCTGGGATTACAGGCACCCGCCACTATGCCTGACTAATTTTTGTATTTTTAGTAGAGACGGCATTTCACCATGTTGGCCAGATGGTCTTGATCTCCTGACCTCGTGATCTGCCTGCCTTGGCCTCCCAAAGTACTGGGATTACAGGCGTGGGCTACCGCGCCCGACCTTTTCTTGATTTTTTATTTTGCTTATCCTTCAAGAAATAAATGTAGTTTTCCTTTATCTCCAATATACTGTGTTGTATCTTCCAGAAGAGTGTGATAGAAATTGAGAAGTAAAAAGGGAAGAATCCCACCTACCAAATGCACTTTAAGGATATCTTCAGGACTTAAAATACTTGAAAAGAAGAATGGAGTCATACATTAATGAACCTGGCATCACAAACTTGTGTCCCCTACCTTACAAGTTCCAACCTCTTTATTTACATTAATTTCTGGTTTTCAGAGTTTCATATGCCTTTTGCTTTCTGCACTATTTCACCTTTCATGCATTATGATCTTCTTATGTATCCATTTTGAGCAAAAACGGGGAAAATGAATGGTGGTTGGTTATGATGGTTCAATCAGTTTAATCAGTTATTAAATGTTGATTATAGAAGCTGCCATGGACCAGTTAAATATTTCTTGCCAATCTTTCCAAAGCAGCTAATTGCTCCTACTTAAAATTTTCATTCACTTTCAATACAGTACACTTATTTCAATTTCTTGCCCAATACTATTTCCTCTCCTCTGGTTTCCTTTGCTTTCATTTCCTTGTGCTTGATATAATGAGCACTATAATCAGGAATCATTTTTCTCACTTATTTATTACAGCTTGTTTAGTAATCAGATGTTCATTTACTTATACATTTATTCAAAAATTGTTAACTTTTACTTTAGTTTATTTGGTCAAGAAAACTAGACCAAATAAAAACAAGTAAAGAAGACCTCAGTAAGATTGAACATGTGTTCTTTTGAAATGTCTCTTAAGTCTCTTGTTATCTATAAAGTTTTCACTTCATTTTTATTTTATCAAGTATTTTTCCAAATGGCTTGATGAGATCCCTTACTGCCAGAACTATACATTCTATCCAAATATGTATTTTGGTTCCAGTTTAAGAAAAATTGAAACCAAGTTATTCATTTAAATTAATGCAGAACCAGATTATTTTTTAACTCTGATAATAGAGAGACTAGACTGATAACATTGTGGGAGTGCCAAGGCACTAAAAAATGATGTCTAGAAACAAGTCATAAATTGCTATCTAACTTAATTTATTTATATATTGAAGAGAGATACATTTACATGTTTAACAAATCAGAAAACAGAGAAATATATAAAATAAAATTTGATTTACTATGCCTCCATTTACTTAGTTTCTCTTCAATCAGGAATAATTCTTATAGTTTTTTTTTTATTCTTGCAGGAGTTCATGATGTAGATAATTCCAAATTAATTATATTATTATATTGCTTTTTGAATGCTACAGCTTTCACATTGCTTTTGTTTTAATTGAAAAAAAAAAACCTTTGCGTATCATTCCGTGTCAATATATTTTGAACTCATCCACTTCTTCATAAGTACCATAAAATCCCTTTGTATGAATGGATACATATCAATATCTTTAAATAGCCAAAAATAATTCCTTTTGCTAGATATTTTGTTGTATTTTTAAAATAATGTATCATAATGTGTATTTTTCCTACTCCAATTCTTAAATGCGCAAGTATATCTGAAGGATTAGGCCCTAGACATGGAATTCCTGAGTCAAAAGGTGACTGCACCAGTAATTTTGATAGATTTTACCAGATTGTTCTACTGTTTTTTACTCCTGGAAGCCTGGTGGTGAAAGAGCCATCATAAATACACAGAATTTCAGCTGCTTTTTGAAGGGTGGAAGGATAGAGAATAAGATCGCTGAGTCTCTCTAGGATTTCTGTGATCTCTTGCATTAGATCGGAGCTGCTGGTCACCAGGTTTGTTGTATGAGAATTTATCCTTATATGTTTAAGCAATTCTTCTTATTTTAAAAAATACACAGCACAGCAAAACTAGCAAGTTTATTTCAAACTTGCTTACTGAAGAGATCAATAAAACAGACATTTTCTGAAGTCTTACTGAACTTGCCAACATTCAGCCACACATCTATCTCTGTGAATCAGCACAAAAGGGCTGAGAGTTGCATAACCAAGGGTTAAACATTCTTGAATATTTGATATTATGAAATTATTCTCTAAGGATAAAGTTAAATATAAAGAAATAATACAATCTATCCAATAAAAGAAAACAAAACAGATCATCAGAAGGAGAACACTTTGAGCAGCTCTTATCTCAGGGGGAGTTTTGTACAGAAATTTGGAGTTCTGAATGTGAAGAACATGCTTGTGATGCTGGTGGAGAAGAAATACTATGTAGCTGCTGGCCCAGCCCATTAGACCCTGAAACAGGGCATCTTGCAAGACTATCAGTGTGAGAAAAATCCGTCTTATTACCGATCTCCCTGCTAGAAAATAACAGTAGTTATCCTTTTCACTAATTTGTGATCTGTTCATGTTGCTATTTGTGATGGAATGAAGTAAGTTTATGGTTATCAAGGAACTGAATGTCCAAAAAAAAGAGAAACAAGGGAAGGACTTGTCATGCAGACCTCAGCTTGAGCCTCCCCCTCATGCAGGCTCTGGGACTGATGGTGATGGCCTGGACCACAGTGAGGAGACTGCTGGTGCAGATGGAAAGGCCTCGAGCCACCCTCTCCAGATAAGCAACAATTTTACAGCCTGTATCATCTAGGAAGTTTTTCAAACCAAAAGCTGCTATTGTCTTGGGCATTCCTTTGGAAAATAGAAGTATGATATTTGTAAAAGCTAAGTGAATAAGAATAAAGTGTAAAGACTTCTTCTCAGTCCCCCAAAAGAAAATGCACATATAGTTTACCAAAACCAAAACATTCCCCACAATGCCAAGTCCAGTTAGAAACAGGAATATTGTTCCCTTGATAATATTCAAAGCCATTTCTAACTTCATGGGCAGAAAATATTTAGATCAAGGAAACACTGTATGAAGAAAGTACCAGTTATGATGATATATATGTATCTGCAAAAAAATCATATCATAGCACATTTCTAGTGGATAAAGGAAATCATAATATATGTAACAGAGCAGATTTTTGTCCAAAGAACTGTAGTCCTTTCCCTGTGACACTCTTTGATGAACATACCATGTGACCTTAAATGTCATCTTGGAAGAGGATACAAAAATCTAAATTTGGGAAACAGATTTTGTTTTCCTGATCTCCATAGCTGCAAGACCAACTTGCTTGTTCAAATTCTGATATATCCCACATATTTTAAGTCTCAGCATATGCTGAATTGAACTAAAACAATTCCCCCAACCTGAATGTCTCCATTTTCTACTTATTCTTAATATTCCTATCAGCCAATTTCAAAAACCTGGTGCTCACCCTTAACCCCTCTACCTCTTCCACATTCAACAGACAGACACTCATAAAATCATGTTGTTTCAACATCTTTAACATTTCTCAAGTTTAACAATGTTTTATCTTCTGTGATACTTCTTTTATTCATTATGCCTATATGTCTATCATTTTGATTAGTATAACAATTTCTGGTTTATCTCTTCTTATTTTCATATCTTTGATTTATATTCCTTAATATTTCTGAGTTGTCTTTCAAGACCCCGAACTGAATCTGTAATTTCAGTACTTACAAGTTTTCAGTGGGTTTTCCAAGTACTCCATATAAAGTCAAACTGCATAGCATTTCACTGTAGGACCTCAAATGTTAATGGTTAATCAGCCAAAGACCTTCAGGAACAAGCCTGTTGCTGAAAAACAATGAGATACATGGACTGGATGTAGCCAGAGAAGGTGCTCTAGAGGAACCATAGAATGTCACTCTACAAGGGCATTTAGGAGAGGTCTGAGTTCCCACTGATGGATCTGAGGGGCCCCTAAGCGGAGTTGTTGATGTGTTGATGTTTCTCAAGGGCCATTAGGAGAGGTAGATTAATTAGCTATTGCATACTGTCACGAGATGAAGGCAGTTTATAAATTAGAGATCTCTGATGTCTGGATATACAAGGCAGGTTGGGGCTACATTGGTAAGAAAAGAGTCATCACTCAAATGGTGCAATTATGGCAGTTTACAACTGCTGTGTAACCAGTGAGTCCAGTTGACTCTGTAACCAGATCTACCTGTGTCTGTTCTCCCAACATTGGTAACAGGAGAGCTACTTTGATCTTTACCAGTCCAAGCTAATTTTTACTCTTTTTGTCTGAACAGGATTTTACTCTTTCACAATCAACCTCTCCAATCTCACTTCTTTTCCAGAACTTACATCAAACTACAAATAAATCCCCCAAAACAAAAGAAACCAGGATGTTTGATCTAACCTTTCTATAAGCCTTGTCCCCTTTCATTTTCTACTAATCACTAAGAGATGCCTTAGATTTATCTTAATTTGTCTTAAAGGTCCCTGGCAGTGTGAACTGCCTGAATTTAGGCTTGTACTCAGGTCTTATACCAGGAAACTTTATAACTTTTGGAATATTAGTTATTGCTTTTCTGCCTCAGTTTCCTCCAGTGCCAAATGAAGAGACTAACATCTATATCAATGCATTAAACAAAGCATTACATGATCTGAACTGGATAGCCTATAGTGAAATGAACTACAGGCTTTAATAACAAGAAGAGCAGTATGGACTAATAGGTTTGGAGTAAGAACTGGTTACATATTTAGTCAGAAACCTGGAATTTGTCAAAAATGAATGTCCTGCATACACTTCACCACCCTGATGTCCTTATCAAATATTTTTATGTTTGTTTCTTCTTATCTTTTTCTAGGGTTTCACAGTTTTCTGGCCCTCTCTTCATCTTCCCAAGGTTCCAAAGCTCTGATTCAGATTAGAGATTAGCTTCTGTAATACTAATAAGACACTTCCATTTTTTTGACTGAATAATAAGAAAAATATCAGAGGAAGGAAGGGTGACTGGTCTTCCAAGTTGTTTTTGGAATCATGATTGAAAACTATTTGAAAAAACATGCTTCACATTCAGATAGATGTGTAGTGCTCCATCCAGTTCTAATACCTAATAGCTTAGGCAGGTAAGGAAGTGCACCCATTTCAGCTCCAGTTTTCTCAACTGAAAATGAGATTAGTGCTCCCTGCTACATAATGCCAGGGTAAATTTACAGGGTTACATCAGGTTATACTTACTTATAGCCTGGCCAAAAATAAAAGTGGAAAATTTCTGAAGAGCAAGTATGATTTTTAATCATAATGATTGTTAATAGATGCTTCCATTAAACTGGCATATGGTTAATGAAGTTGACTTCTGTATATGATACAATATTATATATTGGATTAGGAGACTTTAAGGATGGATGCAGAAAGAAAACCTTCAAGATATACACACACACTCTCTCTATCTCTTTCTTAATGAATTAACTACTTAATAGGTAAAGACAAAGTTGGCCCACTTGCAAATCACAGAAATGCACCAAAAACGATATGAAGAAATTTGATGAAAGCTAATAATGCTGATAGAGTTATAATGCAGGTGAAAATGTAAGCCTAAAAATGAGTTTTTTCTAGAAACCTGAAAAGCTTTTTTATCTTTGTGATTTTTGGATGAAACCAAAGAGGGAACCTTATAGGAAGAACCACCCCGGACCTCTCTTACAGTACAAGATCCTGAACACTGGGACAAAGATGCTCAAGCATTTCTAGGGTCATCTTCTGGAAATGGTCCCCTTCATGTTTATGACCCCAGGTAAAGATTAGATGCAGAGTCAAGGTCCTCTGGCTCACATAAACTCCCTTGCTTAGTCAAAGAACAAAGCAAGATGCATACTTCTGAGGGAAATATTATATGGCATATGTGAATAAATAAAAGAATTGTCAGGTCTACTCACCTTGGTAGCTATGGTGTAGTAAAGCTCTGGGTTAGTCCTTCTGGCAAGGTAAGGCTCCCCAAGCCATGTTTGTGCCTTCTGGATTTGTAGAGTTCTTGGTTAACAAACTATTACCAGGACTCAAATTTTCAAAGTTGTTTTTCTGTCAGGAAGACGGAAACCCTCTGCAGGATCCTAGTCCCTGAAGTACATTTTCCCCTCTGTCTCCACAATTACGTTTGTTTGCCTCAGGAGTTATTTCAGTCTTAATTGGGGTTTAACTATTGCAATAGAAAGATGTACAGTGAAAAAGTAAACAGCTAGCCAAGTTTCTGTATCCAGGGTTTCCCATTTTTCTGGCCCTCTCTTCATCTTCCCAAGGTTCTAATGTTTTGAATAAAAATGAGAACCAGGTCAGAAGACACATAATAAGTCACTTCTTTTCTTTCTCAAGGCTTTCTTTATACGCAGGGTTATGATAGATGATGACCAGCCCTGGAGACTCTGCTTTCTGAGCTTATCCCAACCACAGGCCTGGACAGGACGAGCGTCACCTTGCTCTACCGATGAACGTTGGCAGTTTGCAGTCTTTGCCATCAGTGATTGTTTTATTCTTTGTCTGTGAAACAACAAATGGGACTGGAAAAGCAAAAGAACCCTCCATTTTTATGAGCTAATCCTGCCTTATAAAGCTTCATAATACTTCTTTAATTCATTATACCCAAGAATGATCCTTCTATAGGTTATTCATTCTGCCCTCAAAAAATGACCTTTCCAGACACTAATGCAAAGGACTATACATAAATGGTGACACAGGGTTGAGATTAGAGGTGAGAATGGAATTATTTTTCTCACTGAGCTGGGCTGTGAGGCAGGCTTCTGGTCACTGGTCTTCATTCAATGTGACAGTATCCTCATCTAGAGGTGCACCTGGTTCATATCAGATGCCAAATTACTTGTGCAATAAGTGAGCAAATAGCCCTTTGAGATAAGTACTCTTTTCATCCCTGATTTTGAATGAGGATATTCAGGCACAGAGAGATTGAGTAAATTGCCCAGTGATACACAGATAATGAATAGCAAAATCAGGATTTGAACCCAGATAATCTAATTCAGGTCATGTGTTCTATTGCCCATTGTTTTGCATGTGTCTTTCTGGGTCAGCCTCTCTTGCGATCTGTTTCACTGTCTAGGAGAGGTGGCTAACCCAGTCTCAGTATCAATCCCATCTTGCACAGACTCTGTCTCCATCTTTTTCTCTGCATCCTGGTTGTGTGTCCTTCAGCCTCTCCTTCTATTTGGAGTAATTGCCACATGGTGGCAGTGTTGTAGGACTTTCTCCTTAGTTCAGCTAAAAACCGGGTTCTTGTCACATAACCAGGAAAGATTAGGCTTGAGGATGCATAGAAGGGTGAGAAAAATGGAATTTATTGCGCGAAAAAGGAAAAAGAAATACTTTCAGCAGAGTGAGAGGGAGGCCTGTTAACCTGCTCCTGCCCCACCACACAGGAACACAAGAGGCTGGGCTCCTCCCCTCTGCAAACCACGCTAACTTCGTGGCTCCACCCCCTTTTCCCAGTGCACAGGTGGGTCGGAGGTTCTCTGGGGAGCCCTTTTTACTCGGCTGTCTCAACAGTTTCGGGGTTTACATGTGAACTTTAATGATTTCTGGCTGGGTTACATTGGATGGGCAATATTTGATGAATTACTTGGCCTCTCCATTGCTATACTTTTTCTTATGTAAAATGACATTGAAAACAAGATGCAAGATGAGCCTAGAGAATCTTGTTGTGTCAAAAAGTAAGAATGAGCTCAAAGAATGGTGAGAATCTGTCAAATAGGGAGCCAGCTTGAAGGGACTCCCTCCAGCCAAATTTGAGAAAATTTGAGAATCAAACTGAATAATGATTTTAAATGATTGTTACCTATTGGATACTACAAGAATCCATTAGTCCACAATTAAAATGAATAAATGAGGGAGAAGGAAAAGACCTAACTTTCAATGAAAAAGCAACTAGTAAATGTAAAAGAAATAATGAAATTAGAATATCACCACTCGATGACTATCATAATAATAATTTCTTCAGGAAGGAATCATCAATGGGTGCTAAAACTAATAGGTGGAAGTTTAGGTGAGCAGGATATCAATATTGCCTCAAAGTGTCTTCCCCAAAGATTTACTAATGACAAAGAGTAAAACAGTAACATTACACTGAACACCAAATAGATACCAGTAGACACCAAGTGATGGCAGCTAACACTGCCTGGGATGAAACACACCAACAGCACGTGAGCCTTGACATCATGCGCTGAGAACTCATAATAAATTCTACCGTATTCCTGCCAAAGGGGTCACCCTGAATCTAATTACAAGGAAAAATCAGAAAAACTCAAATTGAAGCACATTGTAGAAATGTCTCAAGCTTTTATGACAACAACATCATAAAATACAAAGAAAGACTCAGGAACTTTTACTGGATGAAGGAAGCTACAGAGAGATGACAACTGCATATTAATGTACCATGTGACCTTGGATTATCTTTTACCATAAATTGTATCACTGGGACAATTGTTGAATCTAAACATGTTCTATCAAGTGAATAGTACCATTGTATTAATATTAATTTCCTGATTTTAATCATTGCACTGTAGCCACGTAAAAGAATATTCTGCTTTTAAGAAATAAACCCTGGGGTAATTATGATTAAAACATCAACAACCATGACAAATGTTATGTTAATAATTTCAAGAAAAAATATTTGGCCAAAAATGTGAATTGCTTAGTAAGATACCATTCATTGAATACATTAAATCCTGTAAAACAACACTATTTATTATTTTTAATATTTCCATAAGTAGTAATACTAGAAAACTCTGAATGGGGGAGAAAAGTAGTAAAATTAGAAAACCGAATTGGGGAGAGAGTGAATATGACTGAGGAGAAAGAAAAGATAGTAGAGTTAGGGACTACTAAAACTTTTTAAATTATTTCAATTTTTTTTTCGTTTTTTTTTTTGAGATGGAGTTTCACTCTCGTTGCCCAGGCTGGAGTGCAATGGTGCAATCTCGGCTCACCGCAAGCTCCACTTCCCAGGTTCAAGCGATTCTACTGCCTCAGCCTCCTGAATAGCTGGAATTACAGGCATGAGCCAACATGCCCTGCTAATTTTGTATTTTTAGTAGAAATGGGGTTTCTCCATGTTGGTCGGGTTGGTCTTGAACTCCTGGCCTCAGGTGATCCACCCTCCTCAGCCTCCCAAAGTGCTGGGATTAGAGGCGTGAGCCACCATGCCCGGCCTATTTCAATTTTTTAAAACAAGAAACAGGTGTGGTAGACTATAGACATTCGTAAAGCCTGTTGGCTGTTCATGGGTTTCCAATATCGTTTCAGGTGAATGGATAAACAAACGGTGGTATATCCATACAGTGGAATACTATTCATCAATAAAAGGAAATGAGGCATGAAGACACAGAAAACACGGGGAAACTTAAATGCATATTGTTAAGTGAAAGAAGCTAGTCTGAAAAGGCTGCATACTATATGATTCCAACTATATGACATTTTGGAAAATGCTAAACTATAAGGATAGTGGAAAGATCAGTGGTTGCCAGGATCTAGGATGGCAGGAAGAAGAGAAGGATGAACAGGTAGAACACAGAGGACTTCTAGGGTTATAAAACTATTCAGTATGATCCTGTAATGATCATTGTATATTTGTCAAGACCTTTATAATGTACAACACAAAAAGTGAACACTAATGTAACTATGAACTTTAGTTAATAAAAATGCATCAATATTGTCTCATCAACTGTTGCAAATATATCACACTATAAGGACGTATATGGGAACTCTCGTACTTTCTGATCAATTTTTTTGTAAATGTAGAACTCTAAAAATAGTCCAGAAAATTAAAAAAAGAGATAAAATGGAAGGTATTATCTAGAAAGTAGCACAGATGTGAAAACAATGGAAAACATTTTTAAAACACTTAGAACTTGCAGGATAGGAAGAGGCAATATTTACAAAGATAATGGCTGATAATTTCTCCAAACAAAGGAAAGATATGACTTCACATACACAGAAAGCACAACATATTCCAAGCAGATCAAATAGAAAGTGATCTCACCGGACACACTGTAGTGCAATTAACAATACTAAAGACTAAAGGAAGATTTTTAAAGCAACAGGAAAGAGAAAAAAAGATTGCTGAAGAAATAACATTCAGATTGCCATAGGTTTTTGAAACCACAAAGTGAAAGTCCAATCTGAGAAAAAGTGTATCTTCAAACTGTTGAGAGAAACATGTCAACTCAAAAGTTTATACAAAGAAATGTCTTGGTTCATTTTCTGTTGCTATAACAGAATACCTTAGACCGGGTAATTTGTAAAGAAAAGAAGTTTATTCTGGAGGCTGGGAAGTCCAAGGTCATGGGACTGGCTTCTGGCAAGGGTTTTTGTTCTGCATCACGACATGGTGAAAAAGCAACACGACAAGAGAATGTGGATGAAAGAGGGAAAAAGAAGCAGGCTGACTGGTTTTATAACAACTCACTCTCATGAGAACTAACCCAGTTAGCCAGAACTGCATGAATCTCTTCATGAGGGCAGAGATAACCCAAATACCTTCCACCAGGCCCTATTTCCCAATCCTTCCACTTTAGGGAATTAAGGTTCCAACATGTGAACTTTTGGAGGATACACTCAAACCATCGTAGTAAATTTGTCTTTCAATAATGAGGATAAAATACAGTTTAAGGGTGAGGGAAAGCAGAGCAATATTGCCACTAAGAAACTTTACTATAGAATCTTTAAGTTTGTACTTGAACAACAAAAACATAACCCTAGAAGGGATAAGCTGTAAGAAAAAAATGAAAAAAAAAAATCGGGAAACATATAAGCCTAAGCAAATATTGCCTGTATAAAATAATAATAATAATAATAATAATAATAATAATAATAATAATAATAATGATGTCGAGTTTTGGGGGTTGAAAAAAGCCAGAACTAAAATAACAGATAAGAATAGTTTAACAGATGACAGTAATTAGATTTAAGCTATTTAAAAATATTGTAGCTGGGAATGATGGCTACAATAGCAGGACTTTGGGAAGCTGAGGCAGGAGGATCACTTAAGCCCAGGAGTTTGAGATCAGCCTGGGCAACATGGTGAGATCTTGTCTCTACCAGTTTTTTTTAATTAGCCAGGTGGTCTAAAACTAGCCTAAAAAAAATTAGGATCATTTAAGTCAAGGAGGTCAAGGTTGCAGTGAATCCTGATAGCACCACTGCACTCCAGCCTGGGTGACAGAGAAAGATCCTGTCTCAAAATATGTGTGTGTAAACATATGTTAATGCTTGGAATATGTTATAAAGTAGATTAACTTTACACTTTGTAAAGTTAACTATTAATAATAAAATTTTGATAGTAAGCACACAAAGAATAGATAAATATATAGATTAGTAGAAGAAAAATTATTCACATGAGTAGAGCAATAAGGGGAAAAATTAGCAAAATAAAAAATCCAATTAAAAAGACAGTAAAGAAAAAAGATAATAAAAAAGTAATAAACTCAAATGTGGGAAAAATACAAACCAAAGAGATGTTAGAAAAAATTCCAAGTATATCAGTGCTGGTATAATAACAGGTTGCAGCCTAAGCAGCTTTAACCAGGAGCCACTAAACCACTAGAAACAAACCTGTAATCTGACAAAATCAGATTAATGAGTCAGGTAATGGAAGGAAGATGTTTGAGAGGAATCTTGAAACGGTAGCTCTACAGAAGAGAAGAGAGAAGTACATTTTATAAGGTTTGAGTTACTGCTGAAAGATTCTGAAGAGAGACAAGGAGAAGCAGGTATTCTTCAACCTTGGTTCTGGTTTGGTTGATGTTTCTAGGACAGGACTAGAAAGTAGAAGGATTAACTAAAGATTTAGTGCAGTAATGAGTTGAGGGTGCTTTAGTAGTCGGGTCTCCCCTGTAATAAATGGATATAGCAAGGCAGGCCTGGGGCATCATTGGAATGAAAGCAGAAACCTTTCAAAGAGGAGGCTATTAGGGAGTTTTACAGTTATTCCATGATCTTGGTAGAAAAACAATGTTTCCTGTAAACTTTCAGCCTTCTTTAATCTGTGTATGTTTTCCTAGTGAGAAAAATGACAATGCTGCTTTTTTTCTTTTACGATGTGAGCTGATTTTTATTCTTTCATTCCTGGACAGATTTTTACTCATTTAAACATCAAAAATGTATATAATCCTTCCTATTTAATTTTATTAAATTAAATTATTTTACTGATGAGAAATTTATTAATTTACTATTATTAATTATTAATTTACTGATGAGAAAACACCAAGAAACTAAATAACTTTTCCAAGATTTCAAAGCTAGCAATTGATGGGCATAGACACCAAATTCAGGAAAAGTAACTCCAGAAGCCATAGATCAAATTGTTATTCTTGG
This sequence comes from Homo sapiens, assembly GCF_000001405.40. Taxonomy (NCBI): domain Eukaryota; kingdom Metazoa; phylum Chordata; class Mammalia; order Primates; family Hominidae; genus Homo; species Homo sapiens. Next base: position 27,073,930 of record NC_000006.12, on the reverse strand, counting down.
TCATCTATGAATATTGTATTAGATGAAACTAAATACTAACTACTGCTATTTTTCCTTTTCAAGAGACCTATCCAATACATAATGACCACTTCGAAAGGAAAATTATGAAATAAGTTACCTTAGCTAATATTAAGCAAAAAGTATTTTGGAGAACCCATATTAATATAAGACTAATTGTTGTTAAGACAAAAAGCATTATTACGACTAAAGAGGGTTTCTACATGTATTAGTCCAGGGTTCTCCAGAGAAACAGAACAAATAAGAGATAAATAGGTAGATAGATAGGTGATAGATAGATAGATAGATAGATAGATAGATAGATAGATAGATGATAGATAGATAGATGATAGGTAGATAGAAGGGGATTTAATAAGGAAATTGGCTTGCATGATTATGGGGGTGGAGAAGTCCCATGAGAGGCTGTCTGCAGGCCGGAGACCATAGAATGCTGGTAGTGTGGCTCAGTCCATGTCTGAAAGTGTCAGAACCCAGAAAAACCAATGGTATAGCTTTCAATCTGTGACCAAAGCTTTGAAAATCTGGGGGCCTCTAGTCCTGGAGTCCCAGGCTGAGAGAGTCTGGGCAGGAGAAGAAGAGTGTTCCAGCTCCAGGAGAAAGATAAAACAACTTGCCTTTTCTCTGCCCTTTTGTTCTATCCAAGCAACAGCCAATTCAATGGTGTGCATCCACATTGAGGGCAGAACTTCCCTACTAGGTCCACCCACTCGCACACCAGTCTCCTCTGGAAACACCTTCACAGACCAGAAATAATGCTTTACCAGTTCTCTAGATATTACTTAATCTGGTCAACATCTAAAATTAGCCATCATGCTACATAATGATAAAAGTTCCAACTTGTATAGTAAAACAATTCTCAATTTTATGCACATTTGAAAAGCCTCAGATATGTAAAGCAAATTATAGAACTATAATGGGAAATATAGATATCCAGCATCATAAAATTTTAATATATCTTTTCATTTAGTGATAGATGATACTGATCTTTTCATTTTCTGATACCAGAAATAAAGATGATTAGAACAATATAACTAATAATTGAACATATATAGAGTTTTATGTTCCTCAAATTTAAAATATGTATATTATGAAGAAAGTTTACAAAACATCATAGACCATAAACTAAGTCTCAAAATGTGTTTTAAAATCATAATTAAAACTACATTATAGGACTGGGTGCGGTGGCTCACGCCTGTAATCTCAGCACTTTGGGGGGCCAAGCGGGGGTGGATCACCTGAGGTCAGGAGTTCGAGACAAGGCTGACCAACGTGGCAAAACCCTGTCTCAACAAGAAACACAAAAATTAGCCAGGAGTAGTGGTGCATGCCTGTAGTCCCAGCTACTTGGGAGGCTGAGACAGGAGAATCTCTTGAACCCAGGAGGCGGAGGTTGCAGTGAGCCAAGATTGCGCCACTGCACTTCAGCCTGGGTGACAGAGCAAGACTCCATCTCAAAAACAAAAAACAAAAAAAAAACTTTACATTAAAATACCATTAAATAAGAAATAAATATTAAAATAATTTAAAAATTAGTATTTCTCTGCTTTATTTTCGTTTTATCACATATGCATGCATTTCAAAACAATGTTTATTTTAGTTTTGCTTGAAACTCTATTAAGATAGTATCATAACTTATATAACTGCCATTTGATCCACCTATGTTGTGGTTGCAAATGCAATTAATTGTTTTAAGTGCCATAAATACTATGTCTTTATTCATTCTATTATCAACTTAAATTTCAGTTAATTATAGTTTTTTGTTCTTGTTGTTCTCTTTGCTCTAAAAGCAATTCTATTAATTCCTTGTCTCCTGCACAAATATGCAAGAGGAATATTTTCAACTTCTGTGTGCATCAGAATTACCTGGAGGGCCTGTTCAACACAGATTGCTGGGTGCCACCTGCAGAGTCTTGAAATTCGGTAGTTCTGGGGTGGGCCATAGAATTTTCATTTCTAACATGTTTCCAGGTGATGCTAGTGACTCCGGACTCAGGACCACATTTTGAAAGCTAATATTCTAAGGTATATAGTATAGTCATGGGTCGTATAACAACATTTTGGTCAATGATGGACTGACTGCATACATGAGGGTGGTCCCATAAAATTATAATATCATATTTTTACTGTATCTTTTCTGTATTAAATACGTTTAGATACACAAATACTTACCATTGTGTTTCAGTTGCCTACTGCATTCAGTGCACTAACGTATTTGTAGCCTAGGAGCAACAGGCTATACCAGACAGCCTAGGTATGTTGTAGGGTATACCATCTAGGTTTGCGTGAGTATGTGGGACACTATGGTGGTGTCCCACTATGATGTTCCCACCAAACGACAAAATTGCCTAATGACATGTTTCTCAGAACATATATCCTTCATTGAGTGACACATAAGTGTAATAGTAAAGTATATATGTAGTAATTTGTTGCGTAGTCATAAGATATGAGTTGTTCAAACATACTAGTTAATAATTAGTCAAATTATTTCCCCTGATGTTCCAATTAACACTATCAGCCATAAGTCCCCACTGTTCTATATGCTCACCAACACCTGGTATTCTGTCTGTTTAAATTTGATAAAAAGTATTTATTTTGGTTTTAATTCACATTGCCATAAAATTATTGAGATTGAGTGTATCTGTGTCTTTTTATATTCCATGCATTTTTTTTATCCTTCTATGAAATGGCCATGTTTTTTGTGCTTTTTTAGTTTTATCCTTTTCTGGTCTATTTTAAGCCAGTTTTAATATATATTCTGAATACTAATTCAGAATACTTTGTTGTAAATATATTTTGTCAGTTTGTGGCTTGTTGTTTTACTAATTTAGGGAGACTTTGATGAACATAAGTCATGAGATCTAGGTCGGCGTCTTATTTATGCATCCTTGAGGAAGCAATTTAGCCCACCTGGCCTCAGCATCTTATTTCCGTGGTTATCATGAAGTTCAAATAATTTACATGAAATTCTCTAGATGTATAATACATTATTAAATATTTATGTTCATCTTCTCACATGCACTTAGCAGAAAATTTGAAAAATCTGTTGTGCATCTAATGGAATTACTTATGCCTAGATTTTTTTATATCCTGATACAAGAGCTCTGCAAATAGTAGATAATGTGTGGTTGTGATACACACACACACACACGCACAAACTTGAGTTTGGAGGGAGCTCAAATATCACATCGAAAGGTTGTAAGAATTGAATAAAAATGTAAGTGAGGGAAATTATGTCTCTTCAGGTTGCAATAGCAGAGGAGTCCGCAATGATCATGCTGCATCATTCAGGATTGTGAAAGAAACTGTCCCCGGCCCCGACCCCAGCCTCTGCTACCAGGTCAATTCCATTCCTTTGGAGTCCTCCTCTCTTCCCTGTTTTGTTTTGTTTTGTTTTGTTTTGTTTGTTTGTTATTGTTGTTTTTTTTAAACTACCACTTACCTAACTCAGCTGACATAAGCACAGGTGCTCTTGTGTCTAGAAAAATATTTACCTGAACTTTAGGTCTCAGCTGGAATTCACTTTAGTGCATTCCTTCGCATCAAGAACTATACTGGCCACTCAAAAGGGAAGGGTATGAGTGAAGAACAGAGAAAGATTATTTAAGCTAAGCCGTATTGCTAGATGGTGGATATCAAAATCAGCTGTCTTCCTCTCCTTGAATCCCTTTATTGTCTAATGGAACCATTTCTGGAAAAGCTATTAGGGACCCAGCATGAAGGTTTAACTCTGATAGACAGGGCTACACACATCCTACTCAGCTAGTCTGGGCTGTGACTCCATGGCATGAGCTTCCAGAGCCAGTGGCAGTATATTTTATTTGGCAGTAAACTTTTAAATGAAATATACATACAAAGAAATGCAGAAATCATTAATGAATATCTTAATGAATTGTATAAACTAATTTATATGCATAAAACTAGCACCTGGATCAAGAAACAGACAATACCAGCAACCAGAGGCCCCACTTCGGCCATGTTCTAGACACTACACCCCAAGAGAAGCCCCTGATTCTGGCAATCAATGATCTTTCATAATCAATGTAGAACACACTTGTAAAATGTTCGGAAAGTGACCACTCTAGATTCTCAGGTTTTTTTTTTCCAAATTGGTTCCTGAGCTTTGGTGGTGAATGGAGGAGATGGGAGGAGAATATAGTAAAAATGAAGAAACCCAGACTCCTTAGTAAACTGTTCCTCATTACAGTGCCTTCTACTCATTACTGCACATTTACTATAATTAGGATCAAGATGTTTCTGGGCCCAGCAAATTATCGAGCCTCAGGGAGAGGGCAGAGTTGTACCCAGGGATTGACATTGTACAGAAGGACCCCTTTTCCTTTGGCAAAGTCAGAAATTATGACATTGACATTGTGACACCAGTGGGAGTTGCCCATGAGCACTGGGACTTGGGGAAATATAAACAGGCCCTGGTTGGTGCTGCTCTGCCAGAACAGCCACCCAGAGGCATGCTGCACAGACTCCCCAGGTGAGTGTACCTGACAACTGTGGATTGGGGCTGCCTTTGGCTTTGGAAGGGGACTGTCCAGGGCAGAGCTGGTCAGGGGTAGGCAGTGAAAGAGAAGATTCTGAGGTCTTCTGTCACTTGTGGAAGAGGAAGATTCCAGGGCCCAGGGAGAAGGTGGCTGATCATTTCCCAACTCCCATCCAGAAACATCTGCTTCTTTCTGGTCCACAAGGGAGCCAGAGCCATTGTACAGCAGTGTTTGATGCACTGTGCCTGGAGCTGCCCCTTCTTATACAAGGAAGAGAGGTATAGGTGACATCAGACATCAGTGACATGTCAGCCTGGATGTGTGGGAGCACTTTTTCTCTGCATTCTTCCCTTAGCATTTGTGCACTTTCTTTCCTAGCAGTTGGAATTTTTAGTTAAGCTATGCATATTATCTCTAGTGTCCTTCAATCTTTTCTTTACGTGGCACTTTTGTCTTCTTTAATAAGGTTTAGTATTCTGAGGATGTTTAAATTTATTCTGCATTTTTCTTTAAATTAACACCCTAGCTCCAAAACATAATACGGTGTACTTTTTTAGAAAATTGTTGAGATGTGGGGAATAGGACAGATGTAAAAAGCACATCATAATAATACTAATAGTTACCTTATGGAAAATTGTTCTTCAGTACTTAGTTGCCAAGCACATATATAAGCACTTCCTACATCAGCTCCTTCAGTCCTCATTCCTCACTAGAGACCAGTACAGTACAAAGCACTGCCCTTGTTTTACAGATGAGAATATTGGGTCTTACAGAGGTCAAGTAATATGCAGATACAAATTAGGAAAGCCAAGACTTGAACTTTAGAGTGACTGAAGGCAAAGCTAATTCTTGTGAATCTGTGCAGTTGTATCTCCTAGACCCAAGGACACTAGATAAACATCTAGGAGATTCAGAGACAGTGAGCATATCAGTCAGGGTGGGAAGTAGGAATTAGATAAGTTGACCTGGGAGGGAGTGATCAGAGGAGTAGCAAAGAGGATGATCACAAAGATTGAGGGGATGAGATGCTGAGCATGGTTGCTCATGCCTGTAATTCTAGCACCTTGGGAGGCTGAGGTAGGAGGATCACTTGAGCTCAGGAGTTTGAGACCAGCCTGGGCAACATAGAGAGACCTCATTTCTACAAAAAATTAAAAAGTAAAAACTAACCGGGCGTGATGGCATGTGCCTGTATTCTCTGCTGTGGTGGGAGAGTGGCTGAGGGCTGAGGTGGGAGGACTGCTTAAACCCAGCAGGTCTAAGCTGCAATGAGCTGTGATCACACCACTGCACTCTAGCCCGGGCAACAGAGCAGAACACTGTCTCAAAATAAACAAAACAAACAAACAAAAAGATCGAGGGGATGGAACAAAGTATTTGGATGGAAAATAAGTCAGTAAAGTGAATTGAGATATTCCTTACAAACATATTCCAGGTCTTGACCAAACTGTTTAACAATTCTGTGAGTTTTTATTTATTAATCAGTGTTGTTTTTGTTGTTGTAGTGAGTTGCCAATTATTATTTATTTATTTACATTTATTTATTTATTCATTTATATTTGAGATGGAGTCTCACTCTGTCACCTAGGCTGGAGTGCAGTGGTGCAATCTCGGCTCACTGCAACCTCCACCTACTGAGTTCAAGCGATTCTCCTGCCTCAGCTTCCCCAGTAGCTGGGATTACAGGTGCCCGCCACCATGCCTGGCTAATTTTTGTATTTTTCGTAGAGACAGGGTTTCACCATGTTGGCCAGGCTGGTCTTGATCTCCTGACCTCATGATCAGCCCGCCTCAGCCTCCCAAAGTGTTGAGATTACAGGCATAAGCCATCTATTATTAAATTGTTTGTCAAGCACTATATAAGAGGAAGACATTCTGGAAAATGCAATGCACAAATGTAGTCCACAATATGGATCATTTTATAACCATTTTAAACACGAAGAAATAGAGTCCCAGGGAAGAAAACACATGCTCCCCAAATCATGGAACTAGTAACTTCCCAAACCAGGGATGTACACCTATGCTTGTCTAATGGCCATGTTCATGATGCTTCTTTTATCATCCACTGTCTCTGAGCCCAAAAGACATGTTGTTTTCAGGCTTATAAAGGAAAACAGGCCTTGAAAATGTGGATACATTGGAAATAGCAAATCCCATGGTTGTAATTATAAGGGAAACTTTGTTTTTGTTTCCCGTCCTTTATACCTGATGTCAAATCAAGCAGATCCTTAATTTTTCTTTTCAGAATTAGGCAATAAAATTACCTAAAGATAGTTTAAATCACAAAAGCACTTCCAATCAGGAGTACAATCTTCTTCCCTCTGTGAGCAGAGTGTGAAACTTTGAGCTGAGTTAGGGGTGTGGCCTGCTTTTTCTCTTTGCATCTCCTGCCTCACAGTAGATAGGAAAACAAAGGGACTATTTATTTGACTCATATTTATCTATTTAATTATTTATGTGTTCTCACAGGAGAACAAAGGGACTATTTATCTGACTTAAAGCCAATTCTCTCCGAGACACTTTTGTAAATTCTTTGGAGGCATTTCTGCTGGGCACTTCTAGCTGCAACTCACCCTGGGCAAGCAATGCCTCTCCTTCAGGAAGCCTACTCCTGAAAACCCCAATGATTCTGCTGCTTGTGATATACACACAGGCTTTTCCCTGTGCATACACTCAGCATGTTGGACCACTTTCATGGCTGATATCCCTACTGCACTGTCAAACCTAGTCCTTGAAAGGTCTGCAGCATTGATCACCCATCACCTTGAGCACCTTTACTTCCCAGTTTCATCCTTCTCCTCTGCTGTGAGGGACCTTTGTCATTTTAATTAGCCCAAGTCAGACAGCGGTCCCCCTATCCCCCCACCGTGTGTAACAGCTACAAGGCAGACACTTCGTGCTTCCTAATTGGTTGAGGAAACGTCCTTTCCTAGATGTGGCATCACACTTCACTCCTCTCACTTGACAGGTTTCACAATATAGCTCTCTTCTGATTTCTTCCCATAATCTTCTCTAAATTGTACTTTCTTACCCACTGAAAAACCTCAAACTAGGTTGTAGGCTCCCAGGATCCAAAAACTGTAAAACCAGATCTACCCAAGAGGCACTCAGAGATGATTAACAAATGCCTGTGTGCCCTAATGACTCAGCCAAAACTTCAATTTTGAGATTTTTTTTTTAAATTTGTATTTCTTTTTTTCTTCTTTTTTAAAATAGATAGATGAAATTATATATAATGATATTTTGAAATATATGCATTATGAAATGACTAAATCCAGCTAATTAACATATATATTACCTCACATAGTTATTTCAATTTTGAGATTTTATTACATGAAGCAGTCACATAAGGCTGTGAGATACCTAAGCCAACAATTGTACTAGGGTTGACTAAGTGTTAAGCAGAGACTGGTCCAAAATGCCAGTGAATAGAGCAGATAAAAAATAAATCTAGCTAATGTTAAGGGTGGCATTACAAGAAAGATGACATGAATGACATTTAAAAGATGATATTTTAAAAATTATCTTGATTTTTTAAAAAAATATATTTATATATTCATATATATATATATATATATATATATATATATATATATATATATAATACATATATGAAAGCTGGATTCCAAGCAGAGGCATTGACATGCACAGGAATATGAACAAGAAAAATGCATTTTAAAACTATAAACCATTCATTGTGTCTGGAGCATGGAGTGCTAATACATTCATTAGACTCATTTAAAGTATATATGTTAGTTCTGTGGTGTGAACAACAAATTACAAGAAATTAGAGATTTGTTCAAGAGAGCGCAACGTGTGGGCTGCCACCCACAATTCATGTACTATCCAATGGGGCCAAAGTGACCTACTTTCTGTTTCCCTTCCCTGTACCTCGCCTTGGTAACCTTATGCCTTTGCTCATGAAATTTCATTTGTTCCTTCTGCTCACCCATTTCTACCTTTCACAGCCCATAACTGTGGATATTCATAAACCCTTTCCTTTTGGGTCTACCATAATGTCACATTATCTAAAAGCCCTTTCTCAATAGTCTCCTCTAAATGACCACACTCGTCTGATATCATGTGTTCCCATGACACTCACTGCAGACATCTGTCTTGGCTCTTCCACATGATATCTTTCCCTATCAGTGAGTAGCCCTTGATGGCGAAACCACATGGTACTTTTCTATTTAATTTCCAATATCTTATTCAGGGCCTATTATATGGTGAAATATCCAGGTACATTTGTTGGATAAATGTTTTCTTTAATCTATCATATTTTTCTTGCAGGTTCATAAGTCTTTCATTCAGAACAGTGTCTGAGTTTAACCCATTTTGAAGGCCTCAACTCTGATAGAAAAGTGCTTACTAGAGATTCATATATACTTGGTTATAAATAAAGGCTTTAAAAGTTAAGGTGGGCTTAATGTATACCATGATAAAGTGTTTAAATCTTCCGACAATTCTTCTTAATATTGAAGCCACACACCTTAATTATAGACTTGGGCTGGGCATGGTGGCTCACGCCTGGAATTCCAGCATTTTGGGAGGTTGAGGTGGGAGGATTACTTGAACCCAGGAGTTTGAGGCCAGCATGGGCAACATGGCGAGACCCTATCTCTACAAAAAATACAAAAATTAGCCAGACATGGTGGTGTGCAGCTGTAGTCCCAGCTACTTGGGAGGCTGGACTTGAGTCTGGGAGGTAGAGGTTTCAGTGAACCAAGATCACACCTCTGCACTCCAGCCTGGGAGACAGAGTGAGGTTCTGTCTCAAAAACAAAAACAAAAACAACACACACACACACACACACACACACACACACACACACACATATATATAGAAAGAGAGACTTGAAAAACAATGTAATTAATGAAGCCCATATCTGCAGAGATTTAAACACCACTAGCCCTCCTGGCCAGCTATCTCACTTGACTTTGGGGTTATGCTGTCTCTCATGTAGAAAGCCTCTGCCAAACAACTCCAAGAGGTACACCCTATGTTCTCCAGGTTGCCTTTGGTTGATCCTTAAATACTGGCTGTAAAAGCCTTGCAAAAGGTTTCTTAGAAATACATGTGACCTGCCGGGCGCAGTGGTTCACGCCTGTAATCCCAGCACTTTGGGAGGCCGAGGCAGGCAGATCATGAGGTCAGGAGATCGAGACCATCCTGGCCAACATGGTGAAACTCCATCTCTACTAAAAATACAAACATCAGCTGAGTGTGGTGGCACGTGTCTGTAGTCCCAGCTACTCAGGAGGCTGAGGCACGAGAATCTCTTGAACCCCGGAGGCGGAGGTTGCAGTGAGTTGAGATTGTGCCACTGCACTCCAGTCTGGCGACAGAGAGAGACTCCGTCTCAAAAAAAAAAAAAAAAAAAGAAAAGAAAAGAAAAAATAAATATGTGTGACCTTTCACCCCCTCCCAGCGACCAGAGCAGGCATAAAAGTATCACTTGCCCAGTCCATTTGTCATCCTATTCTAGATAGCAAAGACAAAATTCTCATTCCAAAAACTGCTATGGGTATCTCAGAATGGTATGTTTGGAAAATAACTAATTAATCAGAAGCATTTCAATGCAGGGAGAGTAAATGTAAATATGTCAGAGTTTATTGTGGCTCTTGAAAGATGGCACATGTGACTTACTGGAGCTGGTAACAAGAATGGCAGCCTTAAAGTTTAAACCTACATATACATCTGAGAAGACACTGAAGTCCCTAATGAATGTGTCATCGGACATGGATTGACTTGAGTTCTCCACGTCATCTAGTCTTTAGATTCGTAGAGAAGATTCTGCTCAAACAGCTGCTCCCCAGTTGGCTCCTAACCTCATCTCTGTGATTAATATGCACTTTAACAACCATAACTACATGCTTATTTGATTTTTGTTTATGAACTGTTTATTGAATATTATTTTGCAGGCATATAGCCAGATGACTTAGATGAAAAGTGAGTCTCTTTCCACAGTTAGATGGCAGAAGAAAAGTGAGAAATACAGAGTGACAATTTGGCCCTGTGAGATCAGTGAATGTTTAACAGGCAAAAGAAGTCTAAATTGGTTTCTGATGGATGGATGGGAGGTAGCTATGAAATGGGTGGTGGCAGAGGTAAAATATTGGCATAGGGAGCTTGTGCATATATCTATGGATAAGTGTAAAGATTAAACTTTTTGCAGTAATTCAATGTACCTCCAAAATTCAGTATGAGTTTGATAAGAAAGGAGGCTAAAAGTGTAAGCTTTATACAAATCAAAAGAAGACAAATGTTCTTGCATAGATATAAAGCTATCAAGGGATTATGAGACATAAATTCAAATAGGCAGATTTCTAATTTGAAATCTCAGTCTGGCAGAAAATGGATGGAAAAACCTGGAGGAAGAGTGATGAGTTAGAAAACTATTATGTCAATCAAAATATGAGCTATTAGGGTAGCATTTTTGATTAAGAAAATGGTAAAATTAGACAAATGTTAAAAGATAGAATCAACAGGATGTTGATCTTGGCAGGGTTCCCTGGATCCAGATTCTGAAAATGGAATTTGTGTTCACATAATTTATGGGGGGAGTCAGAGGAAGAGAAGGGGATAAAGCAAGTTTGGGCAGATGAGCAAAGTTAGCCCCACAATGCAGTCTCAGCTAATAAAATATGTCAGCTGCCTCCAGTCTATGAGATTATGGAACAAAATAACGGAGGGACCCACAGGTTGAAGTTATGGGGAAGCTTGACCTTCCATGTCAGTCAGTAACTGGCCTAGGTGTTCTGAGTAAGGAGAGAGAGAGTGCTTGTTCTCTTGGTAGAGATTGCTCTCTTTTGGCCAAGGGAAATTCTCTAGAGAAAGTGCCAGCTGTGAACTGTTTCCAAGCAACATTCACAGCAATTGGGAGATGGATGCACATGCTATATCCAGGAGATCTGGAAGGGGAATTCACAATGTTCAGGATAACATAGAGGTGGTCGAATATTGGAAGTGACGGAAGGTAATATTCAGGATTACAGAGTAGGAATTTACTATTTTTTAGGAAATACATGAAGTATAGTAGGATTGTGGGGAGGAATATTGCCACATATATGTGGACATATACAGAAGGCGATTGCTATGGTTTCAATATTTGTCGCTTCCAAAACTCATTTTAAAATGTTATCCTGGCCAGGTGCAGTGGCTTATGCCTGTAATCCCAGCACTTTGGAAGTCCGAGGCAGGTGGATCACAAGGTCAGGAGTTCAACACCAGCCTGGCCAACATGAAGAAAGACTGTCTCTACTAATAATACAAAAATTAGCTGGGCATGGTGCGTGCCTGTAATCCCAGCTACTCGGGAGGCTGAAGCAGGAGAATTGCTTGAACCCAGGAGGTGGAGATTGCAGTGAGCCAAGATCGCACCTCTTCACTCCAGCCTGGGCAACAGAGCAAGACTCCATCTCGAAAAAAAATTAAAAAAAAAAAAAGTGTTATCTTCAATGTAGAAGTATTAATAGGTGGGGCCCTTAAGAGGTGATTGGATCATGAGGGCTCTGTGTTCGTGAATGGATTAATCCATTCATAGATTAATGAGTGAATGGATTATGTGTTATCATGGGATTAGGCCTGCTGGCTTTATAAGAAGAGGAAGAGAAACCCAAGCTAGCATGCTTAACCCCCTGGTCACGTAATGCCCTGCACCACCTTAGGACTCTGCAGAAAGTTTCCACCAGCAAAAAGTGTTCATCAGATGTGGCCATTTGACCTTGGATTTCTCAGTGTCCATAATTATGAGAAATAAATTGCTTTTCTTATAAAGTACCCAGTTTCTGGTATTCTGTTATGAGCAAGAGAAAACAGACTAAAACAGTGAAGTTGGTAGAATCAGGTAGATGGCGTATAATGCAGGACAATGTGTTGTTATAAAGCCAGGATACCCCTTGGGTTTTGATTCTTCAGATGTGCCTACTTCCCCCAACCATGTTATGAAATAGCATGAAAGACTTTACCAGAAGCCAAGGCCATGCCCTTGAACTTCCCAGCCTGAAATACTACAAGCTAAATAAACTTCTTTTCTTGATAAACTATCCAGTCTCAGGCATTCTGTTATAGCAATTCAGAACAAACTAGTTATCCTCACTTTGTTTGTTTTTCTCAAAAGGTTCCTCTTGGTTTTGTCCATGAAGTCAGAGAATGATCTGGAATAACTCCATCCAGGGAATAATCTTTATTTCTTTTACTGGATCTGGCATTGGAGGGAATTTCTTTTTGTTTGCGAAGCATGTGTACATGTTTGTCATGAGTTCCAAGAAAAAACCCATAGACCTTATTCTTATCCGCCTGGCTTTTACTAATGCAATGACACTTTGTGTCAGAGGAATCTCAGATGTAGTGTCAGCTTTTCATTTCAGTAACTTCCTAGATAATGCTGGTTGTAAAACTACAATTTATTTAGGGAAGGTAGCTTGGGGCCTTTCCGTCTGCACCACCTGTCTCCTCAGTGTGGTACAGGCCATCACCATCAGTCCCAAGACCACCTCGTGGTCAAACTACGGACTGCCTGGCAAGTTCTTCCTTATCTCTTCCTCTTTTGGATCTTTAATTTTCTGATAAGCTCCAACTTGCTCTGCTACCTTAGAGCAGTTAATAGCATGAATAGGTCTGAAATTAGACCACATATTAGTTATTGCTATATGCCACCATCTAAGCAAAGGGAAAGTTTGGTGGGTTTTTCTCACTCTCATGGCTCTTTGTGATATCATCTTTCAGAGTCTCATGGGCTGGAGAAGTGGGTCCATGGCTTATCATCTGTATAAACATCACAAGCATGTCTCCTGCCTTCAGAGCTCCAGGTTTGCAAATAATTCCAGCCCAGAGATCAGAGCTACTCAAAGTACTCTCATTCTCATGACCTGTTTCCTTTCTTTTATTGGGCAGATTTTATTTTCTCCTTCTACATAGGTTCCAGCTTGACAAATGATTTTATGATATTAAGTATGAAAATATTTCTAACAGTTGGTTATGCCTGTGCCAGTCCCTTCATGCTGATCAGCAGGGATTCCATTTGGTTAACTGCTGGCACACTCACTAAGAAGTTGGGAAAATTACTTTCTACATTAACTCCTCCAGTAACTAAAGGTATATGTAAGAAACATGGCTGTGCTTTGGTCAAGGAATAGGCCGAGGCAGTCATCTGGGCCAGAATGACTCAGCGAGTTTGGAACACAGGCGCACGATTCCATGGATAATGTAAACACAACTATGTAGCCATAACATGGGAAGGCCATCACTTGGCTCTGAGCCACTGTTGTCTATAAAATGTATAATTGCCCTGTTGACACTGTGCAGGTGCACTCGTGCCCAGAGAAAGAGAGAATCAAAGCTGTCCCTCTTTGCAGATAGACAGTGGGGAGCCAGGGCACAGCACAACTCGGCTCATGACCAGAGAGAGAAAGAGTTAAGCTGATGACCCTGAAGGCAGGGGAGAGCCGGCCATACAGCTGCGTGTGGAAGGGGGCTGCTGAGAGGAGCTGCAGAGCTGTAGCAGACAGCTAGACAAGGCAGACAGTGTGAGAAAGCTAGTGTGAGTAAGCTGTTGATGAGAGTTACTACTGAATAAAGCATCTTTCACCTGCCTGTGCCCCCCCCCCCCGAGTGTTCTTTCTGCTCATCCACCCACTCCCTTCAGACCTCAACATGACAATTGGTATAGTCGTGAACATGACAGTATATTATTTGGTGATTTTTTTGTCTTTGCCCAGCAAAAAGTTTGTCCTGCATAAATTAGCAGTGTCTTATAAAAATAGTGTGCTAAGCTGGGTCCTCCCAGAACCAGACATCAAGACAAAATTAAGTGTTATTAGGGGAAATACCTGTCAGAGAAAATGTCAGCTGAGAGAATCATCAGACCACAGTGCAAGGATAGAGGGAAGAAGTTTGGATGGAAGCAACCTAGGCCACCTTGCAGTGTAAGTTGAGTTAAGCAAGGAAGGCCTGACACTAAATTCAGCTGTCGGAGGAGTCCTTAGTCTCCCAGAAACTTTGTCTGTCTTAGTATCCCTTATGCACTCAGTTATTAGCTGGAAACAGTTCATGGGATACTGAGCCACAGCAAAAACACAACAAAGCACTTGGGAATAGAACAGCTAGGGGCCCTGGTCAAATAATTTTACAGTATTTATGGTCCACAAGGTATATTCTTATGGCTGTTAAAAATGAGATTACTTTTTTTGTGTGTTTAAAAAGAAGTCTATTTCGAGGCAGTCAATCTGATTCAGGGGTTCCAAAAAAGTTGGGAAGACAAATTTCTTCTAGGCTTTCTTTTCACCATTGCTGTGATATGGCATTTGTCTTCATGCTTGTACAATTATTGATCCATCTCCTTTCTGAATAGGAAGGAAAAAGAGAAAGCAACAAGCATGAAGATGAAACATTTATGTGAGGAAAGCAAGATTTTGTGAGAAATTTCCACCAAATATTGTGCATATTTTTATTGGCAAAATTATATTACTTGGTCATTCCTATTTGCTAGGGTGTCTGAGAAATGTGCTTCCAGGCCCACCAGCATTAAATTTTACAGGAACTGACAAGAGCTTGTCTCTTTGAGCTGAGGAAGAGACGTTTTCTTTTCCATTTGTGGCTAAAATTCTTCTATTTACTCTTCTTACTGGATACTAAAAGCCATTTTCACTTTTCCAAAGATTCAATATGAGCTCCACATCTTCACCTCCACCCTCTTTCTTCTTCAGTCGCTCCTCTTCCTCTGCTGTTGAAAAGAACAAGACTCAAACAGAAACCCTTTTTCCTCCTCAACACCTCTGACACTCACAGTCCTCACCCATGATGTTGTTTACAACCTAATTTTCATTATTTATTGGAAAATGTTACTTCAAAAGAATGCCTACAAGGTATCTCAAAACATAAAATGGATAAAAGTAATTTTAATTAGCATTTAGCAATTGATACATTCAGATTTATGTTCATCAAATTGTTTGGAGGAGGTATATTTCACCTATCTGTTCATAGGAATCTGGAGATTGTTTCAAGCTATACATTATATCTCTTTATCTAGTCATGCCATATATATGTCATATATAGTTCTAAATGTTTTTCCATGGCTATTTTAATCAAAACAAAGAAATTTTGGAATTCAAATAAAACAATATGAACATTTTAAAATAAAAATTTAGAATTTTAGAATTCAAATTTGAGGAGTTTTAGAATTCAAATAAAACAATAAATTTTTATAACTAAAACCAAACTTTTTTAATTTCATGACTTTATACTACTAATTAATGTAAATAAAAATTTACTGTTCAGATAGTCTCTAATTTACTGTTTTTAAAATCATGTACACATGCTGTTTCTTTTAGAATTCAAAACAATAAAGTTATTTTATAATTCAAAACCAAGTCTTTTTTATTTTCATGACTTTATGCTATTATTAGTGCAAATGATATAAAGTTACAGCTTTAATAATCTACAAGTTATTCAACTTTTAAAAGTAAGTATCATGTTGTTTCTTTATTAGATTTATTTATTTATTTATTTATCTATTTTTGAGACAGAGTCTCCCTCTGTTACACAGGCTGGAGTTCAATGGTGCAATCTCGGCTCACTGCAACCTCCGCTTCCCAGGTTCAAGTGATTCTCCTGCCTCAGCATCCCGAGTAGTTGGGATTACAGGCACCCACCACCACATCAGGCTAATTTTTTGTAATTTTAGTAGAGACGGGGTTTCACTATGTTGGCCAGGCTGGTCTCGAACTCCTGACCTTAGGTGATCCACCTGCCTTGGCCTCTCAAAGTGCTGGGATTACAGGCGTGAGCCACTGTGTCCAGCCCTAGATTTATTAATTTAAAAAACATTTTAATTACAGTGAATCAACTAATGGAAACTTAAACACAGTTTGAAAGCACTGGCCTAACCTATCATTAGTTCTTTTCATCTTAGAAAAGATAGACCACTGTAGACACTATTGATTATCTGAATGCTGGTAATTCAAGTGTAGGACCCACATGATGAAGCCAGTGAAGACTTCTCTAGGTGGCCCCAACCTTTCTGCAAATAAACTGAGCATCAGGGAGGGCTGGACAGTGCAAAAAGAAAAGAAAAAGAAAATCTCATGAGATAAACAGATAAACAGGCTTAACAGATAAACAGGTTGAGCAAGAATGCTACAAGTCTATTCGCCGTACTTAATATTTATTTATTTATTTATTTTAAATATATAATATAGAAAACACTTAATAGCATGAATTATGTATGCTTTTAGTGAGTAATCGCATTGACATTTGAGAGGGAAACATTTCTTTACTGGTCCAAACTAGACAAAGCTACTGATTCAAGGTACCATTTATTACCTAGGTAAAGAAGACTGCCTCTTATGGAAATTGCCAGCAACAAACAAATTGTCCCTGTTCTGATTTGCCTCTTATTTTGGTATTTCCCCCATTCTTCTTAGCTCCACAGCTGTTTTTAACAGCAGTTGTTCTAAGCGCTGTTACTCAAGATAACCCAGCTTTTTCCAATCTACCCAGCTCAATTTGGTTGAAGTTCATATGCCAGGTTGCTGGGCATTGTGTTAATGGAATATGATGGTTATTGCCCTGCAAAGGATGGGGACTGAGAAAGGAAGTCACATGACAACATTCTAACAAAATAGAAAAAAACATAAAACATGACTAAATCAAGAGATACAGCAGTTCTGAGAAAGCCATATCACATCACAGTGAAGCAATGAAGAATAACCCATGAAGTCCAAGTTAGGGAGGTACCAGAGGGTGGAGGGGGAAGGTATGGACATGAGAATTCCTCTATGAGGAAAAGCAAAGAGCCTATTTATGTGATTTAGGGTAGAACTAACTTAAACAACAAGCCTGGAAAATTGGAGATGATGATGTGAAATGGTTTGAAATCCATATTAAGGAGACTGAAGATCCTTCAAAGAACTTTGAGCAGAGCAGTTTATATTGCCAAATTGAAAGTTAGGAATTGTCCTCACAGTGGACTTTTAGGAAGTGTGGAAGGTGGTGAGACTGCAGAAGGAGAGACCAGTTAGGAAGATGTTGAAATAAAGAAACCCTGGACCATATTTTTCTCTTTGGTTTCTGATGACAGTGAGGACAAATACGCAGCTGTGACCCAGGTCTTATCACAGGGTCTGATCCAGAAATTCCTTCACTATGTGTACAAGGAATGGGCAAGTGAGTGAATAAAAGGAAAGAGACAGATTCGAGGGATTGCACAGCAAGAACTTCACACAGTATGGATATTTCCATGGAGAAGCAGAAGTCAGAAAAATTTTGAAGTTTTGAACTCAGGTGCTAGGCACTTAGAAGTTTCTGACTTGACGTCTATTGAAAGGATAAAGGAATTCATAAATATGGAAATATTTGTTGAATGAATGAGTGAGCAGCTGTGCAGAAGAACTGATGGAGGAACCTTGAGCTAAGATGGACAAAAGCACATGTTTTACAGTTAGAAAAGTATCTGCTTTCCACATCTGGCTTGGCCCCTTAGCATGAGTGTAGTTTTAGGAAAGTAATTTTACTCCTAGGAGGTCTAGCTTCCTTTGTAAATGGCAGGTAATCACACATAGATTTATGTAAAAATGAAATTGGATAAGTAAAGTGATTCCTTTTTTAGTGTGCCCCACAGATTAAAAATATGGTGGTGATTATTCCTATGAGGTCCTTTTGCTAGCATTTTGAATGGGAATATCTCATCCTATATGGTTTCAAGTGCAGATTTAAATTAAAGGGAGAAAATTTTAGCCAGGAGATAATTTTGGAAGCCATTTCCTTCAATAGATGGACATTTCTGAGGGAATAAAGATCCAGATGAGAATAGAAAAGGAAGTCTCATCAAAAGTAAGACACAAGTGGCCTCATTGGGAAGTCCAAAAGGTCTTCTCCCTGGGTGAGCAGAGAATAGTGTGGACACTGCAGCCCTTGGACACTGTATCCTTCTGATCACTGAGGTAAAAAGGGGGCCGGGTGTGGTGGCTCATGCCTGTAATCCTAGTGCTTTGGGAAGCTGAGGTGGGAGGATCATTTGAGGCCATGAGTTTGAGATAAGCCTGGGCAATATAGTGAGACTTCTTTCTCTATAAAAAGTAAAATAAAATTAAATTTAAAAATTAAATAAAAGAGACCCCTCTCACATTGGCTTATTTGGCTAGGACTCTAAAACCAGTGTTTCTGTACCAGGACAAATGAAAATACAAAAAGCAGTGCTTTGGGGACAGAAAGCATTAAGCATGATTCTGCCCCCACAATCTGGAGGAACATTTTATTGCAGTCAGCTCCTAGTGCATTCCATGATCAAAAGTGTCATGCTTCAGCCAAAGAAAGAGCAAATTTGTCTTCATGAGGCAAAATAAATCAATTGTCCTCTTTGCTACATAAAGAGAACATGAAATACTCTGTGCTAGTAGTAATCAGTGGGACATATTTAGGAAAAAGAAAAGGAGGTCTGAATGTCTATCTGATTTTAACAAAACTGAAAATATTTGGGGGGAAAGAGGAAATGTAGAGAATGGACTAGAAATTTGGCCAGTTACAGAACAATGTGCTTGAGGCTGACAGATTGTCTTTGATCTTCTGAATCATCCATGGAAGGAAGTAAAGGACATCCTTTGAGGAGCTCCCTGTTTGGGGGCGGATGAAGATTAATTCAATTTTTTCACTTAAGAAAATAACCCTGAGTTTCTAACTATGCCAGGCACTGCTCTAGAAGCAAGGAAATAGAGCAGTGATCAAATGGAAACAGCTCCCCTACACTCCTTACCCCTACCAAATAATCCTGGTCTCAATGAATATATTGGGGAAGGAGCAAGGTCAATAAACAAAACATGCAATGTCAGATCTTCATAAGCTTTTCTTTAAAAAAAATAGAGGAGTGGCTGAGTGTGGTGGCTCACGCCTGTAATCCCAGCACTTTAGAAGGCCAAGGCGGGTGGATCATGAAGTCAAGAGTTCAAGACCAGCCTGGCCAACAAGGTGAAACCCCGTCTCTACTAAAAATACAAAAATTAACTGGTGTGGTGGTGGGCACCTGTCATACCAGCTACAAGGGAGGCTGAGGCAGGAGAATGGCTTGAACCCGGGAGGCGGAGGTTGCAGTGGGCTGAGATTGCCCCACTGCACTCCAGCCTGGGTGACAGACCAAGACTCTGTCTCAAAAAAAAAAAAAAAAAAAAGAGGAGTAAAAATGAAAAAAAAAATAAAGCAGTAAGTAGGGACAGAAAATGCAAGTGGGGTGGCTCAATTACAAGACAGTTGAAGTAGGTCTCACTGACAATAAGAGTTCCCAGTCTTAGGGCCTTTGTGTTTCTCATTAGAAAGGGTGAAGGCTCCATTCCAGGAAAGGAACAGGAATTCTGCCTACCCACAGCTGCTCTGGCCCAGCTCAGCCCCTGGGCAACTGTGCTGAGAGACTCATGCATGACATTTCAAAGTGACAGACCAACTCACCTTCATGGAAGATGCAGCCATGGTGGAATTCCCAGTGTAGCAGGGAATTCCCAGGGAAGCAGGTTTGACCTCAGCTTTCTCAGTCAACAGTGCACAGAAGCACCTGCTGAGTAGTTTCAGCCACTCCACTTCCCTATAGGTAAGGGTGCCCAAATGGTGAGAACCATGGAAGGAACATGCAACTATTGGCCATGTGAGATAAAAGGATGCAAAAAGAATTCATGTTTATATATTTATGTACACAGATGAGTACACAGACACTAATAGGAGTGATTGCTTATAGTTGGTAGGGTAACTGGGTGGTTTGGGACTGAGGTGGAAACAGGATTGTTTATTGTATTTTTTAATATATGTGGTTATTAAACCCTAGAAGTGCAGTACCTATTCAAAACCACGAAACAAACAATTCCAGTTATTTTTTTTTTTGGAGCTTGAGGGCTATCCCTTGTTTGCTCCTTGGGCTCGTGGCTTTCTTTCGTTTCTTTTTCTTTCTCTTAGTTTTGTCACTTGAATCTTTACTACTGTCACCAGATTCCTTGCATTTACTCTTAGCTGATCAGAAAAGGAAGAACATGACTTTTAATGGACATTTTTTCCCTAAAGTTATTTCTTTTGTTATCTTGGAGATCTGCATACACACGCAGAGCTATAAAGAACAGTCAGATGCCCGTCTAGTACACATCAGGCATGCTTCAATAACTACCTACATTTTCAAACTTGTTTCTTTTACTATTATTTTGATATAATTATAGATTCAAGGAAGTTGCAAAGTTTGTACAGAGACCCCATGTTTACCTGCATGGTCACATTTTACATAACTAAAGTACAATAACAAAACCAGGAAATTGCCATTACTAGTGTGTATATGTATAGTTCTAAGCCGTTTAATAATGTTTAGATTTGTACAAACTCCATTATGATCAATATAAATAATTATTCCATCACCACAAAAATCTCCCTTCTGATATCCCTTTATATTTACGTCCACCTCCTAACCTCGTATCCTCCCTATACCCATCATTTATAATCCCCGGCAATCGCTAATCTGTTTTACATCACTGCAATTTTGTCTGTATATGTATACAAATGTTGTCATGTATTTGTACGTGTATATGAAATATATAAACACATACATATATAAAATCATACAGTATGTGAACTTCAGAGATTTTTTTCCACTCAGCATGAGGGAAGAGAGAGACCCTCTCATATTGTTTTATATTATTTTATACCCAGTACCTGTTTTAAGAAAAAACAACAAGGAAGTAAAACCAAAGACAGGCAGCCCGGCGCCAGGCCCAAAACCAGGCCTGGGCCTGCCTGGCCTAAACCCAGTAGTTAAAAATCAACTCATAACTTAGAAACCAATGTTATTCATAGATTCCAGACATTGTATAGAAGAACATTGTGAAACTCCCTGCCCTGTTCTGTTTCTCTCTGACCACCGGTGCATGCAGCCCCTGTCACGTACTGCCTGATTGCTCAAATCAGTCACAACCCTTTCATGTGAAAGCTTTAGTGTTGTGAGCCCTTAAAAGGGACAGAAATTGTGCATTCAGGGAGCTCGGATTTTAAGGCAGTAGCTTGCCGATGCTCCCAGCTGAATAAAACCCTTCCTTCTACTACTCGGTGTCTGAGAGGTTTTATCTGAGGCTCGTCCTGCTACAAGCATAATGCCCTCAAGATCTATCTAAATTGTTGAATGTATCAATGTTTAATTTTTTATGGCTGAATAGTACTCCATTGTACAAATTGCCACATTATGTTTTACCACTCACCTATTAAGAGACATTATGATTGTTTTCAGTTTTGGCTATTCCAAATAAAACTGCTGTGAACATTCCTGCACGAGTTTTGAATAACGCTGCAATAAACATGAGAATGCAGATATCTCTTCAGTATACTGATTTCATTTCCTTTGACTGTATACCCAATAGTGGGATTGCTAGATCATATGATAGTTCTATTTTTAATTTTTTGTGTAATCTCCATACTGTTTTCTGAAACGGCTGTACTAATTTTCATTCCACAGAGAGTGTACAAGATTTCTCTTTTCTCCATATTCTCTCCAACACTTGTTATCTTCTGTCTTTTTTATAACAGCTGTTCTAACAAGTGTGAGGTAGTTTTTCATTATGGTTTTAATTTGCCTTTCCCTCATGATTAGTGATGTTGAGCATTTTTTCACGTACCTGTTGTCCATTTGTATGTCTTCTTTTGAGAAATGTCTATTCAGGTTCTTTGCCTACTTTTTAATTAGGTTCTTGTTTTCTTAACATTGAGTTGTTCGAGTTCCTTATATATTTTGTACATTAACCCCTTATCAGATGTATGGTTTGCAAATATATTCTCCCATTCCATAGATTGTTTCTTTATTATTCCCTTGGCTGTGCAGAAGCTTTTTGATTTAACATAATCATACGTTTTAATTTTTGCTTTTGTTTGCCTGTGATTTTGAAGTCATGTCCAAAAAATCATTGCTCAGATCCATGTCATGGAGCTTTCCCCCTGTTTTCTTCTAGTAGTTTTACAGCTTCAGGTCTTACATTTAAGCTTTTTCACTCATTTTGAGTTGATTTTTGTATACGGTGTGAGATGAGGGTCTAATTTCATTCTTCTGCATGTAGGTTTAGGGCAAATTGTGCCATCTTGGCTCACTGCAACCTCCGCCTCTCGGGTTCAAGCAATTATCCTGCCTCATCCCCCCTGAGTAGGTGAGATTACATGCGCACACCACCACGCCAGGCTAATTTTTTGTGTTTTTAGTAGAGATAGGGTTTCACCATGTTGGCTGGGATGGTCTCAAACTCCTGACCTCAAGTGATTCGCTTGCCTCGGCTTCTCAAAGTGCTGGGATTACAGGTAAGAGCCACTGCACCCAGCTGCAAACATCTTTAATTCTAATGTTTGTCTTTCACAACAACTCTTCCAGTGGCAGAGTAAAAGAAAACTATTTGGTAAATGTTACCAAAATTACTAGTGTATTTATTCTTTGGATCCAGAGTTTCTCTTCTAGGCCTTGATTCTACAGATATACTTGCTCTTGTGAGAATTACAACAGGAAAATTACTACACATTGAAGCATTTGTTATTTTATAAACACAATTAGATATCTAGCAAAATGAGCTAGTTTTCTGGCTATTTGAAAAATAGTCATTAAGTATCCATTTATACAAAGGAATTTTACAGAATATATGAAAAAATAAGGAAGTTCAAAATGTACTGATACGGAATTGAAACGGGAAAAGTTCCCCTGGTCTCTTTGCAGGGCGTTCAACAGGGAGAGTGGCTCGCTTCTTCAAACCTCTAGGGGAGCATACAGATGGACAAGCTTGGGCCTCCAACCCCACGGCAGCATCTAGAGGTAGATGTTTACAGCTCCTGAAGCCCCAGTGGGCGTGCGCCCTGTGCTCTTTTAGTTTTGCTGCCTATAAGCGGCTTATGTTAACCAGCTCAATTAGATCCTCTTCTTTGTCGTAAGGACAGAGGGCTTTCTGTATCCCGGGTTCTTGCCTTGGTGTATTGGAAGAATCAGATTACACCTGGGCTTAGAGAATGAGTGCAAGGTTTTATTGAGTGGAGGTAGTTTTCAGCAGATGAGGGATGGAGTGGAAAGGTTTTCCCCTGGATTCCTGCCGCTCAGCAGCCCCGGCTCTCCTCCAACCGCCCTGACCAAACTCCAAGTCGTTCGGCCGGTCGGTCGATGGCCTGCAGGCTTGCCGGTACCTGTCAGCGTGCTCTCGACACCCTCTCCACATCCAGGTGCTTGTGTGTTCCTCTGCCAATGTGTTTGTCTTGACGTCCAGCCGCGTGTGTGTCTGCCTGCTAGAGTCTTGGGGTTTTTATAGGCACAGGATAGGGGCGTGGCGGGCCAGGGTGGTCCTGGGAAAGGCAACATTTGGGTGCAAAAGCAGGAGTGCCGAGTGCCTGTCCTCACCTAGGTCTGTGGGCACAGGCCCGGGGGTGGAGCCCTTGAGAGGGACCCACCCGTCTCCTCCCAGCACTTCCTTGCCCCCCTTCGGTATCAGAATGATATCTAAGGTGTAAATTTAATTAACAAAAGAGAAGCAATGCAAGAGTAATAGTATTCTAAAAATGTGGAATATATATTTAAGTTGTTATTATATCCATGAACAATCTCTGGAGGAATGCAAAAGAAACTCTTAAGTGTTGGCAGAAACTAAGAAAATAGAGTCATAGTACATAGAATTTCATAAATCTCATTTTGTATATTTCTGTAGTGTCTTATTTATTAAACATATGATTGCATTGTTTTTCAAAATGAATAAGTTTGAAAACAATTTGTGGCTTCTTTCTAGACATCATTCATTAATGTCTTTGCACTTCTCACAATGCTATCAGTGTCTTTATCATCAAAGAGCTACAAAATAATCTGGTTCTACATTAATTTAAATGAATAATTCAGTTATTAATTTCTTAAAATGGAATCATTAAATACACATATTTGGTGAGAATACATAGTTCTGGCAATCAGATATCTGATGAGGCCATTTTGAAAAATACTTGATACTATTTTACTTTTTACACGTTTATAGCACAAAATGTTAAAATTGATAGACAGGCTTTCCCCCCATGTTTTAGAGTCCCTTTACCATGTCTCTGTTGTAGCCCTTGTAAACATTTGGGTTTTTCACCCCTCTACTTAAAAATGGTGAACGCTTACTTCTTTTCTGGTTTGGCTTTTTGGCTGTCTACATGGCTTTTACATAATTTATGTTATTATATTACACTGTAATTTAGGAACTTCTCTTTCTCATATCACTGTGGCTTACATGAAGGCAAGGAGCATGCTATCTATCTCAGTCTCATAACTTTTCTGTGGCAGCCTTTTCCTAGTATCTAACATAGAAAGTAAGACAAAGTAAGTGTTGGTATTTGACTCAAAAGGAAAAAAATATAAGGATCTGGAAATAATAGTAAGAATGACATATTAAAACTGAATCATACGCCTGTAATCCCAGCACTTTGGGAGGCCGAGGCGGGTGGATCACCTGAGGTCAGGAATTTGAGACCAGCCTGGCCAAGATGGTGAAACCCTGTCTCTACTAAAAATGAAAAAATTAGCGAGGCGCCTGTAATCCCAGCTACTTGGGAGGCTGAGGCAGAGAATTGCTTGAACCTGGGAGGCAGAGGTTGCAGTGAGCTGAGATGGCACCACTACACTCCAGCCTGGGTGACAGAGTGAGACTGCATCTCAAAACAACAACAACAACAAAAACTGAATCATGGGCCAGATGGTGGCTCACACCTGTAATCCCAGCTTTTGAGAGGCCAAGGTGGGAGAAATGCTTGAGCCCAGGAGTTCAAGACCAGCCTGGGCAATTTTGTGAGACCCTCATCTCTACCAAAAAAAAAAAAAAAAAAAAAATTAAATTAAATTAACTAGGCATGATGGTATGCGCCTATAATCCCAGTTACTTGGGAGGCTCAGGTGGAAGGATCCCTTGAGCCCAGGAGTTCAAAGCTGCAGTAAGCAATGATCATGCCACTGCACTCCAGCCTGGGTGACAGAGACCTTGTCTCTAAAAAATAAAAATACTGAAGAAAATATTATTGAGTATTAAGAATAGACATGAGGGCTGGGCGCCGTGGCTCACGCCTATAATCCCAACACTTTGGGAGGCCGAGGCGGGCGGATCATGAGGTCAGGAGATCGAGACCATCCTGGCTAACACGGTGAAACCCTGTCTCTACTAAAAAAATACAAAAAGTTAGCTGGGCTTGGTGGCGGGCGCCTGTAGTCCCAGCTACTCAGGAGGCTGAGGCAGGAGAATGGCGTGAACCCGGGAGGCGGAGCTTGCAGTGAGCCGAGATTGCGCCACTGCACTCCAGCCTGGGCGGCAGAGCGAGACTCTATCTCAAAAAAAAAAAAAAAAAGAAAATAGGAGATGTGTAACTAGTGATGTAATGCCCAACCTTGTTTTTACTAACCTTTTTAGACTCTCCCTTTTCCTTTAATCACCTAGCCTTGTTTCCACCTGAATTGACTCTCCCTTAGCTAAGAGAGCCAGACTCACTCCATCTTGGCTCTTTCACTGGCAGCCCCTTCCTCAAGGACTTAACTTGTGCAAGCTGACTCCCAGCACACCCAAGAATGCAATTAACTGATAAGATACTGTGGCAAGCTATATCCGGAATTCCTAGGAATTCATCTGATTGATAACGCCCAAAGCCCCGAGTCTGTCACCTTGTAATAGTCTTAAAGCCCCTGCACCTGGAACTGTTTACTTTCCTGTAACCATTTATCCTTTTAACTTTTTGCCTACTTTATTTCTGTAAAATTCTTTTAACTAGATCCCCCTCCCCTTTCTAAACCAAAGTATAAAAGAAAATCTAGCCCCTTCTTCAGGGCCTAGAGAATTTTGAGCATTAGCCGTCTCTTGGCCGCCGGCTAAATAACCGGACTCTTAATTCGTCTCAAAGTGTGGCGTTTTCTCTAACTCGCTCAGGTACAACAGTGGCACATAACTAAGGATACCCTGGAATTTGAGTTGTCCAAATAAGTGCTATTCTGTACTTCTCTCTGAAAAGTCAAAATTGAGTTGAGAAAACTTAAATCTACAATCTTAATCAGAAAATAATTAAAAATAAACATAATTAAAATTGTTGCACATCTAAAGGAGTGGGAAGCAGGGAATAGAAACTGGAAATACTGAATTTTAGAACACATTGATGTGGCTAATAACCACATGCACTGCCTTTGACTTCCATGTATTTTGTTACCAGTAAAATAGAACTAGAAAGATGAACTCTACATCTATTGCCTGTAAAATCTTTATTATTATTATTATTATTATTATTATTATTATTATTTTCCGAGATGGAGTCTCGCTCTGTTGCCAAGGCTGGAATACATTGGCACGATCTTGGCTCACTGCAAGCTCCGCCTCCTGGGTTCACGCCATTCTCCTGCCATAGCGTCCAGAGCAGCTGCAACTACAGGTGCCCGCCACCTCGCCCGGCTATTTTTTTGTGTTTTTAGTAGAGACGGAGTTTCACCGTGTTAGCCAGGATGGTCCTGATCGCCTGACCTCGTGATCCCCCCGCCTCGGCCTCCCGAAGTGCTGGGATTATAGGAATGAGCCACCGCGCCCGGCGCCTAAGATTTGACGAGAAAAAGGAGCTGAAAGCTTTTATAAATTTGGTGACATAAACCTCCCAATTCAGTAAGTTCAGAGAACGCTAAGCAGGATAAACCCAGAAATATCCATACCGAGACACATTATAAATTTCTGAAAATTAAACCAAAGGAAAAAAACCTCTAAAGTGGCCTGGGACTACTTGTAAGAAAACAAAGTTTCTCAAATAACATTGGATTTTTCATAAGAAATCATGAAGCTGAGAGAAAACTGCATTCATCGCCTGACCTTATTAAATCCCTACGCTAGTGTTTCAGTGACATTTCAGGTTTCCATTGGTTCATGTCAATTCAGAGCCACTGTTCACTAACATCTGAAAAGTTCAATTGAGTTTCCTTCCCCACTACATGGCATCCTAGTGTGTTCAGAAGTGGTGGGTTCTTGGTCTCACTGACTTCAAGAATGAAGCCACAGACCCTCGCAGTGAGCAGTTCTTAAAGGTGACAGGTCTGGAGTTTGTTCCTTCATGATGTCCGGATGTGCTCGTAGTCTTCCTAGCTCAGGATGGAAGCTGCAAACCTTCGCGTGAGTGTTACAGCTTTTAAGGCGGCGCATCTGGAGTTGTTCCTTTCTCCGGGTAGGTTCGTGGTTTCGCTGGCTTCAAGAGTGAAGCTGCAGACTTTCGCGGTGAGCATTACAGCTCACAAACGCAGTGTGGACCCAAAGAATGAGCAGCAGCAAAATTCAGCACAAAGAGTAAAACAGAACAAAGCTTCCACAGCCTAAACAGGGAACCCAACAGGTTGCCGCGGCTGGCTCGGGCAGCCTGCTTTCATTTTCTTATCTGGCCCCACCCACATCCTGCTGATTGGTCCATTTTACAGAGAGCTGATTGGTCCGTTTTGACAGGGTGTTGATTGGTGCGTTTACAATCCCTGAGCTAGACACAAAAGTTCTCCACGTCCCCACTAGATTAGCTAGGTACAGAGTGTGGACACAAAGGTTCTCCAAGTCCCCACCAGAGTAGCTAGATACAGAGTATCGATGGGTGCATTCACAAACCCCGAGCTAGACACAGGGTGCTGATTGGGGTGTGTACAAACCTTGAGCTAGATACAGAGTGCCGATTGGTGTATTTACAATCCCTTAGCTAGACATAAAGTTCTCCAAGTCCCCACCAGACTCAGGAGCCCAGCTGGCTTTACCCAGTGGATCCCGCACTGGGGCCGCAGGTGGAGCTGCCTGCCAGTCCTGCGCCGTGCACCCGCACTCCTCAGCGCTTGGGTGGTCGATGGGACTGGGTGCCCGTGGAGTAGGGGGCGGCGCTCGTCGGGGAGGCTTGGAGCCCACGGAGTGCGGGGGAGGGTCAGGCATGGCGGGCTGCAGGTCCCGAGCCCTGCCCCACAGGAAGGCAGCTAAGGCCTGGTGAGAAATTGAGCACAGCAGCTGCTGGCCCAGGTGCTAAGCCCCTCACTGCCTGGGGCCGGCGGGCTGGCGGGTCGCTCCAAGTGCGGGGCCTGCCGAGCCCACGCCCACCCGGAACTCGTGCTGGCCCGCAAGCACCACGCGCAGCCCTGGTTCCTACCCGCGCCTCTCCCTCCACACCTCCCCGCAAGCTGAGGGAGCCGGCTCTGGCCTTGGCCAGCCCAGAAAGGGGCTCCCACAGTGCAGCGGCGGGCTGAAGGGCTCCTCAAGCCCAGCCAGGGTGGGCGCCAAGGCCGACGAGGCACCGAGAGTGAGCGAGGGCTGTGAGGGCTGCCAGCAGGCTGTCACCTCTCACTAGTAAATG
Source organism: Homo sapiens (assembly GCF_000001405.40). Taxonomy (NCBI): domain Eukaryota; kingdom Metazoa; phylum Chordata; class Mammalia; order Primates; family Hominidae; genus Homo; species Homo sapiens. The sequence continues at coordinate 27,045,094 of NC_000006.12, read as the reverse complement.
ACTGCAGGTCCCTTTGTGGAAGGGTGGAAGATAGATTAACAGTACACATTTTTGGCAGTGTAGCTGGGGTGGGGACCTGGCTTCCCCTTCATTCAAGAGGTTACACATCTGTGAACTGATTTAAATCACAGGAATTGTGATAAATGTGGGAATTGTTTGATTATCTGTTCTAGTGTTTCAAATCAGATTTCTGTTTACTAGATTAGGGATGTTCCCTTTCTACAGATCCAACAAAACTTTAGTAGATTTGGTCCACAGACACCATGATCAACTGGTGAGTGCCAAAGATCTCTCTGGGTCAGACTATTCTGTTTACTGATCATTATGGTAACCATATTCACCTTGTCTTTGGTGGTTAAGTGCCTCCTCTTGGCCCCTGTCACCTTAGGATCAAATCATCCCATTGTGTTTAGGGATTCCATCTAAGAGGGAAGATCCACCACAGAGCTCTGGTGCTGGGGCTATCCTCATGAATTCGTCACAGCTGTAGTCTCCTGGTTTGGATGAGCAGATTTTACACCATAAATTATCTTTAGCATTTCAATCACTCATAGACTTTGGAGAAGTCCCTCTACAGTATCCTAAGTAGGTTCTGAAGTTTTGGCTTCATTTATTGCAGGCCAATTTGGGTCCCTTTTTCAGACAACTAGCCTAGCAAAATTTAGAGCCATTCCTAACCCCTCAAGCTAAATTGAATTCATAATCTCTGCTTAATGTTCCCGTATCAATAAATCTGACCTGGTCCAACTTTATATTTTAGCTTGATCCTACACCTTTAAAATCCACTTCCATCTAGCTGGAATCACAAACAATCTGCAATCAGCTGGAATCACCATCTGTAGGTATAAAAGCATGCGGCCTTATTGCATTACAATAAAAATGCCACCCATATATTATTTTTACTAAAAGTGATACCATAACAATGATACCTTCATCTGAGAGGAAAATATTGGCTTTCCAGAGATCACTCATTATTTCTGTGACACCAAGTGTTTCATCAAAGAGTAATATGTTCAGATTTCCTTTTCCTCAATGCAGTTTGTTTTTTCTTCATCATAAAATAATCAGACTGTATATATTTGCTAGCAGGACTATGAGATTTACAGGTGGTAACTGCTCTAGAGGATGTGCAGAAGGTCCTGCTGTGTTTCAGTTTCTTAATGATAGAATATTTTCCCAAAGAAAGGAATTGGAAAAAGTAGGTAGGGAGGAGAACTATGGGTGAGGTCAGATAATGTAAGGTACTATTGAAGCTGAGAAGAGTTTGCAGATTTTTATTTTTATTTTTTACAATTCTCTCTAATTTTCAGTGTGTTTTAATAATGCCATAATAAAATTTTGTTTTTTAATTTTTCTCCAGCTTTATTGAGATATAATTGACAAGTAAAAGTTGTATATATTTAAGGTGTGCAACGTGAGGTTTTGATATAAGTATACATTGTGAAGTGATTACCACTATCAAGCTAATTAACATACCCATCAAACCACACAGTTACCTTTTTGTGTGTGTCATGAGAACACTTAAGTTCTACTTTCTTGGCAAACTTCAAGTATACAACACATTATGACCTACAATCATCCTGCTGTACATTAGATCTCCAGAACTTATTCATCTAATAACTGAAAGTTTGTACTTCTTGACTGAAATCCCCCATTGTCCCCTTTCCTCAGCCCCCGGCAACCACTGTTCTACTCTCTGTTTCTATGAATTTAGCTTCTTTAAATTCCACATGTAAATGAGATCATGCAGTATTTATCTTTCTGTGTCAGGCTTATTTCACCTAGCAGAAGGTTCTCTAGGTTCATCTATGTTGTCGCATGTGGCAGGATTTCTTTCTTTTTAAGGTTAAATAATATTCCATTATATATATGTAAATTGATACTTAGGTTGTTTTCCTATCTTGACTGTTGTGAATAATGCTGCAATGAATTTGGGAGTGAAGATATCTCTTTGATATACAGATTTCTTTTTGTTTGGATATCTGCCCAGTGGTGGAATTGCTGGATCATATGGTAGTTTTACTTTTAATTTTTTGAGGAATCTCTATACTGTTTCCATAGTGGCTGTACCAATTTACATTCCCACCAACACTGTATAGAGGTTCTCTTGACATCTTCACCAACACTTGTTGTCATTCCACTTTTTGATAGCCATGCAAACAAATGTGAGGTAGTATCTCATTGTGGTTTTGATTTGCATTTTTCTGACTGGGAAAATATAATATCTTCAAATATATGTTGTTAGGAAAACTGGATAGCCATAGGCAAAAGAATGAACTTTGTCTCTTATCTTACACCATACACAAAAATCAATTCAAAATGGATTGAAGATGTAAATATAAGACTTGAAACTGTAAAACTGCTAGAAGAAAACAGGGGAAGAGCTCCTTGACATTGATCTTGGCAATTTTATGGAAATGACACCAAAACTCCAGGCAATAAAAGCAAAAATAAACAACTCAACTACAAACCGTAGTTTGAGACTACATCAAACTGAAAGGTTTCTTCACATCAAAGGAAACAATCAATAATATGAAAAGGCAGCCTACAGAATGGGAGAAAATATTTGCAAACCATACAGGGGGCTAATATTCAAATATATAAGGAACTGATACAACTCAATAGAAAAAACAAACAACCTAATTTAAAAATGGGCAAAGACTTGACTAAACATTTTTCCAAAGACAACATACAAATAGGAAACAGGTATATGAAAATATTTGTTTTTTTAAAAGAAGAGTTTGGAAAAATTTAAATAATTTTAAAGATAATAGGTTGAAAACAGAAGACAATGTAATTGGAAAACTATTTGAAATTTTGGGGAAGAATCTTCAAATATTCTCCTAAATAGATAGAGATCTCAGATATTTATACATATGTAACCTATACTCTATTGTTATGCAAATGTAAAACACTAAAATAATTGTGGAACCAGATTGTACATGGATACCAGAGAATCTAGATTACTCAAGCTTTAGCAGTAATATTGTGAAAAGAAACAACAAATTTGAAAACAAAATTGTCAGTCACTTTTAATCATTTCACAAGGCTTGCATATACCAAAACATCGTATTGTAATTCCATAAATATGTACAATTTTTGCCAACTATATCTTAATTTTTAAAATTATCAGTTGCTAAAATTAATCTATAAGGGGTGCCAAGCCTTAGCCAATTAATTATCCTAAAATCAAAACTTTAAAAATAGAACAATGACTAAAAGGGAAATTATATGACCACTCTATTGACTGCTAGGAAGCCATCAACATGATCATGAAAAACAAACCGGTTTTAACTGAAAAAGCAGCTGTTTAAAATAATTGTGAAACCAGATTATTATGTAGACATATAAAGAATGCATGAATATAGTCAAGGGAAAAAAAGCATCTGACAATAAACCAGTAAAATTTGAGGGGTTATGATTATGATTTAAAACTGTCTTACCCTAGCATTTAAAACTAGTATTTAAACTCCTGCATCCATTCCTTAGGACCAAAATTTGTTGACTCCCAGTAGATTCCTGTTTCACTATCTAATTCTTTGAATTTGTGCCTTGATGTATGTGTCTAGATTTCTGAACTTAAGTCTTTCATAAGATTTCATTTTACCTTTCATAGTAGGAGAACAGAACAACCATCAGACTCTCTTTTCGATTCCCTTTTTATTAACTTCTGTGGACAACTTTGATTCTCTCTCTCCACCAACCCTTCCCCTCTCCCTTTCTCTCTCCCTTTCCCTCTCTTCTCTCTTCTCACTCTGTTGTATCTTCCCACCTTGCTCTTATTTCTAGAAGCTTATTAAATTGATCTTATAACTCCACTTAGATGATTTGAATGGGTTGAAAGAAAAAGCCCCTTCAAGGAGTCTGCTAAAAATCCAGAGAACCATATGTTAAATGAGGGTAAAATTGAGGGATATCTTGCAAAATCATCTCGACATTTGAAATATTAATGCCATAAATGCTTACCTCCCAGTGGCCCCGCCCTCAAATACCATCACATTGAAGGTAGGGATTTCAACATATGAAATTTGTGGAAAGACAATTCCCCATATGGACAATTCAGTCCGTAACAGATGTGATGAGAAGGATACTTTACCTCTGTGGTATTCTCCCCACAAACTCATAACCTTAGTTTAACCATAAAGAAACTATCAGGATGAGCCCAGTGTAATCACATAAATTCTTAAAAACAGAACTTTCTCTGTTTAGAAGCAAGAGATGAGACAAAAAGGGAAGTCAGAAAGATTCTTCGTGCATCGTTCATTCTTTGAAGAAGTGGCCAACATGATGAGGAATACAGGCAGCCTAAAGGATATAACAGACGTTCCTGGCTAATAGCAAGAAAAAAGTGAACTTCAGTTCTACCAACACAGGGAACTGAATTCTGTCAATAGCCTAATTAAGCTTAGAAACAGATTCCCCCCGGAGCCTCCAGATAAATCTCAAATTAGCCAACACCTTGACTTCAGCCTTCTAACAACTGAAGCAGAAAAACCAGCCAAGACCACTGAACATCTGACCTACAGAATGTGAGGCTGGAGGCATGGAGCCTCAACATGGACTCCCAGGTCAGTTCTTCTGGACAGGATTAGAAGTTCTCCCCTCTTCCCTCATTTTTTTTTACTACCACTTACGTAACTCAGCTGACACAAGAACAATGCTCTTGTGGCTAGAAAAATATTTACTTGAACTTTAGGTTTCAGCCACTTCCACTCACTTCAGCACATTCCTTCGCAGGAGGAACTATACTGCCCCCTCAGAAGGGAAGGGTATGCATGGAGACCAGAGAATGATTATTTAAGCTAGGCCACATTGCTGGTTGGTGGATATCAAAATCAGCTGCCTTCCTCTCCTTGAATACATTTATTTTCTAATGGAACCATATCTGGAAATAGTATTAGGGACCCAGCACGAATGTTTAACTCTGATAGCCAGGGCTGCACACAACCTACTCAGCTAGATCTAGGCTGTGGCTCCAGAACATGAGCTGCTGGAGGCAGTGGCAGTGGATTTTATTTGGCAGTAAACTTTTAAAAGAAATATACTTACAAAGAAATGAATAAATCACAAGTGAATATCTCAATAAATTGTATAAACTAATTCATTTGCATACAACCGGCACTCAGATCAAGAAACAGACAATACTAGCACCCCAGAAGCCCCCCTTCTGCCATGTTCTAGACACCATACCCCAACGGTAGCCCTTGATTCTAGCACTTGATGATCTTTCATTATTAATGTAGAGTATACTTTTAAAATGTTCAGAAAGTGATAAGATTCTCAGATGTTTCTTCCAAATTGGTTCCTGAGCTTTGGTGGTGAATGGAGGAGATGGGATGAGAATAAAATAAAAATCAAGAAACCCAGGCTCCTTAGTAAACTGTTCCTCATTACAGTGCCTTCTACTTGTTACTGCACATTTACTATAATTAGGATCAAGATGTTTCTGGGTTCAGCAAATTATGGAGCAGCAGGGAGAATGCAGAGTTGTACCCAGGGATTGACATCATGCAGAAGGACCCCTTTTCCCTTGCAAAGCCAAAACTTATGATATTGACATTGTGACACCAGTGAGAGTTGCCCATGAGCACTGGGACTTGGGGAAATATAAACAGGCCCTGGTTGGTGCTGCTCTGCCAGAGCAGCCACCCAGAGGCATGCTGCACAGACTCCCCAGGTGAGTGTACCTGACAACTGTGGATTGGGGCTGCCTTTGGCTTTGGAAGGGGACTGTCCAGGGCAGAGCTGGTCAGGGGTAGACAGTGAAAGAGAAGAGTCTGAGGTCCTTTGTCACTTGTGGAAGAGGAAGGTGCCAGGGCCCAGGGAGAAGGTGGCTGATCATTTCCCAACTCCCAACCAGAAACATCTGCTTCTTTCTGGTCCACAAGGGAGCCAGAGCCATTGTACAGCAGTGTTTGATGCACTGTGCCTGGAGCTGCCCCTTCTTATACAAGGAAGAGAGGTATAGGTGACATCAGACATCAGTGACATGTCAGCCTGGATGTGTGGGAGCACTTATCCTCTGCAGTCTTCCCTCAGCATTTGTGCACTTTCTCTCCTAGCAGGGGGAATTTTTGCTTAAGCTGTGTATCTAATTTCTCCTGTCCTTCAGTCTTTTCAGGATGGAGTACTCTTGCCTTCTTTATTAAGATTTCATTTTTTCTGAATTTTTCCTTTTTCAGCTCCAAAATATAACATAATATGTAATTATAGAGAATTGGAAAAAAAAAGCTGGCATGGGGACACATAATAACATAAACAGTTGCTTTTAGAAAATGGTTCTTTGAATACTTGCTAGGCACTGACATAGCATTACCTATATCAGCTCATTTAATCCTCACAATAGGCCTGTATAGCACAAAGCACCATTTCTATTTTAGAGAGCATTGGGCCTCAGAGAGGTCAAGGTCATACAGATAGGAATTGAGAATTGGGAAAGCCAGGATTTGAAACACAGAGTGGCTTATTCCAAAGCTTATTCCTATGAACCCTGAACTGTTTTACTTTTCAGATTTAATGATACTGCTCAAGCATCTGGAATATCTGCCCCTCCCCACCATTTTCTAGAGGAAACAATGATGTGATTAGAGTCACACAGATGACATTTTGTTAATCCTTAAATGCTGAAAATAAGCTTGTGAAAGCTTTCTAAAATGTATATAAATATATTTTAATATATATAATACATATTATATATAATACGTATATATTTATATATATAATATATATATAAAACATATAATATATATATTATATATAATATGTTATATATAATATGTATTATATATAACATAATATATATGTAATATATAACATAATATGTTATATATTATATATATAATATATATTATATATATTATATATATAATATATATAATATATATAATAACATGGGTGAAGCTGGAAATATAATATGTATTATATATAATATGTTATATATAATAATATATAATATATAAATATTATATTATAATTTAAAATATAAAATATATTTATATATTTTAGACAGCTTTCACAAATTTCTAAATTTCACAAATTTCACAAATTTCTAAATTTTCAGCATTTAAGGATCAACAAAATGTCATCTGTGTGAAAAGATTTAAAATATATTTATATATACATTTTTAAAAGATTATATATAATATATATTATATATAAATATATTTTAAATATTTTATATATAAAGGAATCTCTCTCTTTCTCTCTCTCTCACCAATAGCTCCCAGAGTAAATATAAGCATGTAGCTTTTCCCATCTAGGTATGATGCTCTTCAGGAAAGCAAAGACAATTTTCATATTCCAAAATCTGTTATTGGTGTCTAAGATATCGGAAAAGTATATCCTAAAAAAAAATTCAGTCAGAAGCAGGTCAATACGGAGATGTGACATGTGAAAATTGAACATAATTTATGTCTCTCAAATAATGGTCCATGTCATTCTCTGGATCAAGGGAAGTCTTGAATTTTGACTTATTTATACATCTGAGGAGACACTAAAGTCGCTACTGAATGTATCATCCAAAGTGGATTGACTCCTCCATGCGTTCAGTTTTGACATTCATAAGGAAACATAAAGCCAACTCAAATCTCTCTCCAAATTGCCTTGTAAATTCATTTCTGTGATTAATGTGCAGTTTTACAACCATAAGCCTCATCTAACAATTTATTCGTAAACAATTTTTTAAGCATGTAATAGTAGGCACCATGATGCTGGGTGACTTAGATACTAGACAGAAAGGCAGTATCGCTGAAGTGTTCCCACTATCAACTGGAGGAAGGAAACAAACAATCAACACAGACTGATGGGCTCCAGGAAAGTGTACTAGACAACACAATTCTAAGCTGCTTTGTGACAGATGGGTTGCAATTAGCTATGTGAAGGGCAGTGGTTGGGCAAGAGATCAGTTTAGGGAGCTTATGCATATTCTTCTGGCAAGGTAAGTTCCAATCTTACTCTTGTTTGAGGAGAGTTGAAAGTAATTCAAAAATAAGCTTGATAAGGAAATGATGTCAAATTGTGAAGGACAAATAGAGTTAAGGTTGACATGTGAAGCTATATGGAAGCAAAGCAGGCCAGGCACAGTGGCTCACACCTGTAATTCCAGCACTTTGGGAGGCTGAGGCAAGCAGATCACTTGAGGTCAGGAGTTCGAGACCAGCCTGGCCAACGTGGTGAAACCTGTCTCTACTAAAAATACAAAAATTAGCCAGTGTGGTGGCACGTGCCTGTAATCTCAGCTGCTTAAAAGGCTGAGGCAGGAGAATGGCTTGAACCCGGGAGCCGGAGTTTGCAGCGAGCTGAGATCCTGCTACTGCACTCCAGCCTGGGCAACAGAGCAAGACTCCATCACAATGTCTACCATTGTGGAAGACAGTGTGGCAATTCCTCAAGGATCTAGAACCAGAAATATCATTTGACCCAGTAATCCCATTACTGGGTATATACCCGAAGGATTATAAATCATTCTACTATAAAGACACATGCACACATATGTTTATTGCAGCACTATTCACAATAGCAAAGACTTGGAACCAACCCAAATGCCCATCAATGATAGATTGGATAAAGAAAATGTGGCACATATACACCATGGAATTCTACGCAGCCATAAAAAAGAATGGGTTCATATCCTTTGCAGGGACATGGGTGAAGCTGGAAATCATCATTCTTAGCAAACTAACACAGGAACAGAAATCCAAACACTGCATGTTCTCACTCATAAGTGGGAGTTGAAAAATGAGAATATATGGGCACAAGGAGGGGAACATCACAACCGGGGCCTGTTGGGGGGTCAGGGGCAAGGGGAGGGGTAGCATTAGGAGAAATACCTAATGTAGATGACAGGTTGATTGGTGCAGCAAACCACCATGGCACATGTATACCTATGTAACAAACCTGCACGTTCTGCACATGTATCCCAGAACTTAGAGTATTAGAAAAAACAAAACAAAACAAAACAAAAAAAACAAGAAGAAAGCAAAAGGAATATATTTCTATTTAAAAAGCTCATTCTGACTATAACATAGGAGAATAAACAGAAGAGGAGATACCATTTATAAAGTGGTTATACAAATCACAATGTGAATTATTAGAGTGGTTTGACCTACAGGATGGGGCATTTCTAATTGAGAAATTTGCTAGGTTTGACAACAGTCAGAAGATAGAATCAGTAATACATGTGTCTTTGCCTGGAGTCCGTAGAACCAGACCCTGAGATGGAGATTCTTTCTGATGATTTATTGGAGGAGTGCTTTTTTGAATGAAACCCTTAGAGTTTCTCCATCAACTTAGCTGGTAGCCACTGTCCCCAGCAGCCACTAGAAGCCTGGACAAAAGAGCACCAGCAGGTGATCCACCTGCATGGGTCCCTTTCGGCAGCCTTCCTGTCAGGAGTCAGATTGCAGGCATGGCTTCAATGACACAACCACAGTGTGAAAGTGTAAGAAGTTTTGGTTCTTATACTTCTGAGGGATACATGGTACACCTGGAGTTCACACACACAAAGATCAGGGAGCAAAGGAAGGGAGAGAGAGAAAGACACCTGTGGACCAATGCCTTTATTGGGTCCAGGGTGTTATCTAAACAGATTTTTTTTTTTGGAGAGTTTTAATTGATGGGTTTAAAGCAGGTAGGAAAGAATTCCAGGAGATGAAGTCATAGTGACTGAAAGGTGGTCACTGGGCATATCTGTACAGTCTATGCGAGGTGTGAGGGTCAGTGGTGCCAGTGAAACAGGCTGCATTTAGCTGTCCCATCGGGAGGTGGTCACTGGGGAGCAGTTGAATAAAGCAGATATCTGGAGAAACCACATTGAGGAACTGGGCATGGGGAGGGGATAGATAGAGCTGGAAACTGTGTCAAGGGTGACTGAACCCTGCTAGTATAAGAAGGTCTAACTTATATTTTAAATGGATGGTGAGGCAACATAAAATTATAAGGGTTCACTACAAGTGTTCTCAGGAGAAGTGGAGAGTAAAACAGGATAGGCAGGAGAAAAAATAATTAGCTTCCATCTGATCCCATCCACATGGAAGATTGGGAGGACAAATGTTGCCATGGAGTTAGTCCCACCTTCAGGCAAGGGGCTGGACTTTTCTACTCCCCTACTTCCGTGTTAGTTATTGGCCAAGGTCTACCCACGGGGTTTGGGGAGAGGAGTAAGCCACATGGCCTTTCCTGTGAAACTCCTCTCATTTGGCCAAGTACAATTCTTTGGAGAAGCTGTGATTCTTGGTTTGCTCCTCATTTGAGGGATGACTGTCTACAGGCTGGTAAAGAGGATCTAAGTGGGGCAGAAATGCAGTCCACTAGAGCAAGGTAATTTATCAAATGTACATAATGAAAGGGAGGAGACATGGAAGATGATACCCAGGATCATGGCTTAGAAATTGACAAAGTGATGTTGCCCTTTGCTTAGCTCTTGTCTGGGGATAAATTGTTGTGTAAATTTTAGACATGAGGAATACATAGAAGGATCTCTTCGAAAGGCAGGTGAATGTGTATGAGTATGGAGTTTATGTTTAAATTGTAGTTATCTCTGTATCAATAGCAGCAAGAAGAAAAGAAGAAAGAGATCAAAAAATGAGATGAGGGGTTTGCTAGGACAGAATCATGTACACTTATATATTTCATAATTGAAACTGGTCTTTTCACTGAAATTAACACAGATAAAAGCCACAGACCTGAAATATGTCATCTTTATTTGTGCTTCTCAAAAGTTTTTTTTCTGGCTCTGTCCGTGATGTCAGAAAATGATTTAGAGTAACCTCATCCAGGGAATAGTCTTCCTTTTCCTTACTGGACCTGGATTTGTGGGAAACTTCCTTATATTTATAAGACATGTATATTCTTTTGTCATGAGTTCTGAGAAAAAGCACATAGAACTTATCCTTCTTCATTTGGTTTTCTCAAATGTAATCATTATTTATAGCATAAGTAGCAGAAATATAACTGCAGTTTTTAATTTCAGAAACTTCCTAGGTAATGTTGGTTGTAAAACTTCAGTTTATTTAGGGAGGGTTGCTTGGGGCCTTTCCATCTGCACCACCTGTCTCCTCAGCATGGTCCAGGCCATCACCATCAGTCCCAGGACCACCTTGTGGAGAAAGCTCAAACTACGGATTGCATGGCAAGTTCTTCCTTATCTCTTCCTCTTTTGGATCTTTAATGTTCTGATAAGCTCCAACTTGCTCTACTACATTAGAGCAGTTAATAGCATGAATAGGTCTGAAATTAGACCACATATTAGTTGTTGCTATATGCTACCATCTAAGCAAATAGTTAGGTGGTTTTTCTCACTCTTATGGCTCTTTGGGATATCATCTTTCAGAGTCTCATGGGCTGGAGCAGTGGGTACGTGGCTTATCATCTGTATAAATATCACAATTGTGTCTCCTACCTTCAGAGCTCCAGGTTTGCAAATAATTCCAGCCCAGAGGTCAGAGCTACTTAAAGTACTTTCATTCTCATGACCTGTTTCCTTTTCTTTTATTGGGCTGATTTTATTTTCTCCTTCTATATAGGTTCCATCTTGACAAATGATTCTGCTGTATTAATTATTAAACCATTTCTAATGTTTGGTTATGCCAGTCTCAGCCCCTTTGTGCTGATCAGCAGAGATGTCTGCATTGCTAAATGCTGGAGTGCTCACCTAGGAAACTGGGGGAAATTACTTTCTGCAATGATTCCTCCAGGAACTAAGGGTGTATACTTTAGGGATTGCTTTTGCCTGCATATGTCAGAGTATTAACTTAATCAAGGCTTTAAAAATAGATTTACTTTTTATTTTAAGAAGAATCCTGGTACTAGGCAATCTAAGGCTTGTTCAGGGGTTCCAGGAAATTGTAAAGACAAGATTCTTTCTGGCCTCCCATTCCGTCATTCCTGTAATATGGCTTTTATCTTCTGGCTGGCACAATTATTGCTCAGTTATTTAACCAACATTCTAAGTACAGAGAAAAAGGATGAAGTAACAAAGAAAAAGAGATTATAAAGAGAGACTACAAACATACATAATTTAGGAAAACAAAACTTTTGCAGACATCCCCATAAAATATTTGAATAGATTGGTAAAATTATATTACTTGGCCATCTCTAAATGCAAAGTTGACTAGGGAATATTACTTTTACTGGGACACATTCCTTTCCTCAAGATAATTTAATCAGGCAACTAGCTGTTTACGTGGAGAACTATGTGATGGATAACTCCCATTTGATCACTCACTTCAGAATGAATAAGACTTTGAGAGAAAATACAAGGGTAAAGACTGTTCTCCATCTGTGTTCCTGGAATACAAAAACCTGTCCTCAAAAGCTTTTCTTTATCTGAGCTCTGTCTAAAAAAAAAAAAAAAAAAAAAAAAAAAAAAAAAAAAAATCTAAATTGTCTGGCAGAGTGGCTGATCTATCATGATACTGAATCAATTATTTAGTCATTAATACAGACTCAGGTTAGACACAAAGGATAAGGAAATGAAGCTTAGCTGCAATAAATACTTAAATCAAAAGCCATGATGAAGGTGTGTGTAGACAGGAAGGTATGAGGTGAGTTGGGGAATGTTGCGTGAGTTAAGACAGGAGCAAGTGAAGTATTGACATGGACTTGAATCCTCAGGGCTGAGCAGGCATTGTGATGTTACGGTTTTCTACTACTTCTACAGGGTACTACTTCTTTTGGCACAGTTGGGGTAGACCTGGGGTTTCTGGGCACTGTGCTGTCTGGACATTGAAGGAATGTCAGTATCAGATGGAAATTACTGACTTTAGGCCAGTATCTCAGTGCTCATAAAACATTCCCAGCCAACATTCTTTAGTCAGAGCACTATAGCAATAATAAATAACCCTGCATTTTATTAGTTTAATTTTCAATCTCTTAGGACAATAATTTCCTTGAGGAAAGGATAGTTGTTCCACAATGATATGACATTGCTTCTAATGACACTATGATCAATTCTTCATAAATTCGGGCAAAGATAGGTGTGACCCTTGGCATGAAGCATATCATGAATTTGTGGCAGAAAACAACCATAAGAAAAGACATAAATGCAGACTTTTTCATCTTTATGAATCAAGATAATGCTGACAGGAAAGAAAATACATAAAAGGTCTCACTTTTGTTTCTGTATATGAAGAATAGTGTAATTCCGCACTATTCTTCGTGTTAAACTCAAACTGCAACCTTAGGAAAATTTCAATATAATAATACATGTGCCCTGATTATTTACAAAAAATACTTTAAAAATAATATTCTTTAAGTTTATTACTAAATTTTATCCACTATTACTTTTAGTCTATAAAATTAAAGGCCTGTCAGTTGAAGAAGGCTAAAAACTTATTTATTCCTTTTTTTCCCCTCATAATCCACATTAAAATGGTAGTAATGGAACTAAAAAGCAATCAGCAGTAAAAGGTAAGGATAATGGAATAGCAGTAGGGTAGGTAAAATATTTTAGTAATTTTTTTGAAAACAGAGAGCAGATGCATCTAATAGAGTGAGATGGAAAACATAACAGCAATCTGAAGTGTGAGAATAAGAGAGTACTGATAAGCGGAAAGCATGTAGTCACATCTCAATGCCTGTGGAGGCTCAGGAATTGCAATGTGAGCAATGATAGACAGTCAAATGAACAATTATGAGTCATTGAGGGAATTCCCTACTTATTCTCCAGATTGGTAGGGAAGCCTGCATTAGATGCTTATTTCAGGATTCTATGAAAACAATAAGAATTAGTATTTCTGTGCTTGCAATGAGATGGATTATATCCTCTTTACCATCCTCTATATTGTGCTAACCAAAATTTTGGGTTAAATTAAATGAAATTCTTTTATAAGTTTAGATATTTCTTGATGTTTTGTGGAATAAATACTGTATACAATCCCCAAATTGAAACAGCCTAATTTTGGATAAAAATGTAAGTATTTTTGCATACATTTTTGGCTTTGTATAGAAGGGATAATCCTTAAGACCCACAAAAGAGGTAAAATCAGAAAGTTTGGAAGAAAATGAGGGCAAAAGACAAGTGTTACCCTGAAGGTTTCTACCTAACACTGTAGTCCCCTGAAGTCTGTGCTTTGGGAACTACATAGTGTATAGTTGAATAAAGATAAATTAGGGAACACTAAAGAAAGAGAATTTAAAGGGGAATCCCACAAAAATCTGCAACTTCAAAGGGATATTATTGTAGAATAAGAATGAATAAAGATAACCTATTGTACAGAAGGGGATATAAAGGAAACTTTCTTATCTTGACTCATTTGCTTGTTTGAGAAGAAAAATCTCCCCCGTAAGTTTTTGTATGCATAAGCTAGTTATTACAGGCTGAATTATGTTCCCCAAAATTCACATGTTGAAGTCCTAATGCCCAGTACCTCAGAATGTGACTATACTTGGAGATAGGTAGGGTCTTTAAAGAGGTAATTAAGGGCTGGATGTGGTGCTTCATGCCTGTAATCCCAGCACTTTGGGAGGCCGAGGCGGGAGGATCATCTTAGGTCAGGAGTTCAAGACCAGCCTGGCCAACATGGTGAAACCCCATCTCTACTAAAACACACAAAACATTAGCTGGGCATGGTGTGGGGGCCTGCAATCCCAGCTACTTGGGAGGCTGAGGCAGGAGAATTGCTTGAACCCGGGAGGCGGAGGTTGCAGTGAGCAGAGATCATACCACTGCACTACAGCCTGGGTGACACAGCAAGACTCCGACTCAAAAAAAAAGTAATTAAGGCAAAATGAGGTTATTAAGATGGGTTCTGATCCAATATAAATGATGTCCCCTTATAAAAGAGATTAGGACACAGACACCCAAAGAGGGAAAACCACATGAAGATACAGGAAGGAGGGGACAACCATCTATAAATCAGAGAGAAGCTTGAAAAGAAACCAATCCTGATCCCAGACTTCTAGCCTCCAGAATTGTGAGAAAATAATTTCTATTGTTTAAGCCACCCAGACTGTGGTACTTTGTTATGGCAACCCTAGTAAACTAATACACTGGCCTTAATATGATTTCATGATTTTTGTTTTTTATTTTAAATTTTGTTTTATTTTTATTTTTTATATGGTCTACAATACCTTAAGCAAAGAAAATCCTTTTTGAAGCATGAAACTTCAACCCAGGTATTAGAGAATTTCCACAGATACGGTGCAATGGTAGATGCTCACATTCAAAAATTCAAAATACACAAGGAAATAGAGAAGCCAGAGTAAAAGTGAAGAGAAAGAGTGGCAATAGGAAATCCATAAATATTCATATATTTATGCATTTAGAATACAAAATATTTATATTAAATATGGAAAAGCTGGCTGGGCACATTGGCTCATGCCTGTAATCCCAGCACTTTGGGAGGCCAAAGCGGGTGGATCACCTGAGGTCAGGAGTTAGAAATCAGCTTGGCCAACAC